>NC_000018.10:77551084-77852439 GCF_000001405.40 Homo sapiens | reverse complement strand
GAAGTTGCTACTAGGTAAAAGGCGGTATATTAATTAGACCCCATAATAAGATATTTAAACTCTAACATACTTCCTTTTAGTCAAATTTTGATAAAAACAACTTTTGGGAAGGCAGAAAAGAAAAGGAAATATGGGCCCAGTTGCATGTCGTAAATGAAAAAAATTCTTCAGTCATTTAAAGAGATTAAATCATGTTCTCTAAAGAGGACCTATATTTCAACCTTTGAGACATTGCTTCACAGATGAAAAGTTTTTAAGCAAAAACAAAAAATTTTGTGTTAAAGTTCCCCAAATAGAAGCACTTGCTTGTATCTGAGTGTGTCCTGCAGTTGGCCCTCCTGCGCCTCTCCTCCCAGCACAGCCTCCATCAAACAGAAGATTAATATTTCAGAAGTTGTCATGAGCAGTTCCGTCGACTCTGTCGCTGCCGATGTCTGACAAGCTATTTATCATGTCGCTAAGTGCCAGCATTAAATTATCCCCGCTGTTATGACAGCGGCATTATTCACCAGGATTACAGCCTCAACACCATGATGCTTACAGCTGTTTCTGTCCTCCTTTTTGTCTTTTCAGAGATGTATTGATCCCTGGGCTATGTATTAAAGGAAAACAAAGACAGACGGAAGGCAGAAGGAAGGAAGGAAGGAAGGAAGGGAGGAAGGGAGAGAAGGAGGGAAGGAGGGAAGGAAGGAGGGAATGAAAGAAGGAAGGAGGGAATGAAAGAAGGAAGGAAGCCATAGAATTGTAATTCCTATAATAGATCAGTCCATTGTGTTGATGTTTCTCCAAATTTGATCCTCTTTTTTTGTTTTAAATTTATAGAATGTGTTTTCTTTGTTAGATCTTACTTATTCATGGGAACCGTATGAGAGATTAAGATGTAAATATGTTAAAATGGATATTGATAAAACACTCCCTATGGAGCTGCCTCCTATTCATGTGGAAGAAAGGTTTCTGCATTTGTTACCTTTCCCTGCTCCTCCCTTGACAGCCAAGTGCCAGCTGGAGAACTGTTTGTTTGTAGTGTCTGTGAGACTGGAGAGTCAGGAACATTTATTTTACTCAGTAGAATTTTATTCAATTTTGTGAGGCTCCGGAGCAATTCAAATTTCAGGGTGAAGATTTCTCCCCAGAAGCCTCATGAGTTGAAAATGCTGGAAGAAAATAAAGTTGTCAGCATTTTCCAATTTTTCAAAAGATCGCAGGGTGCAGCCATCCTTCTTTGAAGTTAAATTGCACTTAACTCAGGGGACCATGTCTTTCTCTCTTGTTTGTTATCATATAAATGATGTCACTCCCAGGAAAGCAAACCTAACATGCAACCTGAGTTTTATGGATTATATGATAAGGCATATTGATTTCTATGGATTATATGATATGGCATATGGGAGAGAAGGAGTGGGTAGAGGTTGGGGATCTTCCCATCCAACCCAGTGCTAGCTAACACCAACCAGTGGCCAATGGACCAAGTCCATTCCCAGACCCTCAAAGGGGCCTCAGGACATCTGCCATCCTCTCAGCTCTGCTCAGCAGAACAAGCCAAGACCTACCCAAGTCTGAGCCAGTTATTAACTCCTTACTCCAGCCTCCAAAGTCCTCAAAGCTCAGTTCTTAACTTCTGAATCTTTCTATCTAGATGCATTTATTGTTTATTGTACTGAGTTTACAGTTTCATTCCCAGGACGTTTCATGTATTAAGTTAACATTCCACTTGCTTTGAAAAGCATCAACATGTTTTTGGGAATTCCATGAGAGGACACTTGTCCATCATGTTCACTACAATGGGTTTTAATAAAGACCTGGAATCAGTAAATTAAGCCATTTCACTAATAGCAGAAAGCACAGAATTGCTTTAACACTGCTTTATGACCTTGGAAATCAAAGATTTGGTTTGAAATAATTCCTGACTTAGAAACCCATCTAGGTGAACTGTTCTAGCACAGTGATGTCCAATATCTTTCTTGAACCAAGAGAAAGGGAGCTAGGGTGGGGAGACTGTGAAGGGCAGGAATGAGAAGAAGGGATGAGGGTGTGGTCAGGGCCATCCCTGACACTCACTATCAAAACATCAGCATCTAGGGATGGCCCCTGACGATTCATCCCAACACCAGGCTGGGCTGCAGGGGATGGGAGTACAGCATTTAAGGGATGGCCAAAGACCTTCAGTAATTAACATAAGTAATAGTTTAATCAACATTTTTAAAAATTGAATTTGCCAGCTATGGCTTTCAGGCTTGTTTTTGTAAAAAGTTTTATTGGAAATGAATGACAAAGAAGAGGGTAGAAAGAGAAGACTAAATGGAAATAACAAAAAGAGAGAAAACCTGAAGTTCTAATGAAATGAAAGGAATCTGCACAAATAATCTATACATAAACATTCTATAAGACCTGCATGTTTGCAGCCATGACGCAGAGGTGCAAGGTACTAAAGCAAGGGCTTAATTCACATAAAACATGTACTTAGCACAGCGGGCTGAGCGTGGTGAGGAGGAAACCAACACTGTCCCTTACACAAGGTAGAAGTTTGTCTCTCCTCCATGAAAGTCCAAAGGCAGGCGGTATTTAGAAAGGAGGCAAATGGGTTATTGAATAATTATTACTATTTAAAATGGTTACTATTATAATCATGCAAGTATACATATATTCATAAACTTTAGCTGCTGTACTTTTTGGATGTCTTCCAAATATTATTTGTACAAATAAAGAAGAAAAAAATAGAAAAGAAAAGGCCTTAGTGACAACGTATGTTTGGAAATGCTCACCCTGGAAGCCAGGCACTGAGTTCCACACAGGGCCCTCTGGATTTTTCTCCAGCCTATGCAGTTTCTGTCCCTTTCACTCACCTATGCCACTCAGAGCTGCGTGGGTCCTACAAACAAGCTGACGTTGCTGAGGAGAAGGCAGCACGGGCAGGGCTATCAGGACCTGGTAAAAGCTTACCAGAGAGGGCCCAAGAGTGGCCAGGGGATGCAGAGTCTAGGGAGCCTCTTTCTTGGACAGGGGCAGCCTGTGCAGGTCTGCTATGATCGGCGGGGGTGGTGGGGGGTGGGGGACGAGAATGCCTAGCATGCAACCAGAAGTCAGGATACTGAGGGTTAGATGGGATAGGCATGTGCCACCTGGACAAGGGAGGCCTGGGCCATTCCACACTCAGCATTGTGTCTACACGAGGGTCCTTGCCTTGCACTTATCGCTCAATTGCTGAGATGCAGCAGCACTTTTGCAGCTTCTCCTAGCTACATGTCCAAGTGTGTGGCCACTCAGCTGCAGGACAGCTTCTCTCCAGAGCGAGCAATGACAAAGCACGTCATAGAAGACCCTTCCTAGAGGCAGACATGGCAGCACCAGCTACTATGTCAGAGGGGGGTTGAGGAGGAATCACTGTTCCAGAGCTTCAGCAGCCTCTAGGTGCACATGAGGTGAGAGCCCCTGACGGTCACTAAGATGCTTCTTTCTTTTTTTTTTTTAATTATACTTTAAGTTTTAGGGTACATGTGCACAACGTGCAGGTTTGTTACGTATGTATACATGTGCCATGTTGGTGTGCCGCACCCATTAACTCGTCATTTAACATTAGGTATATCTCCTAATGCTATTCCTCCCCCCTCCCCCGACCCCACAACATGCCCCCGTGTGTGATGTTCTCCTTCCTGTGTCCATGTGTTCTCATGGTTCAATTCCCACCCATGAGTGAGAACATGCAGTGTTTGTTTTTTTGTCCTTGCGATAGTTTGCTGAGAATGATGGTTTCCAGCTTCATCCATGTCCCTACAAAGGACATGAACTCATCATTTTTTATGGCTGCATAGTATTCCATGGTATATATGTGTCACATTTTCTTAATCCAGTCTATCATTGTTGGACATTTGGGTTGGTTCCAAGTCTTTGCTATTGTGAATAGTGCCGCAATAAATGTACGTGTGCATGTGTCTTTATAGCAGCATGTTTTATAATCCTTTGGGTATATACCCAGTAATGGGATGGCTGGGTCAAATGGTATTTCTAGTTCTAGATCCCTGAGGAATTGCCACACTGACTTCCACAATGGTTGAACTAGTTTACAGTCCCACCAATGGTGTAAAAATGTTCTTATTTCTCCATATCCTCTCCAGCACCTGTTGTTTCCTGACTTTTTAGTGATCGCCATTCTAACTGGTGTGCGATGGTATCTCACTGTGGTTTTGATTTGCATTTCTCTGATGGCCAGTGATGATGAGCATTTTTTCATGTGTCTTTTGGCTGCATAAATGTCTTCTTTTGAGAAGTGTCTGTTCATATCCTTCGCCCACTTTTTGATGGGGTTGTTTTTTTCTTGTAAATTTGTTTGAGTTCTTTATAAGATGCTTCTTTCTAAGTGGATGAAATGCACCCTTCCTTATCCCATGAATCAAACTCTTGACAACTGGCCTCACTGATGTCATTGTAGCAGCCAGGGTCTTCGGTGTTGCCAGAGTGCCCTTATGATGGTCACCAACAAGAGGAAATCAGGGAAGCACAAGAAGGTAGACACTAAGGGGCTGTGAGGAAGTTGCAAAGAGTTGAGTTGATGGGGCTCATTAGTACCCAACAGGGAAGGCACGGAGACTAGAATTCAAAATTATCTCAGAGCAAAGCTTGATCCTTGGACTGAAGGAGCACATGGCCACACCCACAAGTTCAGCAGATGGGGCTCCCTCCTTCCATCTTATTCACCAAACTGACCTTGAGAAAACACTTTAAACCTTTCTTCTGCCTTTTGTTCCAAGAGCAAGAAATCTCACTTTAGTTGGAGAAAGAAATCTAGAGAACAATCCACCCAGCAAGAGCAAGACCCACAGGCTTCTCAAGTGCACACAGAACTTTCTGCCAGATAGACCACATGTTCATCCAGAAAACAAGGCTCAAGGAATTTTTAAAATATTAGCGTCTTACAAAGTATGCTCTCCAATCACAATGGAATAAAATTGGAAATCAATAACAAGAAAATTCACAAACATGTGGACATTTAAAAATATAGCCCTCAATAACTAATAGGTCACAGAAGAAATCACAAAAAAATTAGAAAATATTTTGAAATAAATGAAAACAAAAACACAACATACTAAAACTTATGGGATGCAGTAAAAGCAGTGCTCAGAAGGAAATTCGTAACTGTGAATGCCCACATGGAAAAGGAATAATTTCAAATCAGTAGTCTTTAACTTTGGTAAGTGAGAAAATAACAGCAAACTAAATGTAATGGAAGCAGAAAGACAAGAAGAGTAAAGATTAGAACATAGAAAATCAAATGGAGAATAGAAAAACAATAGACAAAGATCAATGAAACCAAAGTTGCTTCTTTGAAAAGATAAACTTGATGAACATTTAGCTAAACAGATGATGTAAAAAACAGCAAAGACTCAAATTACTAAAATCAAGAATGAAAGGAAAAGGAATATGACTACTGACTTTTACAGAAGTAAAAATTATTACAAAGGAATACAATGATCCATTTTGCAACAACAAATTAGATTACCTAGATGATATACCAGGCTCCTATAAACACATAAAATCTCAAGACTAACTCAAAATAGAAATCTGAAGACACCTATAACAAGTAAAAGTATTGATTAATAATCAAAAAACTTCAAATGAAGAAAGTCAAGACTAGGTAGCTTCACTGGTAAATTTTATCAAATCTTTAAATAAAAATTAACACCATCCTTCTCAAGCTTTTCCAAAAATGAGAAGTGGAAGGAACTGTTTTTAAGTCATTCTATGAGGCCAGTTATTATCTTGAAACCAAAACCAGACAAATATTTCAAAAGAAAACAGAACAATATTGCTATGAACATAGATGCAAAAATTCTCAGCAAAATAGTAGCAGAAATGCAAGATTAGTTTAACATAGGAAAATCAATCAATGTATTTCATATAGGTTATGGTATGTAACATAGCATAGTACTAGAATAATGGGAAAAATATATAATTATCTCAATAGATACAGAGAAAGCATTTGATAACATTCAACATTCTTTCATGATAAAAACAAACTAGAAATAATTATCAACCAACTAGAAGATAACTTCCTCAAAATGATAGAGGACATCTATGAAAAACCCAGTTAACATCCTATTTAATGATTAAAGACAGAAAACATTTTCCCCAAATGGGGAATAAGACAAGGATGTCTGTTGTTGCTCCCCCAGTTAACGCTGTACTAGAGGTTCTAGCTAGGAAAATTACACAGAAAATAAAATAAAAGTTATCCAGATTGGAAAGAATTAAGTAAAACTTGTCATATATATATATATATAGAGAGAGAGAGAGAGACAGAGTCTTGCTCTGTCAGCCAGGCTGGAGTGAAGTGGTGCAATCACAGCTCACTGCAGTGTTCCTCCTACCTCAGCCTTTGGAGTAGCTGGAACTACAGGCATGCACCACCATGCCCAGCTAATTTTCTTATTTTTTATAGAGACAGGGTTTCGCCATGTAGCTCAGGCTGGTCACAAACTCCTAGGCTCAAGCAATTCACCTGCATCAGACTCACAAAATGCTGAGATTACAGGTGTGCACTACCATGCCTGGCCAAGTAAAGCTAACTTTATGTACAGATTACATGATCTTATATACAGAAAATTCTAAAGAATCTACAAAAACAGAGTGAATAAAGCGGTTCAGCAAATTTGCAGGATGCAAAGTCAATGTACAAACATCAGTTGTGTTTCTATATACTAGAAATGAACAACTTGAAAATGAAAATTAAAAAAAGTTATTTACAATAGCATAAAATAAGATTTTTAAGAGAAAATTTAACCAAAGAATTACAAAACCTGTGTAATAAAAAAAGGAAAACTACAAAACATTGTTGAAAGAAATTAAAGAATATCTAAATAAATAGAAAGACATCCTGTATCATAAATTAGAAGGCAGCATCCTCCAAACAGATACATAGATTCAGTGCAATTCCTATCAAAATTTAAATTGTGATATTTTTAGTTATGGTTAAGCTTTTTTTCTAATTCATATGGAAATGCAAGGGACCCCAAATAACCAAAACAATCTTGAAAATGAGAAAGAAATTTGGATATCTCCAACTTCCTGATTTTAAAACTTACTACAAAGTTAGATTAATGAAGACAGTTTTGTACTGGTATAAAGACAGACACATGGACTAATGGGATAGAAAGGAGAATACAGAAATAAATTCTCACATCTATGAACATATGAATTTTGACAAAAGCACCAAGACCATTTAATGAAGAAAAGACTGTCATTTCAGCAAATTGTACTGGGACAACTAGATATCCACATGCAAAGGAATGAGCTTGGACCCCCTACCTCACACCCTATACAAAAAATCACTACAAGGGATCAAACACCCAAGCATGAGAGCTAGAACTTTAAAACTCTTGGAAGGAAATACAAGTGTAAATATACATGACCTTGGATTTGGGAACAGTTTCTTATATATGATTCCACAAGCACAAGAAACCAAAGGAAAAATAACTAAATTAGACTTCATTGAATTGAAAACCTCTTGTGCATCAAAAGACCCGTCATTCCAGGACATGGAAAGACAATATATGGAATGAGAAAAATACTAGCAAATAATTTATTTGATAAGGGCCTAATATCCGGAATATATAAAGAACACTTACAACTCAACAATTAAAAAGCAAATAACCCAATTAAAATGTGAATAAAGAACTTAGATATTTCTCTAAGGGAAATATATAAACACACAAAAAGATGCTAAACAACGTTAATCATCAGGGAAATACAAATTAAAACACAGATTAGATACCACATCACATCCACAATGATAACTGTAATAAAAACAAAAATAAATTAAAGTGTTTGTGGGAATGCAGAAGAACTGGGCTCCTCATGTGTACAGCTGGCGGGAATATAAAACGCTTCAGCCAATGTGGAAAACAACATGGCAGTTTCTCAAAAAGTTAATGTAGAATTTCCATATGATGCCACAATCCACTCCTACATATGTACCCAAAAGAATCAAAAACCTCTTTGTACAAAAGCTTGTACTCAAACTTTATACCTTATAGACAATTCGTAAAAATAAGCCAAATGTCAATCTATTGGATGCATGGATAAACAATACCTGGCATTCATGCAATGGAATATTATGGAGCCATAAAAAGAATGATTTATGATACCTGCTGCAACACGGATGAACCCAGGAAATATCATTCTCAGTGAAAGCAGACAGACATGAGGGGCCACATATGGCATGATTCCATTCATATGAAATGCCTAGAAAAGGTGAATTAATAAAAACAGAAAGTGGATTAGCAGTTGCCAGGGGCTGGTGGAAGGTGGGATTGGGTATTATTGCTGATTGTGGAATTTCCTTTTAGGATGATGAAAATGCTTTGTGATTTGACAGTAGGTGGTTTTACAACCTCGTGGCTATGCTAAACCACAGAATGATACACTTTACAAGGATGCATTTTATGTGACTTATATGTCAATTTTAATTTTATAAAAATAGAAAAAGATGGAGGAGGAGGATATGGAGGAAGAGAAGAAGAAAAATAAGCCTCCATGAATATGCTAGGGTATGTGTGAAATGCAGGAGTTGATATGACACCTCTGGATAATTTGGAAGTGATGAAATACATTTTGAAAACTTAAATGAGTTTATATGGAACAGTGTTTTTTCTGTTTGGGTTTATATCTCCTTACACATCAAATATTACAATAAAAAATTAAGGCATAGAAATAAAAAATACAGAAAACAAGGAAGAAAACATAAGAATCATTTAACTCAATGTATAAAGATTTAATAAATATGCCATTGGAGTCTCAAAAAGATGAGAAGAGTGAGATAGAAGCAATGTTTGAAGAGAGAGTGGCTGATAATTTTACCAGTGTGACAAAGAATACTAAACTACATTCGAACAGTTCTATGAATGTCAAACAGAATAAACCACACATAGGCATTTCATAGTAATTTCCCTTTGGATATATTTATAAGTAGAAGAATAAACCCCGATGAAGTGGAAGAAACTACTGGTCCATGGACAAGAATAAATTTCACAAACATCAAGTTTAGCAAAACAAGCCAGACACAAAATAAGGCACTTACTATATTCCTTAAATAATAAACACACAATTAATAAAATAATAACACCCACTTCACTAACCCAAAAAAGAAGAGAAACATCTAAACATCTTTATTATGATTCAGCCTTAAACTCCGATTTCAATATCAAACACTCAAAAAAGACAAACAATGCAAAGCCAAGTTTGTGTATGGTTTGTTTTCATTTTAACTACTTTGGATTCAATTAGTTGAATACAATTCATTTGGATTTGAAGGATGTGGGAGAGAGGGAGGACATATTATTGAATTTACTGCAAAGGTACATGACAGTACTGCAGACTCTAGGAAGTGTCAACTTCTTAATGAGTTAGAAAAAATAAAGGAGAAGGGTAGGGATTCCTTTTATTCTAGTGCAAACATGTCCATGCATTTCCATACACACAGGTACACACATGTACACACACACACACACACACACACATGCACACCCTTTGTACTTCGTCAGCAGCTGAAAGGCACACCAGTCCCCACAGCTTCAGCCCACCCTGGGCCTCACCCAGCACAGTGCAGTCTCCATGATTACTGTGGGCAAAGGAGCAAAGCTGAGAGTGTTTTGAAGGATTTTGAAGAAAAGGCATGCACATCTTGTTTATTTGATGCTTGTCCTTTTCTTTGTTTGAAATCGTAGGAAGCAAGTACTCATTAAACTACCTGATTTCATTTAACCTCAGTATCTGTGGCACTGCCCTGCTCTGAGCAACGCTGCTGTCCCGACCCTTGCCACAGGAGGTGGAGAAAACACCTGCTCGTGTCTTTCCCCCCATTCTCCCCTTATCAGATGCCCCCTTCATCCAGATGAGCTGTGGAAACCCAGACTAATTTGGAAAATTGGGGGTGTAGTTTAACAAAGGAAAATCTAATTTTGACTTACACAATAAAATTGTTTTGGTATCTGATAGAACAGAACAGAAAAGATGGAATAACTTTCCATTATACAGGTGAGACTTTCAGACTTTTCCAGGAGACCTTTGCTTTTGGTTGAGGTTTAAGATAGCTAAA
The DNA here is from genome assembly GCF_000001405.40 of Homo sapiens. Lineage (NCBI taxonomy): Eukaryota > Metazoa > Chordata > Mammalia > Primates > Hominidae > Homo > Homo sapiens. The sequence continues at coordinate 77,842,352 of NC_000018.10, read as the reverse complement.
ACTTTGTACAGTTTAATACACATTGGGCAGAGAAAGAAAACCTTGGGATTATATCAAATGTAAATTTGTAACTATTTTTAAAGTCCTTTATCTATGAATAGTATTAGTGTATTAAACAAGAAAAAATAAATTTGAAAAAGCTGAATAATTTGTTTTCTTCTCAAGCATCTGCAAAAAGATGTGACTCCTTCCTTTTTAGTGTAATAGGGAATCAAAAAGATCCATAAACTAGTCAAAAGGTGAAAGGTAATTTTCATAGATTCACTATTTTTATTCAAATACCTCTCTGTACTACTTTTTGAAAAATGCAAAATAAGCTGAAAAAGACATAGTCATCTCCCATACACACACCACCTACATTGTACATTAACGTTTGACTGTGTTTGCTTTAACACCTATCTACCCAACAATCCATCTCACTTTTGAAGCATTTAAAGTCATTTGAAGGTATTGTTACGCTTCTTCGTAAACATTCTAGCAAGTATCTCATTAACTAGAATTCATCGTATGCTCATGGCTTTCTATTTCTTTGGAGGGAATATTTATAGACAACAAATTCACAAATGTGAAGCGCATCTTTGCTGAGTTTGGCAAACTCAGACACCTGTGGAACTCGAATGGTGTCAAGGCCCAGAACACACCGACGCCCCCACTTCTCTCTGGGCCTCTCCCAGTTGACACCTGCTTCTCACAGAGGCAAATGCTGTGTGGATTTCTTTCATCAAAGATTAGCTTTGCCTGCATTGAATTTCATGTGAAGGGAATCTAACAGTATGTATTTTTCTTCTACATGAGGACTTTCACTTACACTAACATTTCTGTGATTCATCCATTTTGTTGGATGTTATCAGTGGCTTATTTTTTTTTTTAGTTTCCAAATAGTATTCTTTTTTTAAACATTTGTTTTCATTTCCCTTGGCTCAATACTCAGAGGTGGAATTGCCACTTTCATTTTCATTTTTGTTCATTCTTATGTATTATTTGAATATTTGCAGAAAGGTAGTTAATGACTTAATTACCAATTTAATAAAAGTAAATGTACATAAATCAACTTGGATAGCAAAAGAAGATAAAGCTTTGTAAGTTCAAGTGGAACCCAGCCTTCCCCTAGGTAATTATTTGGTGGACATTTAACACTTGGTTTTATCTAAGATCACACCGAAGCAGTGGAACCAGAATTTGAACCTGGGCCATCTGGTTCCGGAATTCAGGCCAGGATTATCTGCTTCTTTATTATTGTTTACTTGAATGTATTTAGGGAAATCTAAAAAGTTCAAGAAAATATTTGCTATAATTAGTGCCGCACCTCTGAGTCCCAGAGCCAATATAGCACACCTTTCCAAGATTACAGGGTGTGAACACCCATCATACACACTCAAGCACACAGAGGCACACACAAGCACACACATAAATACAGAACAGCTTTCCAAGATTGTAGGGCATGCACACACATTGCATACAAACAAACACACACAGGAACACACAGACACACACAAAAACAGCACACCTTTTCAAGATCGCAGGGCGTGCACACACATTCCATACACACAAACACACAGATGCACACACAGACAAATGCAGGCACAGAGACACACATGCAGGTACAAACGCACACAGACACATTTACACACACAAACACACAGACACACACATAGACACAGACACGTGTACAAGTACAAATACACACAGACACGCATATATACAGACTCACACACAAGTACAAACACAAACACACAGACATCCACAAGTACAGACACACACAAACACGCACACATATACACACAAAAGTACAAACACACACAGACACACACATCTACACAGACACATGTACAAGTACAGATACACATAGACACACATATATACAGACTCATACACAAGTACAAACACAAACACACACACACGAGTACAGACATACACATAAGCGCATAAACACACAGAAACACATACACACATACACACACGTGCAGACGCACACACAGACACAGACACATACATACACACTACATATGCATGTGTTTTGATGTATTTTGTGAATATATTTTACTTTGTGTACAATAAATATTAACGCAAAGTATTTGCTCATCATTTGTTGACCCGTAAATATTTTTTTTCTTATCATACGTTATACTTTTCAAAATGTTAGGAAACCTATATCTCTCTTACTCAATTTCCAGATTCAGACTTGGAGGAATAATTGTGTATTTTACGCTATGAGCTCAGCGGTGAGGAGCCCTTTCCAATGGGCCCAGCTGTAACATGGGGCTCTGCATTCATCAGCTTTTCTGAACAGTCCACTTTCTGACCCATTTGGGTTGATGCGATGTTTAGACGGGGCTGTTGTCCTTCAGAAGACCATCAGAACTTAGGAGAAAGCTGTCTTTGATGGAGACAGTCCTTGAACCAGGGAATGAATATACAAGTCGTGACTTATTTTGATAGCATGGGATGCAGTCTAGAAAGTAAGACTGCACTTTGAATGGATGCTGACACTATGTCAAATCACCAGATTTGGAAATGATCAGTCAGAAAAAAACAAAACAAAACATATTTAGCATTTCTTCCATCTGAAGACACAAAAAATGACATGGAAAAGGAAATTACAAGTAACACAGAAGTGACAAAGATGAACTTAAAGACAACCAAAGGACGAGGGGCTTTGTTCACAATTTATTCAAAGTTTTGTGCAACACAAATTAAACACAATACAAGCTACTTTTCAATTAATAAAGCGAACTTTCCCCCATAGATTCAAACTGTTAATAAAAAGAGAAAAGATAATTGCCCTCCACTTAACTGCCCAGTATTCTGTCCCTGGAAATGGGGATGATTTCTTTAGATTCTCTTGTGATTACTTTCAAAGCTATTGTGAGTTCATGAGTGCTTTCAGCTTCTAATGCTGCTTCAAATGTCAATCTTTATATTACTGAAGGACAATTAGGCAAACCATGTAATTGTATTGTCACTTATTAATTTCATGCTCCAATGTCATAAATTATATGCTTTAATTAATACTGTGTCAACGGCAATCTGTAACTTTGAATGCGTATGGAGGTTAACAAGAATACATAATTAAAAGAAAACAGTGGATAAGGGCACGGCTGAACAGTTTATAAAATTAGGCAAGAAAGCAAGTGCTTTGTCAGCACGTAAGCACCGTGATTTACAAAAAAGAATGGAGGGATTAATAAACGAGAGCAGAGAAATTGAGACCATAAAATTCGATAATAAAAATGAATTCATAAATAAATAAATGAATGAGCAAACACAATAAAGCATCGCTAAACCAAAATGCTGGAGATATTGGGTGTATTTGGCAATAGATTTTTTTCCAGTCAATTGAGTTGGCTGAAAGCCTTCTTAAGTTTCAATCCTCAGTGTGGGAGATTGTTCTAAACTGTGTACCTCACTTGCCTGCTTTAGTAAATACAATCAAGTAAAAACATCCAGTCGGGTTGTGGAGCCGGAGAAGGTTGTGGGGCTTCAGGGACTTCATTCTGAACAGCGTTTCTCATCCCCCAGAAGCGCAGTGTTGACTGTGAAGGGAGTTTGGCTGCCTACATTCTCTCTAAAGATACCACAGACAAGATGTTTTCAAAAGACATTTCTAGTGTTGCTGCTAGGATTTGCTTGCTACCTTTTTAAAAATAAAATTAGAATGAAGATTCTGTTTAGGAATGACTTCAGGATTCACAGAAAGTCAGAATTAGGAGGAACATCCAATCCTGTCTGGTAAAACCAGTTTGTTTTGCAAATTTGTCATGAAGCCTTTCAAAGTCAAAGGCAATTTAGCCGCAGAGACAAAAACAGGAGTCATGGGTTTGCTGTAATCATGAGGCTAAAGTAATATTTATGTGTCCTAAGGTGGCAAGTTGTATGAACCCAAGATAGAGTCAGAAATGGCTTCTATTGAAAGTTTGTGTCCAGCCTGGGCAACACAGGGAGACCCCATCCCTACAAAACATTTTTTTTTTTTAATGAGCTGGGCATGATGGTGGTGCAGCTGTGTCCTAGCTACTTGGGAGGCCAAGGCAGGAGGATCCCTTGAGCCTAGGAGGTTGAGGCTGCAGTGACCCATGATTGCACCAATGCACTCCAGCCTTGGAGAAGGTTTAAAAAAAAAAAAAAAAAGCTAATTATGCAATAAAAACCGAGGGTGTCAGTGGCACCTAACTTAGGATAGGAGGTAGCCCAGGGAGGCTGGGGAGGACTCTGTGAGCCAAGTGCCCATGAGCTGGTGGTTGGAAGGTTGGAATGGCCACAATCTCACTGTTTCTGAGATGTCAGAAACACCTGGCAACAATTATTATTTCAATCACGTGAGGGACAGCAGGTGCACAGTACATTTCACTTAAGCAGAATGAACGCTGTGAAGTCACCGTAGACTTCACCTTCTTCCCATTGCTGACGCAACTGGCTATAGACATTTTCATTCATTGTTGTGGAAACATCTCCATCTTACAAAATTATTTTCCAAATAGTTTTGTCCTCATTGTAATGAGCATATTGTCCTTTCAAAGTGAGTTGTAAAGGCATATTAAGTGACCCCATGCGTGTGAAATCATTTTTTAATGTTAATTAAATGTCAAATTTCCACGATACAACGGACTTTGGTACACTTGTCGATTTTCTTCTCAAGCCTCATCGCGAGGGGATTTGAATGTGCCATTTTCTACCTTAGTGATGGCAAAGTCATGTTATCTGCTGGGTTTCAGTTCTCACCAGCCAAATGAGGGCAGCGAGGAACTCACAGGACAGCTCTGAGAGTTCAGGGGCTACGGAGCAGAAGAGCACCTGCTGAATTATTGAAGGCCAAGCACAGGCGAGATTTGCTTACGGTGGTTAATAGCAGTGTTTAAATGCCGTTTTGAAAAGTGTAATAAAAATTTAGCAAATGTATAAAAATAATAAAAAAGTAATAAAAATTGGAGGTGCCTGGCTTAGGCAGCAAGGAGGCCAGATTTGATTTGATTTTCGGAAATATCAGGTATTTGCTGAAAAATGTCTATTCCTGGAAGCACCCTGAGAGGTTCTGATTCATTATATGAAGTCGTGTAATTCTTTGGTCAACCAAATTGGGGGCCATCAATCCTCGATGACCAGGGAGGCACATCATGAGCAGGTCACTCCAAGGCAGTCACTTTCTAGTCCATAATGCTGGCAAAATTATGGGCAGCTTTGCATGGTCGTGGCTGGCAGTGGTGCAGCTGGTGGAGTCCCACTGTCGAGTACTTTCTTATTAATAGCTACATTTTCTGTATAATTTCTAAGCATAGGGACTGTGTAAATTAGCTGCATGCATCATCTCATTTAATTTTCACGAGCTTATGAGGTTAGTACTAATAGTCTTCTGATTATAAGGGTGAGGAGATTGAGGTTTCAATTGGTTAACTATCTTATTCAGTATCACACAATGAGTAAATGGAGACACTAGGTACGTCTAAAGTCTATGTTCTTAATCACTCTGCAGCAAGTAGTCTTTATTGCAACACTCTAACTCCTAGAATTCTAGAGCCTTTTTCCTAAAGAAATTGTTCAATACAATGAAAAGTTCTAGGTAATAAATAATTTCCTTGATTTTTTGAAATATTCTATGTATTCAAAGGTTGGGAAATAAGATTCAATCAAATACCATGTAGACTACAGACAGACATTAAAATGACATAGATTGATAAATATATAAACAACAGCATTTAATTGTGCTACTTTGGTGAATATTTGATAAATCTATATAGGCAAAACTAAAAAGAAAGATGACAAAAGTAAAATGTTTGTTTTTATGTGCTATCAAGTTCTAGATGGATTTTACTTCCTTCCCTTTTCCACCACTTCTTTTCATAAATATTTTTGTTCCCCTTCTGCCTTCAAATACCGGGTGGATGAATAAGAAAGAGCCTGTTCTCCTGGGTTGCTTCCAGATTAGTGAAAGACAGATATGACTGACAGTTGCAGTGTTGTGGACACATGTTATAAAAGAGATCACAGAACAGAGGGCATTCGATGTGGCCAAGGAGCACGCAGGGACAAGGTCTTCTGAGAGCAAGTGGCAGTTAGACAAAATCTTGAAAGCTGAGTTCCTGGATGAACTAAGCAGAACTTAAAGCAGACAGAATATTTCTGACATAAAAAGGAATGGATGAATGGAAGAGTGTGGTCTGTTCATGAAATCATTAGTACTTTAGTTTGTCTGAAATAAAACTATCCCCAATTCATCCATCTATTCATCTATCTAATGTCAATACATCCATCTACCCATATATTCTAGCTGTTTTCTCTCTAGCTCTCTCTCTCATTCTCTCCTCCCCCATCTCATATCTTTCTATGAATACAAACACACCATACACTTGCTGTTAATTTCTTAGAATTAGCTTTATTGGGCAAGAAGTTGGTTGATTCGCCAATCTCTTTTCCTTTATGTAGGAGACACAGTTTATCATATACAGTCTGTAGGGGAGATTCACATAAGCTTAGAATTGAAATAATTCTCAAATTCCTGATGGGGAATCTGCAGGGATACATATATCTATACCTCTCTATCTCTATCTATACTCTATCTATACCTATTTGTATCTCTCCATACACATCCCTATCTCTATGTATCCTTATCTACCTCTCTGTCTCTAGTTTTATACCTGAACCATATCTATCTATCTACTTATCATCTATTTATCTATCCTTACCTGTATCTACATCTTTCTATATCTCTATTTCTGTATCTGTATCTATCCAACATATCAAGCAAAGCCACAATATCTGTTGTGATTGGGAAATGGTGAACAAAAAATATGGAATCATCTCTAATTGTACTTGAGTCCTGGGTAACACATCTAGTGAAAACCTGTCTAGTCTGAGCACTGCCAAATCTCTGCACCTTTAGTATATTTCATTTTCTATAAAATCTGATTCTGCCAGATAGCTTGCATAAGTTCACCAAAAGTATCTGGGTCTCTATTTCCTAAAAATCAATCTTATATTGAAAAATAATGAGGCATTATTAAAGACAAATCAGAAAATCTTGTGTGTGTGACACATAGTTGCTTCATTATATGTTTACTCCTGAGTTCGCATTTTGAGTGTCACCTGGCTAGATCTCTAGTCCCTATGCTGTTGTGGTTACATGAAGATTTCCATATGCTGAGAGAGCACAGGCTCTTAGGATGGTGGTGGAGCCCTAATTCTGAACCTCACAGGTTCCCCTTTACCTCTGCCAGAATTCCCTTCAGCTTCCGTGCCAACACTTGGCCTATTTTCAGAAGGGAAGAATCCTAGAAAGTATTTGCCATCTGAATTTTCTACTACATAGGCCAGACATGCACTATACCATTCTGGAAAGGTTGACTCTCTCTTTGCATTTACTGTACAGTGATTTGGGGAAATCAAGTGTTGTCTCTCCAGCTCTGTGTAACCTCTGTTTGGACCTTGGCTTAGCTCATTGCATGATGACTCTGGTTTTTCTTGTTTCTTGTTTTTTTGTCTCTGTTTCTTGTTTCTACTTCATTTTTTGCGTCATGGTGGCCTCCACAACCTAGTGTTTTTCTTGCACAATCTCACTGGGCTTCAGGATCCCCTCACTTGATGAGTGAGTTCTATCTGAATCGTTTGGAGACCATTGGAAAACAGCTCACTATGATTAAATTAAAATTTAAGAAATGCAAGTTTCATTTAAAGTTTGACCCAATATCAAATTTTCACTGTATATATTCTCTGATGAAGAAAAATAATCCAAAAACTAAATCCAAAAAAGCCTACTCAGGTAAAATTATCATTTGTTGGTATGCCATAGATGCTATTTTTATTAGCCAGATTAAGTTTAGAGTTGAAGCGTAGTATTAAAACACTAAAGAACATTAAAACAACTGCAGAATCTTCATTGTTATTTCTATTGCTTTATACATATTCGTTACATGAAAATTAGCATGTGAAACAATGCGACTATAGTGCATATTAATGTAAGGAAGAATTACAAGTCTAATGTCAATTCAAGAACCAAGTGATAGCCATAACTTCCATGTTTGCATGCACTTTCCTCATCCCATCCCTTCACCCTAGCCCACCTCAAGGCAGTTTCTACCCTGATGCTAGCAACTTTCATTCCCTTGCATTTACCTTTTTCCTTTTTAAAGCAGTTTTATAGCTAATGCATGCATTTTTAAACTATGTTATTTAGTTTTGCGTGCTCATGATGACACTGTTTCTTAGTAAATACTGATTACAAAATGCAGTCCTTTTAATTTTTTCACCTCCTCTTAAATCGTTCCCACATTTCTTATGAAGACAGAAACAAGCTATAGGAAGAGAGCGGCCGAGGGCTGTGTTACTCACTGGTCTGCAGTGAGGTGGCATAAGCTGTCACTTGCTGATTTACGGGGGTAAGGGACCCAGAAGCTACTGTTCCTTAAGGTAGTGGCTCTGGAAGGAATAACTCTAGATATCAGCCTGATAATACTGAAGGTGGTTCCTGGTCAAACTGCACAATGCATTTTCAAATAGATTTAGGATATAAGAATCCTTTCAAAACCCAAGGTGCAATGCTCTCAGAGAGGCCTGATCTAATTCATCAGTGTCATATTTGTGATTCAGTCTCAAAGAAACTTTTATTGCCATTTATTTTTCCTATGAGCCATAAAAAGAAACCATTCGCGTGTAACTATGGGCTCCCTTCAATAAACCTTCATTGTCCTTTTTTGATAGGAGGAACGGATGAATTAGATACGTCCAATTCTAACATTTACTGGAAAAGATGAATTATATTTATTCTACAACAAGTAATAATGGATAACCCATGTACAATAAAAAAAAAATCCGAGCAGGATAGCAAGTGGTCGAGATTTGCTATCTTTCAATATACCTCTTAAGTGGTAATAGGATAACCCCTTAACATGTTGGGAGCCTATCAAGCCGCCCCTCAGACTTGACCCTGGGGTGAGACGGGAAAGGCAGCCCTGCTCACAGCAATTCAACTCCTGTGCTAGCCAGTAATGAAGTGGCCCGAAATAATATAAAACCCTTGGCTGCTGTTTGATGATTTTTGTCTGGGATAAGAGTCGAGATCCTGATTCAGAGTCACAGTTCATTTCATTTTTCACTCCTGATGAGATCTCAGCTGTTATCTGATAAAATTGAACAACTGTTACTAGGCTCTGCTGAGTAAAGCCCCTTGACTGCTCTTAACAGAAATCCTATACACTCCACTTTGTCAGCAGTTTTGAATTCATCGTCGCAACAAGATGATAGGAATAATCTTACCAACTGAGATTGACAGTTCATTTCAGAAATCAATATTTACAATTTACTTCTTTCAAAGTTCATTCGAGAGAAGATTCCATATTATCCCTCTCCAAATAAGCTGATCATATCTCAGTCGTCCCTGGAATGAGTTTTCCCAAAATGTGAATTTTTGGTAAAAATCAATGTCAGCATTGTGCACTTTAATCTCGCCTATGATGACAGTAAATCTTTATCTTTTTATGGGTAAACGCCAGTGGCGGCTGACACCATTTCCTCTCAGAACAAAGCTTGGTCCATGTGGACTGTGGTAGATACATGGAGCTCTAATGTGGCTGGACATGTTTCAGTGGGGTCATTAATCAGACCCGGTGACAGCCACCTACCGACAGCAGGCTGCCGGCCCGAGGCAGGCTGGCGGCACCGCACCTGAGCGCATAAGGAGCTCCAGTGTTCAAATATAGGTTCATACATGTGCATTTGTAAGTTACAATCTGAAAAATAACACAAGGTGTATTGGCACACTCTGAGATTTTACTTAGATACAGTAGCCATTTTCTAATGTAAATCTCAAAGCAACTGCCCAGGCACCTTGTGCGTCTGTGTTTAAGGCTGGTTAACATAGCTGTGTCACATGTGATTTAATGAAAACCAGAATGCAATGATGCAAATGCAACCATTCTGTCCATAAATGTTCATCCATGTGTGCTATTTTGGTTTGTTAAAAATAGCTGCCACAATGACTGAAAATAAGTAGGGGTGTAGTCACAAGAAACTGAAATATTATGTTGCTGCTGCAAGGAATAATGTCATTGTTCTACCTAAATGGCCATAAAATGGATAAACTAATGAATTCAGGTTCTGTTGAACCAGTTCTCTTAGACAAGATGGAAGAGCAAACACAAAGAAAGGTAACACACTCACACTAATTTATGAGATCCAGTTCAGCCAGGGAATGAGGAATAAGACAATAATGACTAGAGCAATTTCAAGGGGGAGAGAATGAGTTTTCTTTAAATTTGGTAAGTGGTAAATACTGTAGCTTTAGACAGTAGCAGAAAAGCACCTGTATTAGGTTTAGACTGATTTATACTTCCTAAAGAGTTTGGGAGAGTGAGTCTAAGTGTTAAAGCCATAAGTCCACAGTTCTTTATAAAATCTGTACGTTTTTACTGGGGAATTCAGAAGAACCAGGGTGATTTATTTAAACCTAGACTCGAGGCAGGAAACAGTAAGCACATAGTAGGTATATAATATGACAAATGCATAAACATTTGAATTATAAATTAAAATATTTACTTAGTTTTACATGAAGATCACTAATGTATTCTATCTACATTAATTATCTTAATGTAATAAATTAGTTGCTTTTTCATATATATGCTTAGATATAAATAATATTATTTTCTCTTTACTCACTAAGAGAAATAGTAATAATTATACATATCTTTTATATAACCGTTAATTTGCTAATGCAATATCACCCTTGGCAAGAGTTACAAGAAAAATATCCATTGCAAATTTTGTCTAAGTGTTAGATTTCCAACTAAATCAGATATAACATTTTAAACAATCATTCCCAGTATATGGATAGAGGGTATATTAAGTATTATGTAAACATTAAGGTATATATTTAAATACATATATTTTCTTTTCATAATTGTGTATTCTAGTAATTATTGAATCCAAATTTCAGTCAAACTGACACGCACCTGAAGACATTCAGCACCGTCAACATGCACTGCACATAGGATTAGGGGTGTCTAGGCCTGAAGACATTCAGCACCGTCAACGTACACTGCACATAGAATTAGGGGTGTCTAGGCCTGAAGACATTCAGCACGGTCAACGTGCACTGCACATAGAATTAGGGGTGTCTAGGCCTGAAGACATTCAGCACGGTCAACGTGCACTGCACATAGAATTAGGGGTGTCTAGGCCTGAAGACATTCAGCATGGTCAACGTGCACTGCACATAGAATTAGGGGTGTCTAGACCTGAAGACATTCAGCACGGTCAACGTGCACTGCACATAGAATTAGTGGTGTCTAGACCTGACATTCAGCATGGTCAACGTGCACTGCACCTAGAATTAGGGGTGTCTAGACCTGACATTCAGCACGGTCAACGTGCACTGCACATAGAATTAGGGGTGTCTAGACCTGAAGACATTCAGCACCATCAAAGTGCACTGCACGTAGGAATTAGGGGTGTCTACACCTGAAAACATTCAGCACGGTCAGTGTGCACTGCACATAGAATTAGGGGTGTGTAGACCTGAAAACATTCAGCACTGTCAAAGGGCACTACATGTAGGAATTAGGGGTGTCTAGGCTTTGAGTAGCTCTGCCACAGGTGGCGCCTGGGCCTGCCCTAGTGAGATTCATCTTATTCCCTGGTGAGATGTTGCATATTGTACCTTTTTTAAACATTTTTTAAAATGTTGCTTCCCCTAGAGTGGAGAAAATGAGCTTTTCTCTTCCCTAAGAGAAGCATGCTGTCCTAAAGCATTCTGCTTACATGTGTGTGACTGTTGAGAAAAGAGAGTGAAATTCAGCCAGTCTAGAAATTGAAATCCATTTGGCTTTCTTGATCTCCCTACCTTCTTCTCTGGGAAGGTTATATTTCTAATTGAAGCTTACTGTAGAGGAGCATGTATCTAATTTATGGACCAAGGCTTATAGTCATCTAAACCTATTGATCCCTACCAGTTGTTAATGATTACTTAAAAATAATCACAACTCCTTCTGGCTCAGATATATAATTTAATTAAAAAAAAATTTAACCACTAACATTTATTTCTTTTTAAAGTCAGAGATGATTAAGGAAACCATCTTTCTTTCTCTGGCTTTCACTTGGTATCCTACCAGTGAATCTGAATCTTTCCGTCCCCCCAGTTTTTAAGGGGGTGAGGGCATGAGCCATTTTGAGTGAGGTGTGGGTAGGGAAATTACAATATATCTTTTTCAATGAGTTGTTGAACTATCCCTCTGCACATAATCTTCGAAATAGCCCTGGATAACATATTAATAGCTTGGATCATTTTAAATGCTGTTAAATAATGTCAAGAGATGGGGAGGAAAGGTGGATTAATGAGTACGATATAGTCCTCATTATTATGTATTTCAGTCCAAGTCGGGCAGGTATAGAGGATATGGAATGTCCCCTCCTGCTCCATCCCATGCTAAAAGCGTCCCAGTGCTCACCTTTCTCTAACCCTGAAATCGGAGATGTTACCTGCCAAGCTAATTGAGTAAGCGTCCAAGAGAACTTGAATCTAAAAACCCCATGGGGTCCTGATAGAGAATGAAATATTTCCCAAATGTTTCCTAGGTACAAATGAGACACTTCATGCTAGTGCAAAACCATGGAAAAAGTCAGGACAATAGAATTATAATATTCATAGGTACTTGCTTAACTAAGTGCATAAACTTGAAAGAAAAGAAGGATACCATGTTTAAATCATTTAATTCATAGGCAATAAGGAAAGTTATAAACCACCATTGAAGGCAAGTACGTAGAGTCTAAGTTAAATGGAAAACTACATGTATTTCTAATATTTGCCATTGTTGTGCCCTTTTTAATTAATACTTCAATTAAAAATATTTGTTGTTGTATTCATAAACCTATTACCCATAGTTCCTATTTGCAAGATGAATTTTCAGAGTTTATTATTTTAAAACTCTCATGCAAATTAGCAGATAGGGAATCTCAAAGTCAGATAGAAAAACCTGAAAGCCTTATCTGAAGACCTTATCTGAAAACCTTAAACTATATTAACAGTAATTATTTTTATTAAACCTACCACCCTGGTACATGAGGGAATTGAAGAAATGATAAATTCGGTTCATGAGAGATTTGTATTAATTAGAAGAAAATTGGCAATGGAGCGAATTCTAGAACTCTTCTTCAAGGATAACATCCCTTTGCTGTGCATGAATTCTAAAGGCTAAAACTCATCCCAACAAAATCACTACAGTGTAAGTTCCATGAAAGCAGGAACCTCACAGCCTTCTTCAAGATGGTATCCTTATGAGCTGGGCATGATGATGTGCACCTGTAGTCCCAACTACTCAGGAGGCAGAAACAGGAGGATCACTTGAGCCCAGGAGTTTGAGACCGGCCTGAGCAACAGAGCAAGACCCAGTTTCTGAAAAAACAAACACACAAAACAGGATGACACCCTTGATGATCAGAGACATGCCTGATAAAAGTAGTGCTTAATAAATATTTATTGAATGGGTGAATTTGGGAATGCTACATGCCTAATTTTCATTTTATTTAGTATCATATAAATCATGAACGAACGTAATATTTGATTTGCATTACAAATGGCATAACCCAATTCACGTAGGAATTGGGTGGTAAATAAAAATGACCAGAAACAAGTCAACACAGACTTTACTCTTCTTCTTCTTTTTCCCAATCCACTGAGCACAGGAGCAGGACTGCGCAATAACTGTGGTTTCCTCACATTCTCCTGTGTCTTTAGGACGGGCCAGACTGTTGCATTTGAAGAACTCTTTGTTGTTTCTAAAAGTAAAGGACATAAAATATTTACATTTGCAACAAGTAGCAAACTACTGGGATCATAACCCTAAGAAGAGTCCAGACAGAGAGACCACATGGAATTATGAATACAGTCATGATGGGCTGAAACAGTCTTATGAGATGGAAACTTTCTCTCTAGAATTCGTAAATCACAGAAATGGTTTCAGGAGTAAGTCCATAAAAATATGGAAGTTGATTAGATTGCACAAACTAACTAGTAACATTAAATAACCCTAAATTATTGATTGGTTCAAATTGTAATTATACTTTAACTCTTAATTAGAATTCAGTTATTCATCATGCAAAATTTTGGGATCATAATATACATTTTTTCTCTCTACAAATGGATCTATATAGGTATACTGACTGTTAAAAACAAGTAATGATTAGTGCTATTGACAGGTGGGAAAAAATACAAAATTTGCAAATGTATGAATTTTTTCCTCTTTTTTTCCAGTTGTTTCTGAAGTAAATTTTATGTTTAAAAAGAATATATATATTTTCTATCATTTTATAAAAAATTTTAATATGAAAATTATTTAAATTATTAAATTATTTATATTCCTAATACTTGGTATTCCAACCATGGAAACAGGGCTTAGGAACATAAAGTATATTCACCAATGACTCTAAAATCAGAGTGGACAGAGCTCTGTAGGAAGGGTTCATCTCTGCTTCCTGTGGTTACTCAACTGGAGCTGGAAGATCCATCCCTAAGATACACGGTGGTGCTGCCTGTCAGTTCCTTCCCACATGAACTTCTGCTCAGGGAAGCTTGAGCTTCCTTCCAGCATGGTGGTTAGGTGTCCATAGCCAAGTGTCCCAAGAGAATCAGGCTGAAGCTGCATCGTCTCTTGGGACTCTGAGAAAAATGATATTTGAAAATTTGATTTGCTATGCCTACAAAGCATGATTCTATCCATGTGTATGGACATTGAACACCTTATTTTACCAAGTTAGAGCTTTGTAAGGAAATGTTACTTCAGGTATAATTTTTTAAAACACTGAGTTCTATCAATATCTCTAGATTTTATTCATTCCTGTTACCATTTGTAAGGCCTTTGGAATGCTGTTTCCACATGCCTGTGTGCTCTGTTCACCTCAGCCTTCCCCAAAGGGGCTGGCAAATCTCTTCTGATAGTTTTTTATTTTGGTTCAAATAAAAATTGCAACTTGGAAACTGCACAAAATAAATCTCATCCACGTTAACGCAAATGTCGTCTAAAAATGAACAAATTTGCCATATGTTAAAGCAATTTTTAGTATTACACATGATGTTTTTATACTTTGCTTTCTTACATTGTTAATTTTTATATTTTCACACCAAGAGTATGTTGGAGCTTTGGAACAAACATGGAATTCGGAATCATTAGAGCTGTTTCTGGCTCCAGACCCATTTCTAATGAGTCAAGCCTGAGCTAAGTCACAATCCCATTCAGAATCTTTGTCTTCATCTGTAAAATTAGAAGTTGACTTATGTGACCTCAAATAGCTTCTCCAGGCTTGAGTATTAGGATAAACTGGGGAGATGACATGCCCCACCCTGCTGCCTACCATTGGCATATCAAGAGCAGGTGCATGTTTGTGAGTCAATATCCACAACCTTGCAATAACAACCTTTTGATTTGTGTGCGCTGCATTGCTTACACTAGCTTACTCAGCTGACTTTATTTGGAATTTGTTGACATTTACCATTTATAGTGTCAACAAATTTACATAAGAAACTGTCACACATTGCCTAGCTGAAAGGAAGTACATACTGTGTTGATTACAGCTCATTCCAAGATTGAAAATATATATTATTGCATACTATCCCCAATTCATATGCAAAATGATAATGTCCTCAGTATTTTTTTCCATCAAAATCTTTTTGTAAGAGTCTCTCTATAATCAAGCCCCAAAAAGGTATTCTGTGGGGAAACAGCTCCAACAAATTTGTGTCTCAATGACACCTGCTGGAAGTTTAGTGGGAAAAATAATTGTGTGTGAGTGAGGAGGAAGAGCACAGTAAAGCTTGTGTAAAATTAGAGTCTCAGTAAAAACAAATGCATGTTAAAACCAAGAGGCGAAGTACGTATCAAAGAGTTTCCATACTTCTGTGTAATACTATGACAAGCCAGTCAAAGCGCTATAAAAGTAAGTCTTTTAAGGTAAAAAGCCAACAGAAACAAAATGAAAGTAGCAGGCATTTCATCTCACTCTAAAAATTACAATTGTAACACATTTGATGTTTTTAATGATTTGATGATGAAAATTTTGCATGATGATAATTTTAATGCGAATGATAAAGTTCAGGTGCAAATAATAAGACAAATTTCCATGAGATATCATACCCATGAGTATGGTTCAGGACAGATTCTGAATTCTGGATTGCACAACAGAAGCCTTCTGAACTTGTATTGTCTCAATTTCATCCTAGGGAGGTCAGATTAGGTTGTGAGAGGAAAAAGGAAATATATTTTCCATTGCCAGCAGGGTCCTGAGTACAATGAACTCGAAAACAAACCGGGAAAGGTCAAGCCTGTCATTCACTAAATGTCCAAAAGGGGAATTTTGATTTTTCTTAAATAAAAGGTAATTTGATCCATCATGGCTGAATGTTACATTAGAAGATGCCCCACTTTGTCCTGATATAAACACAATAGTGCTTCGAGGAACAATGTCCAAGAAAACCCTGGGGTCTTGGTGAATATATTGATTTCATCTGAGTTAATAAACGCGTAACAATGAAGCCCGCTAATCAGGGACCATTGGCAGAAATACCACCCTGCCCTCCTGAGAAATATCAATGACCCTATTTTTACTTCTGTGCAATTTCTTTATTCATATTCACAACCCCCCAACATGGTTTCAACAAAGGAACTTTTCAAGTTCTTTAGAAACTGTCAGTCAAGGATCTGGTTTAGTCAGAAACAAGGGAAGATTGTTGACTCGTTTATGAAGGCAAAAATAGAAGGTACACAGTTAGATTCGGGAGATCAGAGTGGACTCATTAAAAACAAACAACCAAAACAAAACAAAAAAAACCCTCTGCTGTTTGACCACATTTCAATTCTGTTTTCAGAGCTGAATTCTTAGGCCACTTTTCCTTCTTTGTTGCTAATTTGTGCAGTAGAATCCGATTCTCTAATTAGCAATCAAAGTGTCCTTCTCCACCCCAAAAATATCTGACCAATATCTGCCTCCATCTCCATGTAAACGAGAAAATGATCCAGTGCAGACAACCAGCACATCAAATCACTTTTAAACCAATGGCAGGTGGGTGGGCAACATTTCTCTGAACTGGGAGCCAGGAACTCTGGTTCAAATTCCACCTGTAGGCTGTTTGGCCTCAAGGACTTACAAATAATTCAGGCATTAGCTTCCTTGCCTGTTGCGGGTGAGTGGTCCTCTGGGGCACACACGCTCACCCCTTAATTTCTGCAAACTGATTAACTGAATTGAGTATTCTAATTCAAAGAACCACTCAATATATTCTATGTAGAAAGAGGCTTAAAATTCTAAATTTTCTGCAAACTAAAATAGAATTTTGACATCAACTCTAGCTTTTTTATAATTATATTCTAGTTTTCTTTCAAGCAAGTGGCCATAAGATCTGCGCTGTATCGTGGATATTGCATTGAGTCATGCCTTGTGGAAAGAGGTGATTATCAGATAAAAAATAAGACCAATTGTATTTTTTTCTAAAACCCACAGACAATAATGGCTTGATTTTCTGAGATATGTATATATTCTTAAATGGTATTATCATTTTTATGGTAGTTTTTTAAATTATGGTTAAAAAAATGAGATCTTATGGTCCATAAAAATAAAAATTCATTATTGTGTTAATTGATGAAATGTCTCTAATCCTTCAAGCACCTCAGCCTGGACATTTTTTATGTTCTACATATTTTTTTTCCTTCTAGAGTTTCCTGGGAGTTTCCTGGGAGTTTCCTGGGAGTTACCAAACTTAGGCCACAGATATTTTTTTCACAAAGTCTTTATTGTCTCTCTGAATTGCCCTAATTTCTGAAAGCATTTTAGGGGATTGGGTAGTGTAGACTTGACTCAGTGGATTCCCTCATCTTGTGTAACCCTTGGTTTTGTCCAGCACATGAGTCCTGGCCTCTCACTTCTCCTCTCATTCCCTGTGGTTTCAGTGGGCTTTGCCGTTGTTATTATTCATACCTAGGATGTCCCAACTAGTTGTGCAGTACAGGGTGGCTGTTTTTGTTTTCTTCTGTATGCAAAAATTGATTTCAGAGGCTTCAAACACATAGATATCCTACAGCAAACAAGAGAAAACAGCAAATAAACACAGTCTGCAGAGAGTGGTGGTGGTGGTGGTGGTTTTGTAAATTACCGAAAAGCCGCAGGTTATAGGAATCACCCTCATTTTCCATGCCCATGGCATGAAAATCCCCCATGATGATGTATTTATTTCATGTTCTCGTTGTCTTAGGTTTTCGGTGGCTGTAGTTGGGGGTAAGGTGCCGCAGTGTCTCTTGTTAAACTGGCCTTACAGGACCCCATACTTCAGGGTGAGGGCTGACTGCAAGGACACTCACCATGCGAAGTTAGAACGTGATGAAATCAGACACGAACTAAATATCTGTAGAGGACTAGAATCAAAATTAGTGTGCTGTTGAGCACTTCTCCTAAACTCTCTAAGCCTCAGTTTAATTGTCACTAAATAAGGATAAGGTACCTACTTCATTGTGTCACCGAAGAACACGCAGAGCTGCACTGCACGCTTTCTACAACACACTCAGAAAAACTCGTGCTACCACCGGGGTTGAAATTTTCTTGAAGGTGGCACCTTACACAATAAGGTTAGGGAAAATCAGAGGCAACATAAAAAAAATAGTCTCTGGTGTTGTTCATGCTTTCTAGATAAACCCACAATTTAAATATGGAGGCCACCTCATTCCCTGCTACCAAATGCCCATGGTAACAAGGGGAAGGTGAAAAAACAGAAATAAGCTACTGTTTCTTCTGATGTCACACTCTCAAAATCCCAGCTGAAAGTACAACTTAATGGGAAAAAAAAATGGGTGGCTCAACACATAGTCTAAGCTCAAAGCTCCATTACAGAGAACGGCCTGTTACTCATTTATCCAGTTTCATTCATTAATTTGTCAGTCAATATTAAATGGCTAGAGATTTCTGAGTTGAATAAAAAGGGAAAACATGCATTCATTTTTCTGCTCTGAGCAATAAAAGTAAAGCAGAAAAGAGGTAATAGGTCACACGTGTGCAATTTGGGGGAGCAAATGCTTTAGAGAATTAGAAAGAATAAATAAATAATTTCCAATTTGAAAGGAATGGTAGCTGCAAGCATTTAACATGTGTTAACTAAAATCTCTTCCCTCTTTCTAGGCAGTGCACTTAAGGGATATTTTGGTTTGCTGCAGTTTTCCCCCCTTTTTATTTTCTTCTCTTTTCAGGATATCGCTGAAGGGATCACAGCAGGAAATTACTTGTGCTTGTCAGTTGATTGTGCAGTGAAGAGACCGGTGGGGCTCAGAGCTGAAGATCTCTATCCACCGACCAGGGAGATTGAAAGGCAGTGCGATGGAACGGGCACGGCCGCTCCCTGACCTCTGCCTTGACCTTGACCTTGAGCCCCCGGCCTCCCAGCGAGTGAGAGAAAGCCCACAATGCAGTGGCCTGATCTGGCCGGCCTTGGCCATCACCCTCCACCCTTCTAAACAGGAAGGTGGTGCTGCCTGTGGATGAATCAGCATTTCGAAGGACCGGTCTTGCCCGCCTGCTTGAATTCTGTTTGACTTTTTGCGTAGATAATGCTCCTCTCTCTAGGGACCTAGAAAGTCTTGCCTCAGAATAAAATAAAAGGTCAAGCAGCCTACACTGTTTCTACCTAGTAAAACCACAAAAGTGAAAAGCTGATAGCTCTGTGGGCCCCACGTTGGGGTGTTTGCTGTGGTCTCTGCTGCTGTGGCACAGCCCTGACAGTGGCGTTTCTTGGCTTCAATTAATGAAAGAGTAACGGATGCCCAGGCACACATTTTCAGGTGCCATAGGACCAAAATTTAGCATGGCACCAATGAGGCTTCCCTGTTAGAGTACAGGAGATGTATTAGTTTTTCCTAGCCAGAATTCAGACTCACATATATGTAAACATCAGACACTGTATTTGGCACTTTCATGCCCATCATCCACATGTACTTAGGTCACTCCAAGGCAATAACCCGTTATTAAACAGCCTTGATCTCATGCTAAAATATCAAATATCCATGTGTGGCATCTGGACAGTTCATGAGTTAATCTCTGAACATAAGTCATTTTCTGAAGGTGCTGTCTTTTGAGAAGAGATCCGGGAAAATGTGGGGCTGTGGTGGTGGCGGGAGTCACTGAAGCTGCCACAGACGGGACCTTTCCTACAAAGATTTCTCCCACGCCACAGCGCCAGAGTTTGCTGAAAGCCTGTGTGGACACAGGGTGTCTATTTCTCTACATCTTCCTGGAGCACGAAATCTCACACCAACAGGGACTTGGGTGCAACAGGAAGCACCAGCACAGCCCTCCCTGGCCTGGTCTGGGGGCCCAGCTGCAGAGAGGGAGTGCATCAGTCTACCGCATTGCTATAAAGAAGTGCCTGAGTCTGGATAATTTATAGAGAAAAGAGGTGTCATTGGCTCAGGGTTCTGCAGGCTGTGCAGGAAGCATGGTGCTGGCATCTGCTTGGCTTCTGGGGAGGCCTCAGGAAGCTTCCAGTCATG
This sequence comes from Homo sapiens, assembly GCF_000001405.40. Taxonomy (NCBI): domain Eukaryota; kingdom Metazoa; phylum Chordata; class Mammalia; order Primates; family Hominidae; genus Homo; species Homo sapiens. Next base: position 77,821,854 of record NC_000018.10, on the reverse strand, counting down.
GTGGAAGGTGACAGAGAGCCAGCGAGTCACATGGTGAGAGCCGACTAAGAGGGGAAGTTGGGGGGTCAAGTTTCTTTTTTCTTTGCAACCTCCACCTCCCAGGCTCAGGCAATCCTCCTGCCTCAGAATCCCAAGTAGCTAGGATCACAGTCGCACGTCACCACGCCTGGTATTTTTGGGTAGAGTCAGGGTCTCGCTATGTTGCCCAGGCTGTTCTCGAACTCCTGAGCTCAGGTGATCTGCCCGCCTCAGTCCCCCAAGGTGTTAGGGTTACAGCTGTGAGCCCCCACACCGCGCCCGGATTTTTAAACAGCAAGGTTCTGTGTGAACTAACTGAGCAAGAGCTCATTCATCACCAAGGGGAAGGTGTTACGCCTTTCATGGGGGATCCTCCAGCAACCCCATGACCCAATACCTCCCACCTGGCCCCACCTCCAAAACTGTGGATCATGTTTCAACATGAGATTTGAAGGACACCTCCAAATCATAGCAGGGTACATGCACACAGGGCATGCTGTGTGCCAGGGAGCACGTAGAAACACCATCTAGCTGTATTCTTTTTAAAGAGAATTTAAAAAGAATTACCATTTAGGTAACCTCAAAGAAAACAATAGTTTTATTTATAGAATTCTCATGGAACCAAGAAAAGTGGGAATCTCAGCAAGGAGCTCTGAGGTTCCTGGAGCTCAGCAACAGGACCCTCCCAGTGTGTGGACCCCAGCATGTGGCACTGGGAGGACTCTGTGGCCAGGTGTGCGATGCCCCACCAGGCCGCCTCTGCTGCGGCCGAGCTTCCCCCACTCCCGCCTGTCTGCGCCCCCCACACTCTGCACAGCCCGCCGTGTTTCCCCCACTCCCCCCAAACACCCCCGCCCGGCTCTCCCTGCACAGCCTGTTGTGTTTCCCCCACTGCCTCCCTATGCCCACTCTGGTTCTCCCTGCACAGCCCACTGTGTTTCCTGCGTGTTTGCGTTCTTATGCACCCTCAGCCTCGTGGCCTTTCAGTTCCACGTCTGATATCTTTCTTTTTTTCTGCATCTCCTATTCAGACCTTACAGAAAATGACAGTGTGGTTTGCAGTCCCAGTGGCCCTGTCTGGCCCTGTCTGGCCCAGACCTGCCTCCTGGGCCGCCTGTCGCCTACCTTCCCGCCGTGCCTGCTCGGAAGCCTGTGATGACCAACCTGGGAGGCCAGGTGCAGTGACTCCGGCTAGCTCCCGGGGCTGCCCTCTCAGTGGGGCCTTGACGGGAGCCTGAAGGACTCAGCCTCTGTGTGGTTGTGCTGTGCACAGAAAACACGACCGTCTGTTGGGAAAGGAAAGGCTGTCTGAAAAGGCTGTTACAAGAATGAGAACAACACCGTTCCTGAGGCTGCGTCCCCACCTCCTGTCTCTGACCATATAAGCCTTTCCAGTCTCCCTGTCCAGCAGCTCCACGCAGCTCACGTTCCTGCTTGTCATTCTGATGACTCACATGACAGTACCCTAAACTCCTTTGCCTATTTGTCTTTGAGGTACATTTTGTTGTGGAAAATGCTGAACCCTAGATGAACAGAACAGTGTACTTCTCCACGCCTGCATCTGGGTTGCTCCAAGATGCCAGCAATTCACTGATACTGCTATAAGTTTGTGCTCTTATGATCAGCTGACTTATGTAACTTGCCCTCTGCAGGACTTAAAAACCTCTCAATTTTCAGCGAACACTATTGTCTCTACTTCTTCAACTTCAGAAAATGACTTGAGTTGTAATTTACAGAGAGATGCAGCCGCGATATATGAACTATTGCACACTCCACCTGCCATCTGAATGTTCCCTTTCTCTCCTCTCTACATAAGAAGAGGGTGACTCCACTTAATCCAAGATCAGTTGGCCAGGTGCAGTGGCTCACGCCTGTAATCCCAGCACTTTGGGAGGCCAAGGTGGGCAAATCACTTGAGGTTAGGAGTTGGAGACCAGCCTGGCCAACATGGTGAAACTCCATCTCTACTAAAAATACAAAAATTAGCCAGGCGTGGTGGCAGGCACCTGTAATCCTTATTACTTGGGAGCCTGAGACAGTAGAATCACTTGAACCTGGGAGGTGGAGCTTGCAGTGAACAGATTGTGCCACTGTGCTCCAGCCTGGGCAACAAAGTGAGACTCCCTCTAAATAAATAAATAAATAAATAAATAAATAAATAAATAAATAAATAAATAAATAAATAAAATATCAGTGCCCCCACCTCTGCTGTCAAATCCATCCCCAAAGACTCAGGAACCTTGTGGTGTTCACTACATTCTCTGTCTTTGAACCTGTGAACCATAAATTCTCATCAGTGCTTTAAAAAACTCTTATATTATAAAAGGAACCTCCCCAAAAAGCATATTTCTTTCTAGAACACATTCAATTTCTCACTTCAATCCACAATAAACTCAAAAGTGGCTTAATCCTCATCATCTACATTCACTTCCATGACATTCACCGCCTGCCCTGCCAGAGCCCAGCCTTCCCCAGGCACAGGATATGGGTCCCCTTATGTTCCCCTTAATGTCCACATGACATTCACCACCTGGTCCATCAGAGTCCAGCCTAGTACTTTCAGGCCTAGGCCATTAAATTTATATCACCACCCAGGTCTCTCTGATGAGCTCTGGACTTGTGTACTTAACTATCTACCTAGCATCTCTATTTATATTTCTCATTGGATTTTTAGAAGTTAAAATATATGACTTTTTTTTGCCAGCAATACGGTTGACTGTAGAGAGACTCTCACCTTGCCAGCACTATAGCAAGTTATATATCTAGAAACGCCTAAAAATTATATGCGAAATTAAAAAGAGTATGCCAATGGCTAGAATGTGAAATCCTTAAAGGCGAGAAACAATGGAAATGCAAAAAGAAGGAGAAAGCCCAGAAGCTGGCCCTCCCTGGGGCCTCTAACCATGCCTGGTGGCAGCATTAATTTTGTGCCTTCGTAAGTTGTAAGAATGAAGACCAATGCTACTTTCCCAAGCAGGGGTAGAGGTCAGATTGCAGACTCTTCTAAAAAACCAGGGCCCCTGAAACCCAAAACCCTCAGTGAATGCAGAAAAGAAAACTGCCCTGAAGAAGAGGGAAATATATTTTCCTGTTTTAGTCCTGTCTCTAGGTGTGGGAAGAGAATGAAAAAAAAGTAAAGAGGAAAAAGAGGAAGGAGGGAAGGAAAAAAGAAGGAAAGAAGAAGGAAGGGAAGGAAGGAAAAAGGAAGGGAAGGAAGGAAAATGGAAGGGAAGGAAGGAAAAAGAAAGGGAAGGAAGAAAGAAAAGATGGAAGAAAAAGAAAAAGAAGGAAGAAAGGGAAGATGGAGGGAAGAAAGGAAAGAAAAATGGAAGGAAGAGAAAAAGAAAAGGAATGAAGGAAAGAAAGAAGGAAGAAAAGAAAGAAAGATTGAGAGAAAGAAGGAAAGATGGAAGGAGGGAAAGAAAAGAAGAAAAGGAAAAAATAAAGGAAAGAAAGAAGAAAAAGAAAAAGGGAAGGAAGGAGGAAGGAAGAATGGAAAGAACGAAAGGAGAAGGCCATGTCTACCTGCAAGCCATATCCCATGATAGTTTAGAACTCTCCTAAATCTTCTGGAGGAACACACATTAAACAGATCCCACAGGTAACGTCACAGTGATTAAAAGCTCATAATAACACACACACACACAACCAAAAACTAATTATGCCTCAGAGTGTTAAGACAAGCAGAAAAATAGCAAAACCAGATCCTCAATTAATGAGGTACCAACCATAACATATGTTTATTTGTTTTTAAAAACATCTCTGAAAGAGAGAGAGTACATAGAAAGTATGATTTTTGAAGACCATCAAAATAACCAAGGCAGACTGGTAAAAATTGAATAGGTAAAGAGGTAATTAGACATTTCTAGAATTAAAGACACCAAGCCTCAAAACCCAACAGATCTCAAACAGAAAAAATGAATAACAACTCATGATGAGATAAACCTTAGTAAAGCTACAAGTGCAAAAGGTAAAGGAAAGATATGAAAAGGAGAGAATGCCACTGGAATCCGACTTCTTGTTAGCAGCATTGGAATTGGAAGACAGTGAAATAAAGCAGAGAAAAATGGCCATTAAACTAGAGCGGAATAACCAGAAAGCCTGCCTTTCAGGGGTGACTTCAACCACTCCCCAGAGAACACTGCTAGGGAGGAGGGGGAAGCTGAGAATCTACTCAGGAGACCACTATAACAATTCAAACAAAATGATGATTTTTGGCTTGGAGCTAGGATTATAACTAAATGAAAATAGACTATACATTCCACAATGTCCAAATTAGTACAAGAGAAAGAAAATTAAACGAAAACCACACACAGCTAGTTCAAATAAAACAAAACTAGAAGTGGAAAAAAGCTTTTAAAAAGGAAGAGAAATGGAAAGTAGCAATTAGGATGGTGGTCCCTAAGGGACCACCACTCCCTTTCCAAGACCTCTGCTGATGGATTTGCTCCAGAGAGCTTCTTTGACCAACACTTTGTCTTCATGGCAGTTATTTATTTGCATGGCAATTTTTAAATCTATCTGGTCTTACTGAACTTTTCAAAATTGCTTTAGCTACTCTAGTTTCTCTGTCTTTCCATACAAATTTTCTTCAAAAAATTATTTACATCTACAAACATTTTTAAAATTTTGATAGGAATTTTGTTGAATTTGTGTATCAATTTGGAAAGAATTGACATTTGCTATTTTGAATTTTCTAATCCATGAACACAGAATATTCTTCCATTTATTTATTTTCTTTAGTTTTCAGCATACAAATTATACATACATTTTATTGGACTTATACTTGTGATATTGTGGTATAATAAAAAATATATATTTAGTTATTTCCCTGGTACCTGGTACACAGCTCTTAAAACTCTTATAATTTCCTCAGTGATAAAAGCCTCTTTTGTTAAAGTATTTGTTCTTTATACTCAGTTCTCTATATACAGCTCTTAAAATTTTGGAATCTCTAGAGTGATAAAAGAGAGGTTTTCTTTGGATGCTAATTAGATTACTGGTGCCTGGGAGCCCCTGGAGAGCTTCAAGATGGGGGCTTGTCACCAAAAAGACCAAGCTGTGATTACAGGGTTGGGACTTTAGCTCCAACATTGAACCTCTGGGGAAAGGAGATTGAGTTAATTGCCAGTAACCAGTGATTTAATTAATCATGCCTAGGTAATAGAACCTCTATTAAAAAACTGAACAACAGGGGGGTTCAAAGAGCTTCCAGGGTGGTGACCAAATCAAGGTGCCCGGAGAGAGGGTATGGAAGCTTCTCAGCCCTCCCCACATCTTGCTCTGTGCATCTCTTCCATTTGACTGTGAGTTTATACTTTATAATAAATCTGTAATCACAAATACACTGTTTCCTTGAGGCCTGTGGGCCATTCCAGCAAATTATAAAACCCAGGGGAAAGGTTGTGGGAATGTTTCATTCATAGATGTTTCGTCAGAAGTATGGGAGGCTTGGGACTTACAGTGGAGTAAGTCTTGTAGGGCTGAACCTTTAATCATGGCACCTGATGCAAACTACAGGGAGGCAGTTAGAACCGAACTGAATTGTAAACCACTGTCATGGAATGCATGCCTGTGTCTCCCCAAAATCCATATGTTCAAGTCCTGACCCCCAACAAGGAGGCTTAGTAGATACGGCCTTTGGGAAGTGATTAGGTCATGAGGGCAGCACCCTCGTGATGGTATTAGTGTCCTTACAGGAAGAGGACCAGAGCTAGCTCTTTCTCTTTCAGCCATGTGAGGATACAAAAAGAGGTCAGCAGTTTGCAACCTTGAAGAGGGCCCTCAACAGAAACCAACTATATTGGCACCCTGATTTCAGAATTCCAGATTCCAGAACTGTGAGAAATAAGTCTCTGTTGTCTATAAGCCACTCATCTATACTTTTTTATAGCAACCTTAACTGACTAAGACAAATCTGGCTAGCATTAGAGAATTGGTTGATGGGGCAGGCAGTGGAGTGAGGAAAGAAAACCCAAACATTTTGTGGTTTTTTTTGCAAGTGAAAAACCTCATTGCCACATAGTTCTCTTTTTTTGACTGATTGTAAATGTTATTTTATTTTTAACTTTATGTCCTCATGCTCACTGCTAAATATAGAAATGCAAATAAATTTTGTATATTTATCTTGTATCTTGCAACCTTACAAAACTCCTTTATTGGTTCTAAGAGGATTTTTTTTTAATATAGAGCTTTGGAATTTTTTAAGTAGACAACTTAAAAAATTTTAAGTTGCAGTTGCAATCATGACAACTGCAAAAACGTTTATTTTTGTTGTCCTATTGCAATGGATAGAACTGCTGGCACTGTGTTGAATAGCAGTGGTTACAGTGGACATTCTTGTCCTTTACCCAATTGTAAGGGACAGCATTGAATCTTCTGATTAAGTAGAGTGTTAGCTATAGGCTTTTTGTAAACATTGTCTATCACTTCTCCTTCTATTCCTTCCTTCTGAGAGTTTTTATTACAAATGGATGTTGATATTTTTCAAATGCTTTCTGTGCATCAATTGATATGATCATGTGATTTTACTTTGAAACTCAAGAATAACACATGCTTAGAAAGAGAAAAGTGCAAGAATAACCTATTTTTTTCTTTAAAAATATTGGTAAATATTACTTTATAAACTTTTAAAATCATACATTATATCAGGGACATTTTCACAGATCAGTCAACATATTTCTATAAAATGATTTTTAATGACTGCATAACAGTTTATAATTAATGTAGTAAACCAATCCCACTTAATTAGATAACTTAGATGATTCGTAGTTTTTATATTTTTCTCAATATTGCTGTGCTTCTATACATATGTATATATTTTTAAAGATCACTGATTATGTCTCTAAGATAAATTTCTATGAGTGGGATTTTTTATTTAAAAATCCATATTTTTCAGACTTATGGTATGCATTGGCATAATTGCAAAGCTTTATTTAACAAGTAACTGTTGGACCACTCAGTGCACTATTTTATTGCATAGAATATCACATTATTTCATGCTTTTTGGTCACTGAAATACAATAGTTTACAATACCATCTTTGCGTGTCTACGTAGAGAATTATGTAATCCCATACATCTCTTTGTTTACATCTGTTTTTGTATTTTCCCTACTAGATAATGAAGTCAGTGGAACAGAGATTTTGTTATGTTAATCTTTGTATACTTAGTAACTAATTCAGTGCTTGAAACAAATTTTAAGAGGAAATTTGTTACATAAATATTTTTTAAACTAACATATTTGAATAATTATAAAAGGAATAAATATTCATAATAGACAATGGAGTTAGTTAAAAGTTAACATTTGAATTACCTGAAACTCACAACTAAAAAATAAACACTAAAAACTGTATGGTGTAATTTTATCTCATTGTTTTTGATATCTATACTAATAACTAATACAGTTAGAGATCAATGAAAAAAGAGAGAAGAGATGCCATGTATCCAGTTATACTTTGAGAATGCACTTGTCAGAGACCAAATTCCAAAGTCCCCAGGCCAGGGTCCCTTCTTATCTGAATAGTGTGGGAAACACATTGGGAAATAATTTCTTGATAATCTCTTTTCCAGAAGTAATTTTTTTCAGAGCATTTTTTATCAACCAACACATTTTCATTTCAGAGTGGGTACAGTGAGTATAATAAAATTTTCAGACTTTTTCAGACTCCACATACACAAATGCATGCACACACACACTCTCAATGTAGTAATAATCTCCCAAGAATAGACATCATCACCTTTATTGAAACTTGTATATTATAGAATTTCCTGCTCCTCATTTGTAACTTACTGGTTAGGGTCGACAGTTTCTACACATGACTTCTATACACATTTTGTTGTTTTATTTTTAAAGGGTATTACCTTTAAATTTCAGAGAAAAATGATTCAATGGCATAACTTTACATTTAGCATTGTAGACACCATAAACTGGCTGACATTGTAAGTAAGTTGAAAGATTTTATTTTCCTTATCTGTAAACCAAAAGAATTGTAAATTCCTCTTCTACATTTCTAAGAGCTTGAAAGTTCTACTATAGCCAATTTTAAACTTGAGCATACAAAAATCTTAGAATTAATAAGTAATTAACTTAGTAACTTTTGTTTTGGAAAATATGTAGGCTACACATATGATTTATTTCAAACGGAAGCATGATTGCACTTGAAGAACTTGTATGCTATGGAGGCAAAACTGTAAATACATACCTATATTTATTAAAAATTGTTTAATATTTATAAAATATAAAATATGGTTTTATTTGTGAACAATGGTACATTCTTCTAAGTTAAAAATTATCCACAAGGGCAAGTGTTTCTATTTGGCTTACTGGATTCCCTAAATCAAGTACCTCAATAGTATCTGGCATTTAGTAGACATTCAGTGAGTATTGGTTTCATAAATGAGTCAATGGGTTTTGCAATTGTCGAAGAAAGCTTTATGGAATATGTTAGAATTAATTTGGTTTGTAATGATGAGTAGAATTAAAATACATTCAGGGGATCAAGAGTCATATTCTAGTAAAGAGGGAAGTAGTAAAAAATATTGAGTGAAAATGATTACGGCATATTTAAGATGGATCAGTAAATATAACAGAACATGTATAGCAACTAATAATAGAATAACAACTAATTAATAGAACAAGTATGAAAGGCTTCACATGTCTTTCACAAAAACTAGCAGGAAAGCAGACAGAGATCCTCATTTAAGGAGGAAAAGTATACTTTTTAAAGCCCATGAACTGTCTTGCAACAATATGCAAAATGAATCTAGAAGGTAAATTTAAATAGTTCCTCAAGAAGGCTTTTCCAAAATTCAAGAGGTGAGGGATGAAGTTCTGGGTTAGGACCAGAACTGAGAGGAAAAAGCATATAAAGTTTGATAAAAAGTAATTTGCACTTTGGAGTTTCCCATAAATAAATAATCAACTTTAAGGAAAATATAATGGCAAAATGAACAAGATAGAATAAAAAAGCTATAAACATTCCGAATTCTGCTTGTGGAAATTTTCAGGAGTGAGTTAAATCTATAGAACTTATTCGAATGTTTACGGCCAATTGTTTGAATCAGCCTTTGTTCATCAGCAGGTGTCATTGTTGGCTGGTCGTCCCAGTCACCATGCTTCCTAGGAAGAAGGTCCACAAAGGCACAGCATGGCTCATTGGGCTGCATGGTGCCTGTCTGGAGAGACACTTCCTGGACCACTTCTGCACTGTCCACGTGATAAACAGCCCCATAAACTTCCAGCTCCTTGGACCTGACATTTATTCATTCTCAAGAGAAAACACTTGGTCTTTTCCATTAGGACACATTTCAAATACTAGTAGAGAAATGTCCAAGATTCATTTGTGTCCATTCCCTGGATTATCTGTGTGAAAAGGAGAATTCCTTTTTAAGTTTTGGGGCAGATTTGCTCTTTCAATTAGCCTTTTGGGAGTAGCATTTAATTCTATAAAGTTGAAGTAATGGAGAAAAGAGAAATCCAATGATAGTGTGAACAAGATGGAACAAGAGAACTTGCCTCACCCCACTACACTCATCAACAACTTGGGAAGAATTAGACAAAATGAGGCTCTTTCTGGGTCTGGAATGATGGAGAGAATCAGGTCTACATACTCAACACAACTATTAAAACACCCGCTCCCGCTTCCTGATCAACTCCTGATCTCTCTTATCTTTCTCTACATGAACTTCTCTGCATGCTACTTTTCACTTTCTGACATAATATACACCTTACTTATCATGTTTATTAATTGTAGCTGCCCTTCTATTCCTGAAATGTGAGCTCCGGCAGGTGGAAGTCTTTGTGTGACTTACCCTGTAAGGTGTTCCCAGACTCCGGAATCGTATTGCACATGGCAGGTGCTCAATTATTACTGAATGAATAAGGAAGCCTGGATTATTGCAATATTTGCTATTTTTCCCACTTTTCTAATGACAGTCTCCCAATCCCTCATGAGGAAAAATGAACCCTCATGGATGCCCAAGGGAGAAGTGCCTTGGATGGAACCACAGGCCATGCTGAGGGCAGGAACAGCACATCTCTGCACAGGAAGTGGATTTCCATCAGCAGCTGGCCAGGCTCCAAGAAAAGCAACTCTTGCTCAGCTTAAGGCACAAGAGAACTATGATTCATACGTGTTTACAAAAACAGCAGTAAAGGAAGATAAGAGTTTACAGCAGGTGTCAAGCACACACGTGGCTGTCAACCCTGGCTGCTACTGTGTTGTCACTGACAGAAACGGGAGCTCAGAAAAAAAGGCTGGGTCATGTGTGCTTAGTTGTATTCCCCCCTCCTTTCTCTGTGTGCGTGAGTGTGTACACTTTAATTTACTTCGCCAATCTACCCCAAAGTGAGAATGAGTGATGCGCAGGCTGGAAGAAGGTGGAGCCAGGCTATAATCAGAGCCCAGATTTTTCTTTTTACTTTTTTGTTTAAATAGATGAACAAAAGGCTTTGGGTTTTAATGAAAAGCACAGGAAGTGGTAGCAAAGGAATAAGGTCCTTTCTGGATGACATTTGAGAGCCTCCTTTCTCCTCCCTCCCACCCAGTTGCAAATGTGAGCAAATGGGCCCCTCGGTGGTCTGTATCATCCCCAGGGGCCTTCTGGGCTCCATTGTTGGTCACACACCAATGCCAGTGGAAAGACACAAAGGGCGAGGCCCTCCAACAGCTTTAAACATTTAGAATCAATATAACACTTTCAAATCTTAAATATTTTAATTTAAATGTAAATAGCAAACCTGACATTGTTAGTCTGTATGTATTAATCTGAAGATAGAGATTTTACAGTTTATGTGTAAGAAAGAAATACATCAATCACCATTAGTAGAAGTTCAGTACCATCTCTAGTGGTTGGTGTTTTTAACCTTCAATGTTGATATTTTCTTCTAACTATCACGGGGGGACTGAAGTGAGCTCACTAAACTGCATCTCAGTGCACAGGAACTGAGGCCACAGAGACACACCAGGAGCAGCTCCATCCTTTAGCTGACCTTGAGCTATCGGGGAGCTTCATCAGGGGACACTATTCCTTTCAATGAGGCAGGAATCTTGGGTCAGTGTTCTTGGCAGTGACTATGGAACCACTGTCTTGGTCAACGACACACAGACGAGGGAGACAAGGCGGCTGCAGGACTGGGTGTGGGGATGTCAGCATCTCATGACCTCACATTTCACCCCAAAAGCTTCCTTGGTTAGGCAGGTCCTAGACAAAGTGGAGATAAGGCATGGGCAGTGTAAACATATGAGAATAATTACTTAATTTGTATAAATCAAAGCAAATTTGACTCTGAGCCACTACTCAGCAAGACCAAGGAGTAGCCCAGCCACTGACTGTGGGTCCAACCTCAGGGGGCTCATGTATTTCAGGGAACTGCAAAGGGGCCATAGTTTATGTAGGATGGAGCCACTGGTGCTCATTTCTGTCCTCTGTGATATTAGAGATAGAAATCTCTGATAATGGTGCCAACTTTCTCTTTGCAAAATTCAGCCCAAGCATCTTCTCTCAGAGTACCAACGTGGTAAGACTGCAGGCTCACACAGGAGGAAATAGCTACCTGCCTGTTCTTAGGGTGTGGAAGACCCAGCTCTACAACAATTCCCCTGACAGCCTACTTTTTTGAACCAAAATGTGAAGGGCAAGGAGGACATTAGGATAGGTCGTCCCTACCTAACTGGACCCCCACATTGCAGCAAAGCGTCCCCAAGTGGAAAGAAACGCAGGACTCAATAAAACAGGGGCCTCATGGAAGTTTCCATGAGGAAGGATAAGACCATTGCTATTGCATTATTTTGTTAATGGGTTTAAATTATGAAACCACATAATTTCTTAATAATTGTCTTATTATGGACACATATATTCAAGATATTTTTCTATTTCAGTTATTTTGCAATGTCAAATCAGATCCTATCAAAAGCTAAGTTGTATGTCAAATCACTCTGATGTGTTACAGAGTGCAGAAATATGTCTGAATTTCAGGCTCTAAGTTGATGGAGACAGCCCCATCCTTTGCCCGGACACCACCTCTAAGAGATTATGACTGGATCATTTTGGGAGGGAGTGGAGATTAGCAGTTCTCAAACGACCTACCAGGGAACTCTAACTCACAGCCTGTCCTGGGAGTCACTAAGTAGGAAGACTCCCTGAGACGCAGGAGCATGACAGCGGCTCTTCTCTTAGCTTCCCTGATTCACGTCTTTGACTTTTAACCAAAATAATCATGGGCACACACTTTATGAAGTCCCACTATGGTATGCACAGTTAAAACATTAATTTAATAGGGAATGATTTGCAAAGTTGTAAAATGATTTACTTTGTTTGATACAGTAAAAAGATATTTCCACCACAGTTTCTTTAATGATAGGCATCTGGGTAATTAGCACCTGGTCTTAGCAGAGGTGAGAACATGGGCATGCTGGGAGGGGAGGTGGCTCAAAGCCAGGGAAGTGGAGTGAAAACCAAAGGAACCAAGGCAGACACATGGAGGGGATGTGGGCTGAGTGTCACCTAATCAGGGCAAGACAGATCCAGTCCAACTGTGAGCCAACTTTCCAGTTCCCTGAAATAAACAGCAGAGAGAATGTCTAGCATATACCAAAACCCTACACGGGAAAGAACAAAATAAACAGCCTGGTTTCTCAAGGAGCAAAATATTAGCTGGGGAGGAGGGGAGGGTTGCACCAAGATAAAGTACAGCACGTTTCTGACACTGCCAAAGTTTTAGAGAAGCAGTCAGGATTGTTTCCAAATCCTCAAGGTTCTTTAGGCTGGAGTGATTTTCATGATACCTTGTTGGATATTTTTGATTCTGAGTGTAATGAGACTACATCTGCTATTAACGAGAAGTTCACCCTGAAAAGCTGGACAGAGGAAAGATAGGTAGGAATTGACGGGTATAACAGACAAAATGTGATTCAACTGTATATATTTTTAACTGCTCACCACACAGCCTTCTAGGAACCTGGTGAGGCCAAAGACCGTTAACTACCATTAGTTCCCTTCTTCTACCTCACTCTTTCTGTGACACCACCAGTCTGTCAGATGCCTACTTATGCTTACATTCTATTGCATATTCATTATTATGTCTTCAGTGTTTTCTTTGCAAGTTGAAAAGCAAACACCCACATTTGTTTTTTGACTTTGTACCTAGTGTTTTTCATGCCACCAGGTTGTTTGCCATCAATCAATATCATCATAGGTAAAGGAATCAGGAAATAGTTAAAACTGAAAGGTAACCAATCAAGACTTCCACTTCATGAAAGCTAGAAAAGAGGCATATTTTCTTTTTCCCCTGACAACTAATCACCATGAACATGGTATGCAAACCAAACACAGGATTCCAAGGGTGGAGGGAGGAAGGTAGATGGGCAGGGTGTATTAATCCATTTTCACACTTCTGATAAAGACATACCTGAAATTGGCCAACTTACAAAAGAAAAAGGTTTAATGAACTTACAGTTCCACATGGCTGGGAAGGCCTTACAATCATGGCAGAAGGCAAGGAGGAGCAAAGTCACATCTTATGTGTATGGCGGCAGGCAAAGAGAGAACTTGTGCAGGGAAATGCCTGTTTTTAAAGCCATTAAATCTATTGAGACTTACTCACTATCACAAGAACAGCATGGGAAAGACCCGCCCCCATGACTGAATTATCTCCCACCAGGTACCTCCCATAACACACAGGAATTATGGGAGCTACAATATAATTTTAGGTGGGGACACAACCAAACCACATCACAGGACCACAGAACCTTGGGCAGGAGCAACACAGCAGTGAGTTGGCTGGGCCTCTTTTTTGCCACATGTTTACCAGATGAGTTTCTAGAGAAGTAATCACCTGGATGCACTAAAAAAGTGCAGATACACAAACACACATGCATATACACACATACACACACATGCACACACATACACACATATGCACACATGAACACGCACATGCACACAACACACATACAAACACATACACATGCACACATACACACATGCACACACACATGCATGCACACACAAACACATGAACATGCACACTCATGCATAAAAACATGCATGCACATACACACATGCATACACACATAAACACACATGCACATATGCTTGGGCATGCATAAACAAACACAACAAAAGTGTGTTCTATCTAGACAAAGGACCAGGGAAAAGCCAGCCTAGCAAGAGAGGAAACGTTTAGAAAATAACAGTCCCATTCCAGCCAAACACCATGGAAATACTCAATTCTGACTTCTACTTCTGCCAGCAACGGACCAGGGAAAGCCCAGATTTCCACCTTCACCAGGCCATAAAAAGGGAACTCAATTCCTTTGCCTGGCAGTGTTGGAGAAAGCCGAAAGCAGAGTAGTGTCTCACATCCCTGCCGGGTGAAGGGGGGCAGATCAGACAGACGAGGGGAGCCCAGAACCTTCACTCTTAGCTGGCGGTGACAAGCCAGGGGTCCTGTCAGAAGAAGCCTAGTGGAGAATCAGAAATTTTACAATCACCCAGTGGCAACGAAGATCCCCACCGAGCAGGTGCCAGTGGCAACTGTGCGGAAAAGAGCAGCAAGGCATTCCTGCTCCCTCCAGGTGTCAAGGAGGCTGAGAGGGAAACTGTGCTTCCACTCCCACCTGGAAGAAGATCCAGAGTCTCATAACAATACGCAGGGGTCCAGGATTTAATCAAAACCCATTTGTCATGCCAAGAGGCAGGAAGACTTCAAACCAAATGAAGAATGCCATCAGTAGATGCCAATACGAAGAATACCAAGATGTTAGAATTATCTGACAAAGATTTTAAAGCAGTCATCATAAAAATGCTGCAATGAGCAACTATGCACATACTTGAAACAAATGAAAAAAAAAGGAACGCCTCAGCCCAGAAGTGAATGATATAAAAAAGAACCAAATAGAAATTTTAAAACTAAAAACTATAAAAGTCTAATTAAAGAAATGAAAGTCAATGGATTTTCTAAACAGCAGAGCAGAGGAAATAAAGCAAACAAACAGTGAACTGAAGAGAAAACAATAAAAAGTATTCAAACAGAACAATAGAGAGAACAGT
Organism: Homo sapiens; assembly: GCF_000001405.40. Lineage (NCBI taxonomy): Eukaryota > Metazoa > Chordata > Mammalia > Primates > Hominidae > Homo > Homo sapiens. The sequence goes on along the minus strand of NC_000018.10, from coordinate 77,806,784 downwards.
AGATTGAAAACAAACAAAAAAAGGATCTGAAGACATATGGTGTTATCACACACAAAAAAATCTAAAATTCATGCCATCCGAACCCCAGAAAGAGAAAAAAAAAGAAGGTAGGATTGAACAACACTTGAAGTAAAAGTATCTGAAAATTTAACAAATTTGGTAAAAGGCATTGAACAACAAGAGATTGAAGAAACTGGGCAAAATCCAAGCAGCATAACCAACCAAACAAAGAAACAAATCTACACCAAGACGCGTCTTAGTAAACCATCTGAAAATTAAACACAAAGAAAAAAAAGGAGCAGGAAGAAAGCGCACTAACACCTCACCCAGAGGGAAAACATTCATGTGATAGTGGATTTCTCATAAGAAACCAGCAAGGCATCATTTTCAAATTCTGGAAGAAAAGAATTATCAACATAGAATTCTATATCCAGTGAAAGTATGTTCCAGTACTGAGGGGAATCAAGAAATTCTCAGCTGAAGGAAAACTGAGAGATGGATGGTTAGTATCCCTACCCTACAAAAAATAGCTAAATGTAGTTCTCTAAACAAAAACAAAGAGGATAAAAGAAGGAATTTTGGAACACCAGAAATAAAGAACAAAGAAGAGTAAAAATATGGATAAATGATAAATATTCATTTTCCTCTTGAGATTTTTAAATTATGTTTGGCATTTGAGGCAAAAACTTTAATACCATATCAAATGGTTCTTACATTACATCAAGGAAATATTCAAGAAAAACATATTACAAAGGAGGAAAAGAAAGGGACACAGGGATGAAGATTTCTCCAATTTACTTATACAGATGAAACATAAAAACGAGTAGACAGAAAACTAAAGTCAACAAATTATAAAATTGAAATCATACAGAGTATGAGCACAGAACGTAGGTTCATGGCCACAATAAAGTCAAACTGGTAATAGATAATAGTAAAATCTTCAAACATTTGGAAACTAAACAGCATATTTCTAAATAACCCAAGGGTCAAAAACTGAGTTTCAAGGAAAATAAAAAATATATTGAACTTAATGAAAGTGAAAAAATGTCAAAATTTGTGGGACAAAGCTAAAACATGGCTGAGAGAGAAATTTATAGAACTGAATGCTTACATTAAAGACAGAGGGAAAAAATCAAATAGCCTAAGTTTCCACTTCAAGAGCCTAGAAAATGAAGAGTAAAACAAGTGCAAATTAGAAGAAAAGGAGTAATAAAGACAAGAGCAGAAAACAGTGAAACCAAAGACACAAAAACAATAAGAGAAAATCACTGGTTATTTGAAAAAAATCAAAGAATTGGCACTCTTCTTGACAATATTGACAAAGAAACAAAGAAAGAAGACACAAATTATGAACATCAAGGAGGAAATAAGAGACATCACTAGAGATCATGCAGACATCAAAAACATAATAGCTGACTCTAAAGAGCAACTCTACACACACACATTCACCCACTTAGGTGACATGGATAAGTTCCTTAAAAAAACCCAACTACCTCAACTCACCCAATATGAAATTATTTGAATAGTCCTATAATTATTAGGAAAAATAAATTTTAAAACTCTCAGAAGAGAAATCCCCAGACTAATATGGTTTCACAGGAGAACTTAATTTCAATTCTACATAATTTCATCCAAGAAATAGAGGAGATGGGAGCACTCTTATTTCATTTTATGAAGCTAGTATTATCTTGATACCAAAATAGACAATACAGAAAAGGAAAATAAAACTAGAGATTAATAATCAATAATGCTTGTGAATATAGACGCAGAAATCCTTAACAAAAGATTACCAATCAGAATTCAGCAATATATAAAAAATCATATACCATGATTACATGAGGTTTATTCAAGGGGTGCAAGGCAAGTTCAGTCTTGGAAAATCAATCAGTATAATCCAACTTATTAATAGGCTAAAAAAAACTACACGATCATATCAATCAGTGAACAAAAAGCATGTAACAAAATTGAACATCTATTCATGATATAACTCTCAGAAAAAAGATGGACTTGATAAAGAGTATTTCCAAAAAACTTACACCTAACATTATACTTAATGACAAAACATCTAATGCCTTCCCTCTAAAACAGGGAACAAAGCAAGGATGTTTACTTTTATCACTTTTGTTCAACATGATGCTGGAAGTTCTATCCAGTACAATAAGTCAATAAAAGGAAATAACATTCATCCTTATCAGAAAGGAAGAAAACTGTTCCGATTTGCAGATCACATGGTTATGTACCTCAAGCTATTAAGAAGGACAGATAAAAGTTTTCAGAACTAATACATGGGTTGAGTGAGTTCACAGGATGCAAGATGAACATGCAAAATACATTTTCTGTATAGTATCTACGAATATATGGATACCAAAATTTAAAATAAAATACCATGTACAATCACTCAAAAAATGCTTGGATATAAATCTAACAAAACATATACAATATTTGTATGCTGAAAACTGCAAAAACATTCAGAAAGAAATCAAAGAAGATACATAATTTAGAGACATATTCTGCTTACAGATTGGAAAGCAAACAATCCAATTACAACCTGGGCAAAAATCAGGAGAGACATTTCATCAAGGAAAATACACAGATGGCAAACAAGTTCATGAAAAGGCATTCAATATCTTTAGTTAATAGGGGAATGCAAGTTAAAGCCATGGTGTACCACTGAATGTTTTTTCAGAATGGCTGAAATACGTAGACAACACCAAATGCTGGTGAGCATGTGGAGTAACTGGATCACTCAGACATCACAGGTGAGAATATGAAATGGTACAGATATTAGGGAGAAAAAAATGGGAATTAAAAGAAGAAAACTAAACATGCAACTATCAACTGATCCAACAATTATATTCCTGAGCACATATCCCAGAGAATTACAGATCTATATTCATACAAAATCTTAGGCACAAATGTTTATAGCAGCTTTTCTAGTAACAGCTAAAGATTCAAAACAGCCGAAGTAGCCTATAATAAGTGAATGGTTAGAGAATCTGTGGTGCATCCACACTGTGAAAAGAGACTCAGCAGTGGAAAGGAACACATCATTGACAATTCCAACAGCGTGGACGAATCTCACAGGCATTATGTTGAGGGAAAGGAGCCAATTTTGAAAGGTTACATAATGTGTGACTTATCTATGACCATTCCTGAAACAATCAAATTGCAGAGTTGGAAGACAGATTAGTGGTTATAGGGGATAGCGAGGTGCTGGGTGATTTTTGACTATGAAAATGCAGCAGAGAGAAATCTTTGAACTTGGAATGTTTTTGTATCTTGATTGCAGTTATTCCATTCTACTCACATGATGAATAATATAGAACTGTACAAGGTACCAAAGTTAATTTCTTGATGTTAATATTTTACTACAGTTACTTAAGGTAACCAATGGGGAAGATGGGGGAAGGCTATATGGGACCTCTCTGTATTATCTTTGCAACTTGCTGTGAATCTATAATCATTTCAAAACTTTTACAAAATTAAAGTAATCATTGAAAATAATTTAACATGTACTGTCAGGGGAAAGATGAGGAACGTGGAAGGAGTGATGAGTTGCTGAATCAGCTGTATTCTTAATCCCTCAAGTCAAAACGTAACATCTAAATAAAACATAACATCTAGCGAGAAGTTGAGAAATAGTTGTACATTCATAAAGTTTTGAGCAGTGGAGCTGACAATCAAAAGAACTAAGAGGAACTGGCTTTGAAAGCTGGATTCAAGGTAGGGTGTGGCCACCAGTTTAGGTAACTTGTTTCTCATTAGAAATTGTTCAGTTTTATTTACTTTTTAAATCTGTGTATGTGTAATATAAAATTTTTTAAAGAAAAAGCTACATAAAATAAGAAACCCTTTTCCATCAGCATTGTCTTGGCTCCAGGTTTATTCTCTTACATCCTGCAGATATTCCATAAGGAGGCCGTGGAAACTTTGTCAGACAGAACTAACTTTCTGTCATTGCTTCTGCAAACACATTTAGTCCAGTTCTGGTATTTGGACATTTATGAATATTTGATTTAACTGTGTTTCTGATTTCCTGTATTTTTTGTATATTTTTCAAATAAGAATTTTGGCAAGCTTTATATTCATTGTTACACTGGGACAAATTTACATCGGGTATATCCCAGTATTTACCAGTTGAAGCTCCATTTCAATACACTGGGAAGATTCAGAACCCATGTATGATAGACTAAATTGTCCAAACCTGTGTGTTCTCTTCATTGCTTCTGGTCTAGGAGTAGTTTTCTTGCATAATCTTACAGCTGGTACACTTCACTTGTCTAATTTCACTCACATTAATTAATAGACAGAGAACATAAACAGAGTCCCAATTAGGCTGGAGTGCCTGAGCAATTCAGTGGCAGCACCTCTTCAATTATCTAGGGTCACTGGATGAATACTGACTTACCAAGTGCAAGGAAACTTTTGAGATTTTTTTCTGTTTTTTAGATGTGCTACTCTTCAGAGTTTTGAAGAAGGAACATTGCACTGTGTGAAGTTCAAGTTTTTAAAAACCTTGGTTATCCCAAAGCTACAGCTTCAAAATAAAAAGTATAAAATCTGGAACATTGATGTTCATTAAATGAAAAAGGACATTATTTACACAATTTTAAAGCCAGCTTAAATTGGGTGTAAAAAATTATCTTCAGATTTTAAGATAAAAGGTGAATATTGGTTTGACAAATTTGAGAATATAGAAATTTTCACAAATATTAGATGGCCCACACATATTATGTACTTGAAATCTGCTAAAAGAATAGATCTTAAGTGTTCTCAGAATAAAAAAGAGTGGAAACTATGAAGTGATATGAGAAGAAATGGATATGTCAATTAGCTTGACTGCAGTAATTTGTTCACTGTGTCTGTGTATATCAAAACCTCATGCTGTATGCAATAAATGTATACAATTTCAATAAAAATTAAGTAGTGCTCCTCTTCAGTTCAAAAAATACTTGGAAGAAATAATTCTTAGAGGAACTTTGATCCACATGTTTATCACTTAATTTCTGCTCTGTATTTTTATTTACATGTAATTTAAGTTTATTTTTTTTCTTGTTGTCTTCTAGCTGAATATTCATATACCTGGAATAGCACAGGAAATCATGAGCCATGTGAATATGTAATACGTCTTACGGTAGTATTATAATATTAAAATTAAATTTATTCATTTATATGCAGATCTAGTATAAGTCACCTAGTCTTGTTTATACTTTTAATTAACAGCATGTAATATTCATGAAGTTTTCCATATTCTTAAGCATGAACAACCAGTATTTTTGAAGTCCATCTTAACTTCTAATCAAAGCCACTTGAGGGTTTGTGACCTTGAGTTTTCTTTTTCCTCTTGTTGTCTCTCTCTGAGGTGACTGGGGTCCAGATGTCTGTGTTCCTTCATAACCTCAGGAATTACTTTTGTTAAAAAAAAAAAAATCACTGTATTTGAATGAGTTCTGATAGATTCCGGGCTAAAACTGACTATTCCTCCAGACAAGAAGGCCATCAGAGGGACCCTTAACCCTTTTTGTCGTGTGTCACTTGACCTTGGGAAAAGAGAATGAAGAAGCTTTGACCGTGGGGCAGTGGGCATGATTTATCCGCCATAAATCAAGTGCTCACAAGTCCACAGATCTTGGGGTAAGCTGTATGATAATCAAAGTAAAGTTAAACTGGTGTGATTAAACTTAATTTTCGGTGAAAAACTTTCTCATGAACATGAAACAGTAGTTGTTGGGGTAGTCATAATACTTTAATAAATGTTCAATGATCTTGCCATCTAAATGTTGTTTATGGGCATCATTGCCAGTTAGACTCATGGCACAAGTATTGGCTGCATTTTAATAACCAAGAATTCTGCCACTGATATAGTTTTATTTACTTGTACATGTTGACTTTTAGCATCCAGCTGAGACTATTTCATAGTGGTTTCAGTTTATTACCTCATATGATTAATCTGTTGCCTTTAGATTTAATCTGTTGCCTTTAGAATGCTAAAAAGCAGATATTTAAACTCTCATGATGTGGTAAAATTACAAACCTTTCTACCAAGGAGAATAGCATTGATTATGTAAAAGTGAAACACGATGGGTTTCTGTGGAACACTTGGCTCCCCCAAACATTTATATCTCTCCTTTGGGGTTATGTGTTGAGTTTTAGTTTCTTATTTCCAGTCACCTTGAATGTGGATTTCAGGGCAGACCTGAGCTTGTGTCCTTGCTTCAGGCTCACCATCCTTTGACTCTACAGTGGAGGAATGGAGAATACAAGCATTTTGAACTTATTGTCTTTCTTCTTAAACTTGAGGACCATTCATAAGGTAATAAATGCTGGTTGACCTCTGATACAAAAATATCTCCAAGAGGAAGGAGAAGCATACTAGACTTAAAAGTAGAAAGCCTAAGTTTTGACGGCACAGACTCACTTTTCCCTGCACCTCCCTCTAAATATGACTAAATACTCTTGGAATAAATAGCTTGATAGAAAACCACAAAAGGCCCCTAAAAGGTGGTGGGAAAATAGACCAACTGAAGACCTTAAGACCAGAGGAAGGCAGAACAGGGAGTTTCTGTGATTCACATTTAAAAGGCTCTCAAAATATAATTAAATTGTCATTGAAATTATGTGTTACAAAAGTAAGCTAGGACCATATCCTATACATAAATAGGGTACATGCAAAAATAGAAGATTTAAATAGAACCAAGGGTTTCCTGAGATAGTATCTAAAGTATTAAGGATTTTGAAAAATCACTCTTGTTACAAGTAAACAGAAAAAATATAACCTGAATGAGAAAAGAAAATCAACCGACTCTCTTCCTCCAACATTGAGATATTGTAATTGATATTGAGGAATTGTTGTAAGAAGGATTTTAAAATATATTATAATAAATTTTCTCAAAACAAATTAAATGATAGAAAATCTCTACAAATACATACCATTTTGTACATTTTTAAAAAGACCTGAATGGAAATTATAGAACTGAAAAATATAAAAATCAAAATAAAAAATTCGTTAGATTATCTAAAAAGTACAGTGGATATGGCAAAGGATAAAATCAGTGAACATGAAGACAGATTATGAGAGTTTGCACAATGGAGAAAAATTAACCTGAAAAAAGAGAAAGAACAGAGTGTCAAGGGCTTCTGGGACAATAGCAGAGGGTCTAGTACTTGTATCATCAAAATTCCAGAAGAGAAGAAATTGGAAAACTGCAGGTGTATTTGAAGAAATAATTATATAATTTTGGTAAATTCTATATAATAATATGTAATGGCTGAAAACTTCTCCAATTTGACAAAAAACATAACTCTACAGATACAAGAAACTTAACAAATTTCAAACAGTATGAATCCAAAGAAATCCCAAACAAAATGCATAATTAAAGTTCTAAAAATCTAAAAAAAAAAAAAAATCTTTAAAAAATAACCATAGAGAAATGACATTATTTGTAAAGGAAGGCCATCTTAATAAACATGAGTTTCTCATCAGAAACTCATGGAAGCCAGAAGCATCACAACATTTTACAGGTACTGAAAGAAAATAATTTTTTTTTTTGAGATGAAGTTTTACTCTTGTTTCCCAAGCTGGAGTGCAACGGAGCAATCTCGGCTCACTGAAACCTCCGCCTCCCAGGTTCAAGTGATTCTCCTGCCTCAGCCTCCCAAGTAGCTGGGATTACAGGTGCATGCAACCATGCCCAGCTGATTTGTGTGTGTGTGTTTTTAGTAGAAACGGGGTTTCGCCATGTTAGACAGACTGGTCTTGAACTCCCAGTCTCAGGTGATCTGCCCACCTTGGGCCCCCAGAGTGCTGAGATTTCAGGAATAAGTCACTGTGCCCGGCCAAGAACAGAATTTTATAGCTAATAAAACTATCCTTCAGGAATGAAGGAAAAGGTAAAATATTGCCAGTTGAAGACAAATTAAGCTAACCTGTCGCTAGAAAACTTTACACTTAATAGCTAAAGGCAAACAAATATATAGAAAGTCAATAATAACAGACGAAGGCCATAAATTTCATAAAGGAATAAAAAGGACAATAGAATGTAGAAAAATGGGAGTTAACATAATAAACAATGCTTCACTTCATGAATTTCTTAATCATATTTCACTGTTGAAGCACAAATATATAACACCATTAGCTATGGTGCTCATTGTGCACAGAGGAAACTTTTAAGAAAGTTAAGTTTAAAAAGTAGGCAGGTAAGGGATTGAATTAGAAGTAAGGTTTCAGTACTTCAGTTGAAAAGGTAAAACATTGATACTAATAGGCTGAGATAAGATACGTGTATATTGTAATATCTAGAGCAACAACAAATAAAACTATTTATGGCAATATAGTCAGGCACATTATAAATGAATCAAAACAGAATTCTAGGTCAGGTGTGGTGGTGCACGCCTGTAATCCCAGCACTTTGGGAGGCCGAGGCAGACAGATCACTTGAGGTCAGGAGTTCAAGTCCAGCCTGGCCAACATGGTTAAACCATGTCTCTAGTAAAAATACAAAAAAATTAGCTGGGCAGGATGGCACATGCCTGTAATCCCAGCTACTCAGGAGGCTGACACAGAAGAATAGGTTGAACCTAGGAGGCAGAGGTTGCACTCCAGCCTGGGTGACAGAGCAAGATTCCCTCTCAAAAAATAAAAAAAAAAGAAAAGAAAAACACAGAATTCTAAAGAAAATGTTCATGTATCCCACAGTAAATAAAAGAGAGAAAAAGTAACAGAGGAACAGGAAACTGAGAGTACCCACAGAAAACAAATACTAAAATGGCAAATTGATGCCTTGACAATTACTTTGTTACTTTGCAACAGTTACTTTAAGTGTAAATGACCTAAATACACCTCAAAAGGCAGATTGGTTGGGAAGAAAAAAAACATGAAACAATGATATGCTATCTATAGGAACTCACTTTAAACATGTAAAATAATGCAAAAAGTCACATCATAAAAAACTTTAATTAAAAGGTGTGATTATATTAATATCCGATAAAAATAGACATTAGAGCAAAGAAAATTAGTAGTATCAAAGAAAGGCAGCTGTTACATAGTGATAAAAGGAACATGGCAATCCTAAATTTGTATGCACCAAAAAACAGAGCTTCCATATACATGAAGAAAACAACAAATAGAAATGAAAGAGAAATAAATCCACTTTTATAGTTGGGAGCTTCAACATCCTGCTTTTTTTTTTTTTTTTTTTTTTTTTTGAGACGGAGTCTCGTTCTGTCGCCCAGGCGGGAGTGCTGTGGCGCGATCTCCGCTCACTGCAAGCTCCGCCTTCCGGGTTCACGCCATTCTCCTGCCTCAGCCTCCCGAGTAGCTGGGACTACAGGCGCCCGCCACCGCGCCCGGGTAATTTTTTGTATTTTTAGTAGAGACGGGGTTTCACCGTGGTCTCGATCTCCTGACCTCGTGATCCACCCGCCTCGGCCTCCCAAAGTGCTGGGATTACAGGCGTGAGCCACCGCGCCCGGCCTCAACATCCTACTTTCATTAATTGATAGAAATATAGTACTTGACCAAAATCAGCAAGATATGGAAAAACAATGCCATCCATCACAAGGAACTATTTGACATTTACAGAAAATTCTACCAACAAAATGAGAATATACATTTTTTAACCACCCATGGAACATTTCCCAGGATAGACCATATCCTCAAACATAAAACAAATCTTAACGAATTTAAAGAATTGAAATCATCCAGAATAGTCCTCTATCAACTGTGGAAGCAAACTGCTGATGAATAACTAAAAGTCAACAGAAACATCTTCAAATGCAAAGAAACTAAACAACACACTTCTAAATAATCCATGGGCCAAAGAGGGAAGCTCAAAGAAGTTAAAAAATACATCAAACTATTTTTGCAGAGTTATGAAAACAAAACCTCTACGTATCAAGTGCATGTAATGCAGCTGTAACAGTGCTGAGAAAGGAACCTATAGTACTAAATGCTGACGTTAGAAAAAGGAAAAGCTTTTACATGAGCAATCTAAGTTCCTTCTCAAAAAATTGCAAAAAGAAGAACAAAATGAATCCAAACATGGAGAAGGAAGGTATTAATGAAGAGCAGAAATTAATGAAATTGAACAGAGAACATCACTGAAACAAAAAGGGTTTCTTTGGGAAAACAATCAATGCAATCAATTAAGCTCTGGCAACACTGACAAAGAGAGAAAAGACACAAATTACCAATATCAGGAATGGAACAAAGAATACCACAATTTTGTAGCCATTAAAAGAATGATAAGTGATTTGTATTAACTTTATCCTCTAAAATTCAAAAACTTAGGAGAAAATGACCAATACTTTACAAACCAGAAACTATCAAAACTCACTCAAAGAGAAACAAATACAGAAATAGTTCTGTAACCATGAAGTAAATTGATTTGTAACTAAAGACCTCCTGAAAAGAAGTATTCATGTCTATATGGTTTCACCAGAGATTTTTACTAAACATATAAAGGTGAATTAATATCCAAATATAGATAGATGATAGATGATAGATAGATAGATAGATAGATAGATAGATAGATAGATAGATAGATAGATGATAGATAGATAGATAGGAAATGCAAAACAAAAACATAGACAAGTGTGTCTCATGAACCTAGACACAAAACTCCTCAATAAAATATTAGCAGATTAAATCCAGCCATGTACACAAAGTATGGTATAATTCATCATATAAAAATGGGACTCTTCCTAGCATTCAAGGCTAGTTCAAGACTTGAAAATCAACATAATCTATCAGAAACCTAAAGAAGAAAAAATAGTATAGCTATATCAAATGACACAGAAAAAGAAAGTATTTGACAAAATTCAATACTTATTCATGATTAAAAACAAAATTCAGCACACTGGAAATAGAAGGGAACTTCTGCAGCCTGATAGAGAAGATCTACAGAAAACCTACAGCGAACATCATACTTACAGGTGGAAGACCAAATGCTTTCCTTCTAAAATCAGGAACAGGCCAATGACATAAATTCTCACCACTGCTACTCAACAGAGTACTGGAAACTTTAGTCAGCATGATATGGCTAGATAAATAAATGGCCTACAGATTGGAGAGAAAGAAATACAACTTAGTTTGCATAAGACATAGTTGTCTATGTACAAAAATTTCAAGAAATTTACAACCAACCTCCTAGAACTAAGAGTGAGTTGGGTACGGTTAGAAGATACAAGTTCAACACAAAAGTACTGATTGCATTTCTATGTACTAATGACAAACATGTGGACACCAAAATTGAAAGTATGATTCTATTTAAAAGCACTCCAAAGAACATTAAGTACTTAAGTATAAAAACCATGGACAGGATCTGTGCCCTAAAAATTACAAAAATAATGCTAATAAAAAAATTAATAAAAGAAGACTTTAATAAATGGCAAGAAATACTGTGTTCCTAGATTGGCAGTTTCCACATTGTAGAGATGTCAATTCTCCCCAAATTAATCTATAAGTGTAATGCAACTCCTATTAAAATCCAAGCAATGTAACTTTTAGATATATGCAAGTTTATTTAAACATTTATATAGAAAGAAAAAGGCCCTAGAATAGTCCAAAGCATTTTGCAAAGGCAGAATGAAGTGAGAGGCGTCAGTCTTCTGATGGTAAGGTGTACTATCTAGCTAAGGTGTACTATCTAGCTGCATTAATCAAGACTGGCCAAAGGATGAACATACAGATCAAGGAAACAGAATAGAGAACCCAGAAATAGACCCATGCAAATATGCCCAACAGATTTTTGGCAAATATAAAAAAGCAATTCAAAGGAGGAAAAATAGCTTTTAAATAAGTTGTATTGGGGCAACTGGATATCTGTAGGCAAAAACATGAACTTTGATTTAAACCTCATATCCAATACAATAGTAACTTGAAATGGACCAGGGGATCAAGAGAAGATATTTAATATTTATGATCTACCTGCTTCCCAGGATCACCTCAACAGTGCAAAGAAATGATGCTAACCCCAGCACGTACATATGTTTCCTTTATAGGTGAACATTGATATTTCTGGGATACACTACAATTTCCCTTTACAAATAATTCCCCTTTTGTCTGTAGCATTCCTCCTCAACTCTCTCCCCTCTGCGCCTTACTGACCCCCACTGATGTGAGGCAGAAAAGCCATCGCCACCCGCACCAGGTTGGGCTGAGACTAACACTCTGGCATCCTTCTTCTCCCTTGGAAACATGTTGGGACTGTCCCTGCTCAGGTGAGATGGTTTCTTCTTCACAAGTATGGCTCTTCCTCTATGCTGATTTTTTCCAAGCTAGGCACTTTGCCTCTTATCTCTTTTCCTCCAGCACCTAGCAGGGTACCTGGCACACAGTAAGTGTTTAATCGCTTTGGCTGCATTGATTTCCACAATCAATTTGAAAAGATTTAAAATGAACCCTCTGTGGTTTGCTTTGATTTGAACGATTTGATTTTGAGGTGAATTAAGATAAAGTCTGAGAATAAGACTGAGTGGAAACAGTGAGATTCCCTGGATCTAACAATTTACAGTCAGCAGTTGTTCAGCAGTAGACTTTTGAATCAGAGAGACCTGAGTTTCGACCTTATCTCCAACACCTAGTAAAGGTGTGACTTTGAAAAATGACTAGTGTTTGCTTAGTCTTGGTAATTTTAATCTTCAAAATATGGGTAATAGCAATAAATACCTGTATTAGTCCATTTTCACGCTGCTGATAAAGATATACCTGAGACTGGGCAACTTACAAAAGAAAGAGCTTTCTTGGACTTACAGTTCCATGTGGCTGGGGAGGTCTCACAATGGTGGTGAAAAGCAAGAGGAGCCAGTCACGTTTTACATGGATGACAGCAGACAAAGAGAGGAGAGCTTGTGCAGGGAAACTCCCATTTTTAAAACTATCAGATCTTGTGAGACTTATTCACTATTGTGAGATCAGCATGGGAAAGGCCTGCCCCCATGATTCAATTACCTCCCACTGGGTTCCTCCCGCAACACATGGGAATTGTGGGAGTTACAATTCAAGATGAGATTTGGGTGGGGACACAGCCAAACCATATCACTACCTCATAGTGCAAAATTAAAAGGACTCAATAATATCATCCATTAATTTGATTATAAATATCACTGTATTATTCCATCGTTTGAAAGATTAAACCTCTCAAATGCTGTGACAATGTAAAATGATGTATTTGGGTCTATGGTGTCCATTTTTATATTTGTATGTGTGGTAATCTTTGAGCATGGAGCTAGTGTTTGTCCAGACCTTCCCAGATATAATTTGTAGACATGTGTCCCATTACTGGGTATATACCCAAAGGATTATAAATCATTCTATAAAAACACATGAACATATATGTTTATTGCAGCACTATTTACAATAGCAAAGACTTGGAACCAACTCAAATGCCCAACAATGATAAACTGGATAAAAAATAAGGGGCACATATACACCATGGAATACTATGCAGCTGTAAGAAAGGATGAGTTCATGTCCTTTGCAGGGACATGGATAAAGCTGGAAACCATCATTCTCAGCAAACTAACACAGGAACAGAAAACCAAATGCCGCATGTTCTCACTCATAAGTGGGAGTTGAACAATGAGAACAAATGCACACAGGAAGGGGAACATCACACACTGGGGCCTGTCTCAGGCTGGGGGGCAAGGGAAAGGAGAGCATCAGGACAAATACCTAATGCATGTGGAGTTTAAAACCTAGGTGATGGGTTGATAGGTGCAGCAAACCACCATGGCACATGTGTACCTTTGTAACAAACCTGCATATTCTGCACATGTATCCATACAGAACTTAAAGTAAAATTTAAAAAAAGCCAAAATCCATTTTTTCCATAAGTGATGATTTGTTGATTATTTAGCACAGATATCTCTGAGAAAGGCTGTATGAAAATTATGGTTCTTTCTTCATTGACTCATGTAATCTATCATTGAGTTCATTGCTGCATATTAGATTGCCTTGTAGCTGATTAGGATAGTGGCTCCTAGTGTATGGTTAACACAAAGTATTTACTACCACCAAAATAACAATCACATTTATTAACATTGTGAGACTAACCACTCTATTAACTACTACTTCTACTTAGCTCTCTACAATTACAGAAACTCATTTGATGCTTTGGATTCAGAAACCCAAGTTTGGTAAAATCTCCTTTCTGTATTCATTTCACTAAACGAAAGCTACAAAACTTTCCTCTCTTTACTTCACTGTCATAGTGAATCCACTTACCAGAACTAACAGCCTGTCTTCAATCTAGAATAGTTCTATTATTAATCATGTCTCAATTATGCACTATTAAGTTAGACTCAAGAAGGGAGAAGAGGTCCCAAGATGAGAAGAGTTCTTCCTGATGAGCAAAAGGTTAGAAACTATGACAGTCTCTATGTACAGACCTCAAGAAATGCCCTAGGCGTTGAGTGCAAGATTTTCCTGTAGGACAAAGGATCTTTCCCTTTCCCCTAGAACAAGCAACTTTCTATGCATTTTGTTTGTAAATTTGTCTCTTAGGCTGACTTTTCAGGGGGTAAAAGGATATATTTATTGGCATTTCTGCTTATCTTAATAAAATGTGTATAATGATAATGACATATCATAAATTGTTGATACTTAAGGTGCTCCATACACACTCAATTTAAATTAAAGCTATTTTATCCCATTCCATGCACAGCAGAATTTCATACTGTCTGAAGGTAAGTAATGCTTATTTGAGCCTAAAGCCCAATATAAATAAATCGAGTGCCCTGTTTACCTGCTTTTTAACCCACTATAATACAAACTTTACAGAATAAGAAATTTCCTGTATCTCAAGGCAGCTATGGGATAACCTTCAGGCTTTTTTCTTTTTTCTTTACAACTACCAACATTACGTGACTGCATTTGGATTATTTAGGTAAAAATTATTCATCTCATTTTCATTAATTCTTATATTTTTACCAATAATACAAAATATTTTTGCTGCATGTTGGGAGGTGCATAGAGGCAAACAACATTAGTTTGCTCCCTGCTCCGAAGCTTTATTTATCGGAGAGGAGGTGTTTCTTTGTTCTCCCAACATTCTGGTATTGATGAGCGAGACACCGCTGGATAATGTCTACAACATGGAAGAGGATAACAAAATGACATCGTTTTGGGGGAAGCCACAATCACAGGTACAAAAAGCTTCTAGCTGTGTTTCAATGAACAAGGAGGCAGAATGGCACCCTCATCCTGCGGTATGACACCCTCACTCTGCGGTATGCCTCTGTGTTTTGTCACAGGGTTACTTGTGGTGAACTCTAACGTTTGACAGTGTGCCTTGGAAAAAGAGGATAGTGAGGCCATTGAATGTGGATGAAGTCCTCCCCCTCATGGTTGATTATAATAATATTCCTTTTAGAAGATTATGCAAATCTTTTTGATCAAAAGTATTTAAATCCCTTTGATGGATTCAGGGAGAATCATAAGTATTTGAAGAGAACATTTTGACATTGAATGGATGTATCGCTTATTTCTGTTATGCCACAAGAGGAGTGAATTACACTGCATAGTAAGATGAGAAAATTCCAAAGATGACCATGAAAGGAAGCACATAACGCATCTCTGGGTGGGTAGGGAACTTGCAGCTGGTCAGGTCTGAGTTTGCACAAGAAAAGAACTTCTCCAACATAAGGAAGATACAGAATGCAGACATCTCAAAGGAAATTTCTTTTTTTTTTTTTTTTTTTTTTTTTTTTTGAGATAGAGTCTCACTCTGTCACCCAGGCTGGAGTGCAGTGGCGCAATCTTTGCTCACCACAACCTCCACCTCCTGGGTTCAAGTGATTCTCCCTCCTCAGCCTCCCTAGTAGCTGGGATTACAGGTGCCCGCCACCACACCCAGCTAATTTTTGTATTTTTAGTAGAGACGAGGTTTCACCATGTTGGCCAGGCTGGTCTCAAACTCCTGACCTCAGGTGATCTACCTGCCTCGGCCTCCCAAAGTACTGGGATTACAGGTGTGAGCCACCATGCTCAGCCTCATCTTATTATTACTTTTTTAAACTTACATCTCTTTTCCTTCTATTTGCAAAGATCAGTATGAAGCTGTAACATGTTTTTGTTTTTCAGTAGGGTCCTTTGTGTCCTACTTATCTGAAATATTGGTGCCATTTCCTGATACCTTTCTCCCTCTGAGCACCTACATTGGTCCCATTGACAGCATATCAACCTTAAGCCTATGACCTCTCAGGCTTTCCTCTGCACCTGGTCAAGTTTGTCAATGGTCCTCTTAACATACACAAGTCAAAGAAGAGCGCGTAACAACCTGGAAAGGCCAGGTACTTTCCTCTAGCTTTGTGTGTCTTTCTCTGCCCAACATCTGCCTGTCCCGAAACTCAGACTTGCTTCTTCCTTCTTCTACTCCAGCTCAAGCAGAAAAACACTTAAAGAGCCCTAGTTCATCACTTTCCAAATTCTAGGACCTCCAGGAAACATGTTTCATTTATAAAATAGGTAGATCCCTGGTCTCATAAGACCCCTTAATCCTTGGTCATTCATAGTATTCACTGGGCTCTGAAAAGCCTACAGTTAAAAAACAAAAACTATTTAGCATTGTCTCAACCAGTATTCACAAAACTTATTTGTGCACATAATATTCTTTTCACATATAGTAAGAATTTTTGTTGCATCCCAATTCCATGACTTTGCAAAAAGTCATGGTTTGTGGTTGATGCAACTCTGCCTGCAGCCTTCTGCTCCCACAGCTGCGCAAACCGAGCTCTCTCTGGGGGGCCTTCGAAGAATATTTTCTAATGACTAGAAGCAGTTCCTCCTCTCAAAGGGTTGTCTTTTTCTTATCTGTTTTATCCCAAATGCACCACCTGTTAGAGAGGCCTTCCCTGTTCCATTTTAATCACTCCCTTTCTCAGATGTATCCTTCAAAGCTTCTATCACAAAGAAATTATGTTGTCTTCCTGTGTCCAAGTGTTCTCATTGTTTAATTCCCACCTATGAGTGAGAACATGAGGTTTTTGGTTTTTTGTCCTTGCGATAGTTTGCTGAGAATGATGGTTTACATGGCACATGTATACATATGTAACAAACCTGCACATTGTGCACATGTACCCTGGAACTTAAAGTATAATTATATATATATGTATATGTATATATATATATATATACATATACATATATATAAAGAAGATCACTTCACTATATATCTTGCATTAAATAAAAACCTTAGTTAAAAAAAAAAGAAATTATGTTGTCAACTGACTGACGTTTTCCATGTAAATGTAGCTCCACGAGGATGGGACCCCACTGAACTCATTTTCTGCTGTGGACTGGGTTGGTGGGGGCTGCACTTGGCTGAGTATTCCCCTGGGTGCCGCTGGGTTCTCATCCATATCACACACTCACAGGTGAGCTGACTGTGTGTGGGTGATAGGGTGGCTGGGCCACCTACCCTCCAGCAGGCCAGGCCAGTCATGCTCAGGTGAGAGCAGAGGCACAAGGAGGGCAAGGCAGAGACCCCCAGGACCCCCTGAAGCCTGAGCAAGGGGATCCCAACAGCTTTCCAGGTTTACAGACAGACCCTGAAGCACAGACACACAGATAATATTATTTTCGCATGAATTGCATTTTGTATCTTGTTATTTTGTTCTGTAGGAGCTAGAGTTGTTTATAAAAATGGGCCCAGTGGGATGTGAGAGAGAGACTTTTAAGCAACTGGCTCACATGATCATAGGGTTGGCAAGTAGGAAATTTACAAGGCAGACTGGCAGGTTGGACATTCTGGAAAGGTTTGATGCTGCAGGCTTGAGTCCAAAGGCTGTGGGAAGCGGAATTCCCTCCTCTCCGGGCAGGTCGGATTCTTTCTTAATGCCTTCAACTGACTGAACGAGGCCCACCCACATTATGGAGCATGATCCATTTTACTCGAAGTCCACTGATTTTAAATGTTAATCACATCTAACAAATACCTTAACAGCAACATCTAGAAAGGTGTTTGAACAAAGGTGGAGCACTAGGATCTAGCCAAGTTGACACAAAATTCACCAAGACAGTATCTGAAGATTTGATACCATGTATTCTCATGTGTTTCTAGATTTAGCCAAATAACCTTCAAGGCCAGCCCAGATTTCACAGAGTGGAAGTAGACTTGGACTTTTTCATGAAATAAAACACAAAATCATATCACATAAGGTGTAAATAAAGAGAGGAATAAAGATTTGAGGCCACTAATAAATCAACACAGACTTCCATGCCATCAAAGCCCCACTATCCATATATACACTAATGTCTGTGTGCAATGCCTGCCATAGCCCAGGGAGTGAACACCCCTCCAAGACCTCTCCCCTCCTGCCCACTGGGAGCACCTTCATTCCTGGGAGCATTACAGGGTATCAGAGGCAAAAAGTACAACAGGGATACCTTGGTAGAACTAATGTTCCAAATTGGTTGTTGAAAACCTGTTGGCAATAAAGAATTTTGCAAGCAGGTTTATAAATCTAAGTGAGAATGTGTTTGTTTCTACCTAAATATACACTTTCCATACATATTTATTATGATATATCACATACATAGTGAAAATTTTGTGATTAATAATATATATATTTGTAAAAATATTAAGTTTTGCTGTAGTTCTTCATAATTTTCACGTTTTTTCAACCAGTAGACATAAATACAACTACTTGTGAAATATTTTGTTTTTTAGTAGTCCTTACATAAAAACAACTGAGTAAGACTGTACTGGGAAGTAGAAAGTGTAATTCCATTTCTTGAAATAATATTAAATAATTTACAAAGGGAAGAAGAAAATAAAAGCGGTGTAAATTTCAGCTCTGCTATGTGTTAATTTAATAGTTTGCAGCCGGATTTTTTTTCTGATCCTCATTTTCCTCATAGGTAAAACGAAAATTAAAATATATAGTGTAAATATTTTGAGCAACAACTAATTGATCAGAGATGCCAGTAAACATTTCCCATTTTTAGTATTTTATATACAGTGTAACATTGCTCTTCTACACAAAATCGAGACAGAATCCTGCCAGTCACTGATGCACTTACTGGAACAAAACAAGTTGCCAGGATCTTAGGGGAGCTTTTTTCTTCTAACTCAAGAGCTTTAGAAGAATTTGTGCATTGGAGATTCTTCACCTGCCGCATCTCAGGTGTCAAGAACCCAGGGTTGTCCTTTGAGTAGGGAGCTAAAAAGGCTGCACGCTCCCTCCCTCTGCAGTCCCTTTGCTGTGCCTGCGGGAAGGTCCTGGCCCCCGTGTTCAGAATCGTCCTCTGCCCTTGCCGGAGCTGCCATTCTCCTTCAATATCTCTTGCTTGCTCAGAATGTCTGAGTGGGAATGGACTACTCTGAGCCTAACATTTCCACCTGCCAAGACATTCAAACGTATTACCAGTCAATTCATTCCTCAATCTTATCCTGCAGCTGTCAGTGACTCAGCCCGTGCAAGAACCACCTGCTACCACATATCCAGACACCTTGTGTCCTGCTTGTACTTTATGCTGACTTAGAAATGGTCCTGCCACATCCTCAGAGAGGGCATCACCGCCTGCAACAGGGGCTCCATGGAATTGCCCAGCTCCACAACCCACCTCGGAGGTCTGCTGGCCAGGCTCACACATCGCTTTAGCCTGCGATTTGCAGAAACCAGAGGCAGACCAAAACCTCCGGAGCTACTTCTTGTTTCAGGGGTGCAATCCTGGGACACATGAGTGAGAAGAAAGAGTTGTGAGGCAAGGGAGGAGGAACTCAATATGGGTGTGCATCCCCCATGCTGGCCTCTGCTGGGTCTGGTTACTGAGTGTTCAGTCTCGCTGGACCTGGTCCTGGTGAGGCTGATGAAAGTGCCTCCTCAGGGCAGTCTGTCTGCAGTAAGAAGAGAAAGGAATTTAACCACCAGCTCCCATCAAAGGTCTTTTGCCTGTACCATTGACTCTCTCACACTTCTGGCTGTGTGTGCATTGGAGTCTCAGGTGTCATGTCATGCCTGTGTCACTGTGAACCCCCACAGCAGGAGGTAAGAGGCTGATCCTGCTGTCTGTGTGCATGGGAAGGGGTCAGAGGCTGCTCCACCTCTCAGGCCGGCACAGGTGAGGCCTTGGGGCCAGGGCAGGTAGCAAGGACCTGAAGTTGCCCAGGTGAAGTGTTGGCGGAGCCTTTGGCAGGTGTGGGTCTCTCATCTCCCACAGCATAAAGCAGGGCTGGCCCTCGGCAGGTGCAGACCTTGTCTTCCTTAGTCAACTGATAAATGGGGGATTACATGAATGATGGAATGAATTGATGAACTCTTAGTTTTAGGATAATTCATCCCTCTTTTATTTTACTCTTATAGACAATCACTGAATGCAGTCACAAAACTTCATTAGGGTTGTCAGAAATGGTGAATGATGCTGGGAGGGCCAGGGAAATGCTTCCTGCCAATCCACTTTTCTCATCAATAGAGTGTATGTGTTGTTTGTTTGTTGGGCACAGGGGAGAAAGGCCACCCTTTGTATTGCAGTGGCTGCTAATCTAATTTTCCAGGCCAAAGGATAGTCCCTGTGATCTAATTCTCAATCTACTACAGGATTGAGATGAAGACCAAATCATCTTAGAGGATCTAATAATCTTGTTTCAATCGATCAGTTTCTTAGGCAGTATCCTTCGGTTGAGACTTTTCAGATAAGTAAAGAAAATTAGGTTAAAAGCAAAATGCTTCTTTCTAAAATGTGTCTTGCACGTTGCCCATTCAGCCCAGGGGCAGCTGGGTGGCCTCTCCTCGGGGCGTTTGGGGCCCACGGAGAGACATTTACTGTACTCGGGCAAAGCCACTGCTCCGTGGCTCAGTGAATAAAACGCTGCGGTTTCTCCCATTGACTGCCTGAAATAAAATAATCTATGATGCATGAACAAGTCTAAATGAAATAATAATATCCTTAGCAGTGAAAAACGGATTGGTAATACAGTAATTGAGCAGATTTATTGCCATCTCCTTGAGCTAGCCTGCTGAAACAGCCGGCTATTTTATTTAATCTCATATCAGAGGAATTACTGGCTGGTAATCCATTGTTAAACATCATTTAGAATGATGGATGAAAATGTCAGCTTTTCCAACATAATCAATTCATATCTCATTAGCACATATTATTTATGATTCTCATAATGGGACCTGCAGGGGTCTCCAGGGGGAGATGGAGACCTCAGCTGTTGTCGAAATGAGATGAGATATACTGTAGCTTATGAGTTAATAACTGCATATAAAAAATACTTCTCCCCGCATTGATTGTTCTCACCATTTTACGAATGAATTGAAGGACTGGGCCTCCCCATCTTGCTGTGTATTGGCTGTGTCTGGCAGCACTTTCTCGTGTGATTTTTAAGGTTAATCATTAGGCTGAAAATATTTTAAAAACCAATAATAGGATTCTGTTTCAGAAGAACGTTCCCATCCTAGGAAAGCGAGCCGTTGGATGCCAGGTGCCCGGGAACACTTGGCCTCTATGTGGCTGCCGGATGAGGACTGGGGAGACTCCTTTCCCTCTCGCTACCTATGAAGATAAATCGACATATTTCTTTAGCTCCAGCCCAGTTGCTTTCTAAGGATACTCTCTCCCGCGTGCTGCCTCCAAGACCAATGAAAAGCAAACCTTGATTCATGGGCTCCACGCTGCTGATGGCGCATCGGTAATCATGGTTACAGTGTCAACCGATGCCTCAATTAAACTACATTTGAGAATCATTTTATGCCTCAGCTCATAAACATCAATAAAGGAAAATGAGTAATAAATGACTGTCTAGAGTACAAAGGACCAGCTCATATTTCAGATGAAAATGAAGACAAAATGTAGCTTTTATTTGCCTGTGGAATTCCCATTAACTGCATCACTGACAAGAGAGAGCTGGATCAATAGCTGGCCGGCCGCAGAAAACCGTTTCTGGCTGTTCAGCAGCCAAGGCAAAAGGAAAACTGTCATATTGCGATCTTTATCAGGCAATCTTCATTACACCAGACCGATGATATACGCACATGCTGGTCAGCTAGGGGTACTTCTAATTCTTGGTTCTGTTTGTGGTTTGAGTGTACAGCGATCACAAATTATTTGTTTACGGCGACGAAAAATCTTCAATGCTCATCCCTTTTATTCTTTTTATAGGTAATCTATATCTGGAAACTTTCTCTCAAGACTACTTTATTCACTCAGGATTTTAAAGAGAGTATTATATCAAACCTTACCTTCCTCCCCACTCTGAGTAAAGAAGAACCTGTCAAGGCTGCTGCGGGCCTTGATGGAGCAATTTGTAAGCTCCTTCTCCAAGTTCTGGAAGGAAGTGCTGCCTTCTTTGTGAGCTGCTGTTCTCCCTTTAATTGAACAGAAAATGCTGCTAGCTGTAAGGAATAGAAATGAATGCTTCATGCGACACGAAAATACAGCAAAACTCGTTTCTTTTGCATTCCGTGTGCCTGCCAAAAATAAAGAAGAAAAAAAGAAGATGCATTCTATTAAGTAGGAGATTGGGTCAGCCATTTCAGGAAGACCCTTTTTACATAAATTCCACGTTAAGGAAGGAGTTCCATGACGTTTATCAAAATCTCTGTTCAGTTAAATCGTATCACAGGAAGTCCTTCACAGAAAGATGAATAGAAGAGGCAGAAAGGTAGTGGGGAAAAGGCAAGACATTTCATAGGAAAGACAAACTGGAAGGTGGGAATAGCATTAGTAATAGTTACAAGCATAGCAATTCTAACATTTCCTGTTATTCACTGAAAACTGTGACCCTGATGGATCTCAATGTACTTCAACAGTGTTATTGTGTCTTTCAGAATTTTTGCAAGGGAAATTGCGCTGGATGGTCAGCCATTTAGATTCTCGCTGGCTTAGATTTCAGGAATTGAACCAGGTGGAGGGTAAGGCCTGTAGACTCACCTGAAGAATGTTTGGATGTCTGATTCATGACTCCTTCTTGAGTTTTCAGCATTAAAATGTGCTTTTTGTACACATATTTTCTTTCTTCTTTTTACTGTCCATGGCCAAATTTCTTCTTACTGAACTAATATGAATTTGACGCTGCTATGAAATTTCTCCTGTAATGTGAAACGTATCCACTTCTGTTGAAAGTGAAACTCTGACTCTTAGGATTATACAGAAGTTATTAGCTAAAAATATAATTTACATACAAAATACAGTAGAGGGTCTTACAACTCTCATATTTACTAGAATATTTGCCAACAAAGAATCTACCAAGGGACCCTAACGATGTTTTACCCTTTTTGTGCCCGGTAGTTATGGCTACCAGCTCTTCTTATTTTTTAGTCAGTGATATAAGAATAGTGGTAGATGTCGTACCTGAAAAAGTGTCACCTCCTGTGCATTCTCAGGGAAGTGTAATTCAAAAGGACCATTTAGTCAAGTTTTAAATGTAATATCTGGAACCTCAAAAGACCCATGAAATGGACTTTGATGGCCTTTCTTGGGATTTTTTTTTTTCAGGAACAGTGACCACTAAATAAATGGAAAGCTGTTTCCTGTAATCAGACTCCCATGACCCACCTACAGTATTAAATATTTCAGAAGCTCAAGAACATTATGTGCAGAACCTCAAATAGTAGGCAGGTGCTGGATTTTAAAGGTTCTCTTGCTGTTTGCCATCCATGCATCCTGTAGTCCTACGTGTGTAAATCTAACCATCACCATGGGGTTCAAATGGGATCTTGAAGAATTACATGGTCTATTTTCACCAGCATTATTTTAGACAAGCGACTGCTAAATTAGTTGAATATTCAACGCACAGAACATTTGATTGTCAAAAGAAGTCAATGAAACAAAAGAAAAAAGTAACTTAGAACTTTTCATGCATTGCTGGTGGAAATGTAAAATGGTGCAGCTACTTTGAAAACGGTTTGGCATCTCTCTAAATATGAAACACTGTGTTCCCATGTCCCCAGCAATTCTACTTCTAGGCATGCACCTGAGAGAAATGAAAGCACACGTCCACACAAAAGCTTGTGCATGAAGGTTTACAACAGCATTACTGACAACAGTCCAAAATGCAAACCATCCAAGTATCCATGACCTGACGGATGTAAACACAGGCTGGCGTATCACACTGTGTAATCCCATCCACGGTGAAAGGGGATGAATGACTGATGTGTGCTGCAATATGGATGATCCTTGAAAATTTGGAGTGAAAGAAAGTAGACTCAAAAGCCACATGTTGTATGATTCCATTTACATGAAATGTCCAGAACACAGAAGCCATAACAAGAAAAAAGTAGATGAGCGATGACAAAGGGCAATGGGGAGGAGGAGACAGAGAGTGATGGCTAAAAAAATGGCTAACGTCGGCCAGGTGTGGTGCCTCACGCCCGTAATCCCACTTTGGGAGGCCGAGGCTGGCAGATTACCCGATGTCAGGAGTTCAAGACCAGCCTCGCCAACATGATGAAACCCCATCTCTACTACAAAAAAATACAAACAATTAGCTAGGCATGGTGGTAGGCACCTGTAATCCCAGCTACTCGGGAGGTTGACACAGGAGAATCGCTTGAACCCGGGAAGCGGAGGTTGCAGTGAGCCAAGATCATGACATTGCACTCCAGCCTAGGCAACAAGAATGAAACTCCATCTCAAAAAAAAAAAAAAAAAAAAAAGAAAGAAAGAAAAGAAAAGAAAAGAAAAAAAGAAAGAAAGAAATGACTAATGTCATATCCTTAAGATGTGGTGATACATTCTGAAGTCAGCAGCAATAGTTGCAAATTACTATAGGTGTGAACATACTAAAAACCACTAAACAGCACACTTCAAAAGGGTGAGAGTTACAGTATATTAACTACATCTCAATAAAGCTGGAAACAAAAGCAACCAAGGACAAATACATCATTTTAATGACACAAATAGGTAAAATATCAATGAGTACAGACACCATTCAGTGCTAACAGTGGTGTTTATCAGTTATTTTTCTATCATAGCCCAAATATCACAGGAAAAATGTCTCTGTAGCTCCCCAAATTCAGGTTTCACAGATATATAATCAGTCAGCTGGTCCATCTGTCAGCCAACAGGTAATATCTATTCAGCTCTCACTGGGTACGGAAAATTCAGATGGGAAATTAATGACAACACATAACGGTGACTAGTTACGGTTAATCTAAGTAGTTATTATAATATGAAAAGCAGGTAGACAAAACCCACCTACCCTTCAACCTCTTGCATTGTGGGTAATAATACCATTTCATGGAAATCCAGAGCAACTCTTCTTCAGGGAAAGTTGGGCACGCTCTGTCCAGAGGAAGAAAGCAGAGGTTCAGCTGGCAGGAGCATGAATGGAGGAGCCCACATTCAGCAGGGATGGTGAAAACATGCTGCTGAGTTGAGTTAATGTTCATTCATGTTATTTCAGCAAATGAGCACCTAATGAACATCTGCTCTGTGCAAAGCCCTATGCTGAATATTATGAGACATAAATGTATTTAGACTGTGCCTTGTAGGAGTTTGTGATTCGCCTGGAGACAGTCCATAGTGTGTTGTGAGTACTCAGAACTTGGAATCTGAGTTCTGGATTCAGACTCTATCCATGTCCTTTACTGCTTGTTACAGTAAGATTTAGTCACTAAACTTCTCTGAGCACCAATTTTCACGTAATTTACCAAGTGCATCTAATGTTATCTATCCTGCTTATCCCATAGAATCAGTCTAATGGCCAAACAAGATAACGCATAAGCATAAATTTTATGGGAGAAACAAAATATGCAGTCAAAGGCATTTTCTTTGGATTTTAGTGCTAAAATGGCTTTCAGGACAGTGATAAAGAGGTGATCTGTAACATGAAGAATGGGTAAGATTTTTCGAGCCAAAGAGGAATAAAGAAAATATCTTCTGTATGAGAGAAAGAGGGGACATCATGAGCTAAAGTAAAAAGGAAAGAGGGCAATAAGATATTCTCACTATTAGACAGCTTCTGCTTCAAAACAAACAAATTTTGGTAGCATGCATTTATTTTACACTCACGCATCAGATGGTTCAGTGGGGTGGTCGGGCTTCACAAGTCCCATCCTGGGGCCAGTGGTTGGGGGGTCAATGGCTACCCAAGTATTTTCTGTTCATGGCAAAGGCAGAATTTCTAGAACTCAAGCCCCACCATGGAAACACATTTTAAGCTTCTGCTTGCACCGTATCTCCTAATATCGCAATAAACAAATCAAATCACACGACCAAGCATAAAATCCATTCTGTGTCTGTGATACCCACACCATCATGTAGACTCATAACGCTCTTATGGAGGAGTGAAGAATTAGAGGCAGGCATTCTACCTACACAACCAGCCGGGCTGGAGGTGAGCATGGAGAGCAGCAAGCACACTGCTGGTCTGAAAGCAAATATGGAGGAAGTGTGAGTGTCTAAATCAGGAATACAAACATGATTTGGTGAACCTTAAGAGTCAAGGACTATTTTAAAATAGGAATTGGCTTTAGGGAAATGGGCTACTGAAAGGAGGTGTTTAGAAATATGCTCTCGAGCTCACTGGAGCATGTCTTCAGCTCACTGAGATCTCTAGCTCTTGTTCTCCCCAGGCTATCATATCTCTTTTCCCTGCATAACCTGGGCCACAGGTTGGTTGTCCTCATCACACTCAACTGCACCCCAAACTCACCTGCATCTATCAATTCCTCATCTCCACATAGAGAAACTCCAATACTAGATTAATGTAATAGTCACTCATCTTCACAAAAGGTATTGTGTTCATTCTCTGTTTCTGTTGTAAAAAATCACTGCAAATTTATCAACTCAACACAACACAGATGTCTTACCTTGCAGTGCTGTGGGTCAGAGTTCAGAAGGTCAGAGGTCCTGCATGGAGTGGCTGGATTCTTTCCTCAGGGTTTCAAAGTTAAAGTGGAAGTGTTGGCTGGCCTGAACTCTAATCTGGAGTTTGGTGGAGAATCCACTGCTGGGTTTATTCCAAACTCATTGGACTTGTTTATTCCAAATTCATGGAATTTGCTTCCATGCAGTTGTGGGACTGTGGTCAGCTTGGTTCCTCTTGAGCTTCCAGATCCCACCTTCATTCCCTGGCTCATGGCCAGGTGCTTTTCACCTTTCAGCCAGTGTCACATGCACTGCACGCCTCAAATCTGACTTCTTCTGCTGCATCTCTTTGTTTTCTGTCCACCTTTTTGAGGGTGTGTGTGGTTACATTGGGCCCACCCAAATAACCAAGGATAAACCTTATTTTAAGGTCAACTGATAAGTAACCTTAATTACATCTGCAAAGTCTCCTTTTCCATGGAAGGCAACATATTCCAAGGTGCAGCATGGCAGCACAACACAGGTGGTGGGGCATCTTCCTGGAGCATGAGTTTCCTCCCACCACCGCAATCTGCTCTGGTGACAAATGGTACTGGAGAATGCCCTGAACCACGTAAAGTCTCCGCCCTGGACAAAGTCCACTGTGAATGAACTCACCCATGCCAGTGAGCTCTCCATTCCATCCTTAATTCTTTCCATGTCTTTGCTTGGTTAGCTCACCCATCACTCTCAAGCTAAATCCAAAGTCCCAAAGTCCCAAGATCCTCCATCAGCCCTGCACAGGAGCCCATCACTCTTTTTTTTTTTTTTTCTTGAGAAGGAGTCTAGCTCTGTGTTGCCCAGGCTGGAGTGCAGTGGCGTAATCTTGGCTCACTGCAACCTCTGCCTCCCAGATTTACACAATTCTCCTGCCTCAGCCTCCTGAGTAGTTGGGATTATAGGCATGCCCCACCATGCCCGGCTAATTTTTGTATTTTTAGTAGAGACACTGTTTCACCATGTTGGTCAGGCTGGTCTCAAACTCCTGACCTCGTGATCCGCCCACCTCAGCCTCCCAAAGTGCTGGGATTACAGACGTGAGCCACCGCGCCTGGCCCCATCACTCATTTTTAAAATCAGTCTGTCTTTTATGTAATTGAGGGAAGTGAAGCCAGCAGGCAACTGTGCACTGACACTCTTGCCCACCTCACAGTCACAGCTGCCCCTGTGTTCAGGGTGCCCACCCCTTCCTGCAACTCCATCTGGGAAGTGTACTGCCTACATTGCAGGGGCCCTTCTAAGTCCAGCCCCTTAGCTCTGAAGGTGACTTAGCGATTACCAGCACTGCATTCCCTGCTGACTCTCTGATTTTAGCCTGTTTGTTGAGTTCTCTCCCACCTATCTCCAAAGAAACCCCCCCCTGAACTGCACATGCCACCCTAGCTATCCATCTGTCTCTCCTCCCTTTCCCAGTGGAACTTCTCCAAGGCTGAGCTTCCACTGACTTTGTGGACTGCTCATTTTCTTCTCAAGCTTCATTGGTCATCTTTCATGGCACCTCCACTGCCTGCACTTCGGGCAAGAACGAGCCACTGGCCTTCCTCCCCTCTTCTTCTTTGTCCCTTGACCTCCTCCTATGGAATCATCTCCTGAGAGGGTCTAGTCACTTACCCACTTTGCTGGGGTCTGTCTTCCTCCATTTGGCGATTGCTCACAAATGGGGCCTAGACCCCTCCTCCAAGCTTCAGGGTCCTCCACCATTCACCGTCTGTCACTGTCACCTCCATCTTCACAACTTCAAACTTGACACCTTCAGACCAGGTCACACGTCCTCTTGTTGATGAGCTCTTGACAACTTCAGACCTGGATGTGTGTCCTCCCATTGATGAGCTCTTGATACCTTAAGACGTGGATGTACGTCCTCCCATTGATGAGCTCTTGACACCTTCAGACCTGTATCTATGTCCTCCCTTTGATGAGCTCTTGACATCCTCTGACCTGGATGTGCATCCTCCCATTGATGAGTACTTCCTCTCTGGGCATCCGCCTTGGCCCTTACACCTGCCCTGGCTTCTCAGCTTGCCTTTGGCTGCATATACTCAATGCCCTTCCATTTTTCCTCTTGAAATTTTTATCCAGTCTGTCTTTCTTTTTCTCTCTGGAAGACACCATCCCCGTTGAAGCTATTGCCAATTAGGCGATTCCTAAAACAAGCCTCCAAATGGCCAGGAGGACTTCAGCCTCTGCTGCTCAGATATGTTTTCTTCACAGCCACGGGAAAGCCCATCAGAGTGAAAATCCATCATCACATTCTCCAGCTCCATGTGTCATTTCTTGACACCTCATGCTTTTAGTCAGGTTTATGCATTTGATTTGTATCATAGGTACAGTAGTTACTTCTTTGTCTCTATGATCCTTCCCCATTTTTCATGGGGTGCATTTTCATGGGGTGCAGTCTATCTCCGTTTTTCATGAGGTGCATTCATCATTTCTCTTTTGCATATAGTCCAATGGGCACTGCCTTCCTGCGGCCGTCTGGCTAGGAGAGCTGCCATCCCTTGGATTCTTACGGAGTGCAATGTATCCTTGCATTTGGCATGTTTTATGTTGTCATCTGCTCACTCCTCTAACAGAGGGTGAGTTATTTGAAAGTAGGGCTTGTATCACTCAGTGAGGTCATTAGTGAGGTAAGCGAAATGAACTAAGATGCAGAGCAAAGGAACAAAGATCTGAGACGGTGGTGAAATGATGTTGGTGGCGTGCAGCGTCCAGCACGTGATGAAAACTGTAGCCAAGCCAGGAGGAAGACAGCCGGCACTCCACATGAAGCCCTGCGTGAGCCCAGACAGGTGACAACATGCTGCCCCACCCCCACCGCAGGGCTGGTCGTAGCCAGCACATAGCCAACGCTGACCTCTTTCCTCCCTTCCTTTTGCTATTGTTCACAAATTACCAACAACTGTGTTTCCTTGGGGAGGAGAACTATGTATCTCTTTCTGAAACAGGAGTCACAAAGGTACAAATGTTGGCCTTTTCTCCTGCTAGTCTTGGAGATAAAATTGTGGCTACCTGATATTGAGAAAAACAGATCTAAGTTGACCAAGTTTTAAACTCAAAGCAAGCAAAAATTCTAACTCCAAAATGAAGATTGAAATACTTTTATAAAAATATGTAGTAAAATGATATTGGCTCTTATATACTAATAAAGCAATATATTTTCATATGTCTGAATTTAGTAATAGTTTCAGAAAAACCTATTAAGTATGCTGCCACAAATTTACCCCATTTACTAAAACCAGAATATATATGTTACATATGTATATAATTAAACGGCATGTTAGATGAAATCTGAATGAGAATAGATATTTTATCTAATTTGAGATTGTTAAAATACTAGGAAATGACAAGATATAGCGAGGAGATATAAGGGACCAGAACAATTATTTAACAAAGATACCATCAAGAAGAATTTTAAATGAATACAAATTCAAATTTTAGTTAAGGACAAAATGAATTTAGTTTCTGGGTCTTGCATCATTATTTAGTACATTGGTTATTATCTATGCCGATCACCCTTAAGTTTTTCTACCCTGAACGACCCAGTGAAGAGTTTAGGTCATCATGTTCTTCAATTCACATCTCTTCACAGAAGTAAGAAAGTCCTCATTCTCTAAGGGGGCATTTTGTGTAGGTCCAGCTCTGAGGAAAAGCCTGGCGGGCTGACTGATGCGCCGTCTGGCGGCCTCCCTGCAGAGCTCGGGGACAGTGTCTTCCTGGTGGTGCAGAAGAGGAAGACGGCTTCGCCTTGCTGATCTGGGTGCCGTAAACCCAACGACTCCCCACGCACAAGGGAAGTAAATGGGTATGTGTTATTTTAATTCTGGAGAGTACTTAGAATAGGTAGTGATATTCTTACTTTTTGCTTAAGGAGACCCCAGGTTCCTAATTCTTAGTCTCATTTCCTGAACAGATTTCCAACAGGGAACACCAAAATGGATGACATGGGGGCTGTTCCCCGATGGTGACCGCAGACAGTCATCAACACAGTGGAAACAGTTACATGAAGTCTCCAGGGCTCATTCAAAGGGAAGAATACCCTGTTTAAGAAGCTAATTACAAGACTTGCACGCAAAGCTTGTCCAGGTTTTTCCACTATTTCAAATATGGAAGAAGAATACATCTTACAGGAACGTTTGGATTTAAATGTCCAGTGCAGACACACAAATGACCAATGCCAGTGTGCAGGCCCCAGTGTTTCCAAGGGTAGGGAGACCCAAGTCCAATCAAAGAGGTCCAGGCTAGCCCTAAAGACTGCAACAGCCCAACCACACCATTTCCACAGGGCTGAAAGATTAAGACAATATTCTTATCTCTTCCCAGTTAGAGAGTAATTGTCTATTTCTTTGTCTTTTAAGAACACAGCATAGTTTTCATAGCCATAACTAAAAAGTAACTTTATTAACTATCTGTAGATATACATGTTTCTGTCTTTCAAAATCACAAATACATTTATAAAGATCTTCTTTACATAAAAAGTTAAGGCATATCCTAATTTAGAAAATAAAATACATACTCAATATGCATAGTTATTGAATGAATGATTGTTAAGAATAAGGATATGGCTACTTCTGAAGAAAATACACTAAAATTTTTTATATTCTCAGATTCAAATAATATGAGGCCCCAACATGATAGCAGTGGCATTTCATTCTGTGTGTGGTTACTCTGTGCTGGTTACATCAATGGAGCCACCCCAAGCATTTTGGGGGATTATGCCCTCTTGGAGAATACACTGAACTAAATAGATCTAAGTCATGTACAGAGTGTTAATTTGGGAGGTGGTGTTGGACACCAGGTAGTCCTGAACAGTGCTCATGTAGAACATTTCTGTCCTTGCAGAAAATTCCTGAGCGTGCTGATTTAGAGCTCCACTGTGGTGAACACAAGACAGACACAATGCACTTTAATGCTGATTCCCAAGGAAAGGTCAACAATGACATGATGCAGGGTTTTTTCCTTTTTTTTCTTTTGAGGCCGGGTCTCGCACTGTTGCCCATGCTGGGGTGCAATGGCAGATCTAGGCTCATGACAGCCTTGACTTTCCTGGGCTCAGGTGATCCTCTTGCCTCAGCCTGTCAAGTAACTGGAACTACAGACATGCACCACCATGCCTGGCTAATTTTTGCATTTTTTGTAGATGCAGGGTTAAGCTATGTTGCCTGGGCTGGTCTCAAATTCCTGGGTTCAACTGATCTGCCTGCTTCGGCCTCCCAAAGTGCTGGGATTACAAACATGAGCCATCACACCTGGCTGGATGATGAACATGTTTGCCGTGAAAATCCAAAAGTTACCTTTATCTAACAAGTGGGACTGGTTGATATTGTTATATGTGTGTGTGTGTGTATATACATATATATGTGTGTATATATGTATATACACACATATATATGTGTATCTACGTGTATGTATATACATATATGTATATATACGTGTGTATATATACACACACATGCAGACACACACACACACACAGGCTTTCTGTGATGGGATTGTGTAGCCAGACCAGGCCAGGACGGGCAGGGGCAGTAGGTCCTGTGTCTATATACATATATATATATATACACATACACATACATATATATATATACACATACATACACGTATACATGCACATATATATAGCCTATATATATACACATATATATACACATATATATGTGTACATATATAGGTATATAGATATGTACATATCTATATATATACATATGTATACATATGTATATATGTATATATAGATACATATATATGCATATATACATATAGATACATATAGATACATATATACATATATATGTGTATATGTATATGTATGTATATATGTATATACACATTTATATGTATATTATGTATATATGTATATGTATGTATGTATATGTATGTATGTATATATGTATGTATATGTATATAATGTATATACATGTATACATTTATGTATATATGTATACATATATGTATATACGTATATATGTATATATGTATACATATATGTATATACGTATATATGTATATATGTACATATCTATATATCTAGATATATAGATATGTATATATCTATACCTATAGATGTATGTACATATCTATATACCTATATATATGTATATAGATATATAATATTCTGTAACCCCCTAGCAATCACCACCAACCATACTCCAGCCTTAATCCCAAACACAGTGACCCAAAGTGCTAAGGATAGATCCTCTGTTCTCTTCTACATAGAAGAAGAGCTGACCCAACTCAGGATGATGTCACAGGCAAATAATAAATAAACTAAGGCAACTGGTAATAGAAGAACACACCAAACAGATAGAAGAAGACAAAATTAAATGTGGTATTTGTGGTATTCAATGCAGTATTTCACTCTTGCCTCCTTTCTAGATCTTCAGCATAGCAGCCTAAGGATACTTGGGGTGAGCCAGGAGTGAAGAGTTGGAAACACCACCTACTGTGACAAGTGCTACGGGCTTCTACCTGCAGGCGCCATGCTGGACAACAGGGACACAGGACCTACTGCCCCTGCCGGTCCTGGCCTG
This sequence comes from Homo sapiens, assembly GCF_000001405.40. Taxonomy (NCBI): domain Eukaryota; kingdom Metazoa; phylum Chordata; class Mammalia; order Primates; family Hominidae; genus Homo; species Homo sapiens. The sequence goes on along the minus strand of NC_000018.10, from coordinate 77,773,460 downwards.
GTCTGGCTACACAATCCCATCACAGAAAGCCTGCCTGACCTGCCCAACTTTCAGTTCTCAGAAACCACCAACCCGTCCTTGACTCTGGGCAGCTGTTCACGCTATTTCTGTGGCTTTTTCTCCCTCTCCATGCGTGCTTATATCCTATTGATTCTTCCAGTCCCAGCTTAAATGTCACTCTCATAGAAACCTTTCCTGTCTCTCTGTGCTAATACCCCTCATTTCCCATAATCGGCACTTCTCTATGAGGGTGGGGGGTTGCATGCTCGGCGTCTGTTGCCCTGTGCAGACCGTGAGCTGCAGAGGGCATGAGCCTGGCTGCACATCTTTGTCCTGGGTGCAGGGCACGTCGTAAGGGCATGCTCCGTGTTTGTTACCAGAAAACATAAATGCCGTTATGAGTAAAAGATTGGAGATGAAAAATGATAAGCATTTGCATTTAGTTTAGCACTGATGATGGGTTGATTGCATCTCTGCTCCAAATCCACTTTCATTGGCCACTCGGTGTGAATGGAACTGGGCCCCTTAACCAATCTTTCTTTGCCAGCCATGCAGTGTCAAGCTTTGTCAGAAGAGGTTGTGGAAAAGATACCTCAGGGAGAAGTTTTTCCTTCCTGCTTTCCTGCCCTCCCCTCCACGGCTCCTCTCTCACAGGCAGTGTCGCCAGCATGCGGCCATGTGCAGCTCCTTGGGGTGGCTTTGCAGGGGACCCCTCCAGAGACACCTTCGCCTCAGCTGTCCTCTGCCACAGAGCATCACGTGGTAGATTTCCAGCTAGTTGTAGAGGATATAGCTTTCCAGCACGTCCCTCAGGGCAGGTGTCCCTCAGTGTCTGCAGGGTGAGTTTCTGGCAAGCTCCTCCAGCACAGGGACTTCCCTGCCATTCAGCAAGACTCACTACCCCTCTCCACAGTGCCCAATCCTGCTCTAGGGAGCCACTCTCCAATGTCCACCTCAGTCCTAGGGGCCATGGCTGCTCCCCACATCTGCTACGGCCATACCCCTTCCGGCTATCTTTCTTTCCATTCGCTTGCTCCTCCCTTTCTTTATGGTAAATTTCTCCATGCAAATTACTGCATGAGTCATCTCCTGATTGGACTCAGACACTGCTTCTGTGTAAGATGCTTATGTATGACTGTAGCTGAGATAAAAAGTTGTGTGCAAAACCCTAAGAAATGCAGTGTGCATGCATGCTGCCACCGTAAGGTTGTGGTTAACATCCACAAAGTCATGAGGTATGTCCTTGCTGGGACTTCAGTTCTGGTGATGCTAGCTTTGGAAACGAATGTGCAGCAGCCTGCTGAGAGACCCCACAAAGGTAACGCTACTTTCACGTCCACGCAGACACACCTATGGAAGGCGGGGTTAGTCAGCTGCAAACCTTACTTGAGGTATTTGAGACTGGACACCAGGTACACGGGAATTCTTTTTCTCTTGAAAGTATCTTGAATTCTAAATTTCTAAGTATGAAAATATATACACTTATTTTCATTTTCAATCTACATTAATCAAATCACTGCTGGCTTTCAAACTCAATGCACTTTAGTGAACATGAAGTTTGTTTTATGTGTATTCAATTTTTTACAGAAGGAGTGGTGAGAAGCTTTTCAAAGAGTTATGAAGGAAATAAACTTAAGCATATTTGCGTGGACCATTAAGAAGCTCTGGCTACAGGGACTCAGTTGTTTCCATCTTTCTAGATAGCCGGCTGACACATGCAGCTAAAGAGACAATAATGCATTCGATCAAGATGCACAGAATATTGACATGTGCCTTCAGCGAGGCTCAAATTTTCCTATTATTCATTGAATATTTGCAATTGGAAGCCCTAGGCTGCATAGAAAACCTGGTGTGTTTCTAAAGTTGTTAGAGTCTCCGATAGTTTTAGACATATTACATTAAAAAAAAGAAAACTGAGCTGTGCAGAATGGACACTTAAGGACCAGAATGGATCTGAGCTTGTGGAGTGAACCATACAGATCATCAGAGAAAAGACCCCAATACACTTAGTCTCCTTAGAGGGGTTGGACAGGTGCCTGTGGTTGTATCAGGGTACCAAATTGCCTTTCCTGAAAAATGGGAATTGAGGGTAAACATGAAAAGCAAAGCTACAATAATTCTAATGCTCATTATATTATTGAACCATGTGACTAGGAAATGAGTGAAATTCTGAGAAAACTGGAATTTGAGGCTAGCAAATGGCCAGATGAGGTATTATTTTTCTAGAAGTCTTAGCTTGTAATGCAAACGCGTGCACTTACACACACACTCTGAGGAAATACTGTTGCATACTGGAGTTCCTTGCCTATCATAAAAAGCTTGTGACATCCCATCAATATCTAATTGTATTAGTTATTCTACAGGGGTTCCAGGAAAACTGATGGAGAGGACTCTCAAGTATTGATCAACGTCCTGAAATCCCGTCCTATTGTTTACTGAACTGGTCAATTATCATTGAATTTTTCATTTTGAGTTGAAATGGAAAATTAACAAAAATTAAGCAATTTTGTAAAACATGTTATCATGAATGGAAAAGAACTGAGGTTTTAGTGTCACACTACATACTCATAGCTTTTTGTCTAGACATATTATAAAATAAATACATGTCATTATTAACATATCAACTAGCCAAAATCATCTCCCACTACCCTTTTCTATCAAATGAAATAGAACAGAAACAATATTAATTTACCTGTTATCTTAGACTTATAATCTTCTCTCTCGAAGTCAGAATATTGAAAGTTATTAACTGTTAAGATCGCAACTATTATCTCATTGGTTTGATCATAAGCCAGATTTTAAAACATCTATTGACAAAAATTACATGTTAACTGTTTGAGTTTTTTAAAGAACTAACTATTTTTAATTAAATTAATTTTCTGGTCTTAAAGTAGAAAAATAGAGAATCCAACAGGTGGATTATTTTTTAGATAGGTAACAACATAAAGTAAAATCTCCTGTATGATATAAGCTAACAGTGGAAATGTCCAGATTTTAAAATATACATAACCCAGAAATGCCAAGATGTCATGGAGAAGAATTATGGGAAATCCAGAAAAAGCAGTTTCTACCTATGTCTCATGACTGAGCTTGACACACATTTTAGGTCTGGGAAGCAACAAATGTGTGTTTGTCGGGCCTACAGAATGCCTGTTGTGGTCTCCATGCCAGCTGAGAACACTGTGACAAATACAGATTAGAGCGATAGTAAATACATTTCACACACAATCGAGGGGTTACCTTAGTTGTTCACATCTAGACAATTGTCAGTTCTAGATACTGAATATGCATTCTGATTGGTCCATTTATGGATTTATGGAACAGAAAGTAACATTGAGGGGAGCAAAAATAAGTATGCCTAGGGTTTTTCAGGGGCAGTAAAATGTGCATTTGAGAAAAATCAGGCCTGTATTATTAGCAATTAACAAGGCAGGTTAAAGAGGCGAGTAGCAGATGGAGATCAGGCTGTAAAATGACCCCACCATCATGACCACATCACCAGACAATGCCACCATGACCACGCCATCAGGATTATGCCACCAAAACCATTCCACCATGGCCATTCCATCACAGCCATGCCACCACAGCGATGCCACCAGGACCATGACATCACAGCCATGCCACCGCAGCTATGCCACCAGGACATTGACATCACAGGGATCAACCACAGTGATGCCACCAGGACCAAGCCATCTCAGCCATGCCACCACAGTGATGCCACCAAGACCAAGCCATCACAGCCATGCCACCACACTGATGCCATCAGGACCAAGCCATCACAGCCATGCAACCACACCAATGCCACCAGGACCATGACACCACAGCCATGCCACCACAGCTATGCCACCAGGACCATGACATAATAGGGATGCCACCATAGCGATGCCACCAGGACCAAGCCATCTCAGCCATGCCATCACACCGATGCCACCAGGACCAAGCCATCATAGCCATGCCACCACAGCAATGCCACCAGGACCAAGCCATCACAGCCATGCCACCACAGCGATGCCACCAGGACCAAGCCATCACAGCCATGCCACCACACCAATGCCACGAGGACCATGACACCACAGCCATGCCACCACAGCGATGCCACCAGGACCATGACACCACAGCCATGCCACCACAGCAATGCCACCAGGACCATGACACCACAGCCATGCCCCCACACCAATGCCACCAGGACCATGACACCACAGCCACACCACCACAGCAATGCCACCAGGACCATGACACCACAGCCATGCCCCCACACCAATGCCACCAGGACCATGACACCACAGCCATGCCACCACAGCGATGCCACCAGGACCAAGCCATCACAGCCATGCCACCACAGCGATGCCACCAGGACCATGACACCACAGCCATGCCACCACAGCGATGCCACCAGGACCATGACACCACAGCACCATTACCACATCCTCATGACCACATCATCATAACTAGAGATAGAGAGATTGCTCAACCCATTAGGGAGCACAAATATCAAGGAGAGTCAGTTCTTTGATTTTGCTCCACATTATTTATAGAATGCAAGATGTCAAGAGCACGATTTACAGATAAAATCTCCTTTAGAACCTTTTTATTTCCTATGTAAATTTACCAAAATCACAGGAAAATGTGTTTGTCTTAATCTTAGAAACCTTTTGTCATTGCATCTTACCTTTTATCAAAAGTAACCTTTAAAAAAAAACATTGCCTACTGTGACCAAAAACAGTCAACAAAAAGAACAATCTTAATCGCTTTAAAGGAGTCCGATAGAGTTGTAATTTGCCTTATAAACCACGTCACTGTGCCAGAGATTTACAGCAACATGTGATCTTTAAATAGACTGTATATCACCTTCCTGATGGTCATGCAATTAAGGATCTGGACATGAGGAACAAGACACTGCCAAAAAATACTTCTCAAAAGGGAATTTGTAATGTCAGGGAAGATAAAAATAATTTAGAATTCAGGGCGACATGATTTTAATGCTAAATACTTTGTGAAGATTAAGCCCCCAAATGTCCTATCTAATGCATAGAGTCTTTACTCTGGGCAACATGGGTAGAATGAAAGGAGATTAAAAAAGAAAACATAAGAAAAAGAATTTAATTAGGCAAAGAGCAAGCATATCGTAGATTTAATGAAATAAGATTGTTCAACTTATTTTATAAATAAGTAGTTTTAACAGCAAAATGTGAAATGCCTATGTAAAACAAAACAATGCAGTCAAGGTACTCCTTGCAATCTCTACTCAACCAAATGTTTTGGTAATTTGAGGCATTAGATTCATTGACTGAAATTTTAAAATTTTATCCAGATACTGTGTCATATACATAGAAAAGCTAAGATTGCACTTGTTAGTGTCATGACAGGCCTCACCTTCTCCCACTGAGCTTATTCGGGGCCTCTTCATGAAAATTGAGCTCAGAGTATTTAACAAAGAAAACCAATTGCCCAGACCTACTTCTATTCCCAATATACTACTGATATGAAAGGATTCTTACATCTATTAAATATAGTACTTATAAAAACAGAACATAAACATTATGTGTGAAATTATTGGATTTTTATTTGTTTTTGTTCAGCTTCATGAGTTCAGGGTCAGTGTTTGTTTATTGCTTTATCCCTAAGCTTCTAACACCAAGACCAGAAAATGGTAGACATGGAAAGGAGGCTTGTGGAATAAATGAATAAATAATCTCCACACTATTTCTTCAAATATTTCAAATCTCACGTTGCCATGTTCCTCTTCCTTAATATATTATTATGATATATTATATGATACACTCTGAGTTGTATATATAAAACATGTGTTACGTATTGTTCATATGTAAATGCGTGTGTGTGTGTGTGTGTATGGATTTGTATGGATATACCTGTGTGCCTGTAAACATGTATAAATACTATATGTACAATATGTTATATATAGTTAAGTACATGTTGATAGGCTGACATGTATCTATGCATGTATATGTGTATATATAGTGTATTATACATATAATTTATTATTCTCAGGACATGAACACAATTTTTATTTTTAGTTTTTATTTTGCACACGGGCTAAAGAATATGCCTTTGCAAACTACAGGTATAGGAGTAGTTATGAGGCAAAGAGTCTGAAGAAGAGCCTGATGGCATGTGTGCCCCTTGCTCTCACTTTTCTATCCATATCTGTTGCTCCTTTTCTGTACACCAGGCGCTGTGTTAGGCTCCAAGGATTAAAGCAACAGTAACAAAACCCATACTCACTTCTGCATTGGCTGCGATTCTTCCGCACGTTTAACCATTAACTTCTCTTTTGGTTAAAAAAGCTGCATTTTTATACAGATCAACCACATAAGAATTCACTTTGTTACTATTGAAATTATTTTGTTTAGTTAGAGCCTTTTTTTTTTCATTAAGCTCCAGTAAGTAAATCTAGGACCTATAATTTTTAGGAGCCAAAACATATTCCATCTTGACTGTAATTGCATCTGGTAAAACTATGGTGCCTGGTATGTATCTTTGAAAGGAGTAGTGAATCCAGGAATAAATGTCCTTTTCAGATGCGATCATTGGGACAGAATGAAAAATACGATATTCCAGAGGTCAGAACACTGGAAGGTTTTGGGGCTCTCCTGACTTCCTTTATAATGTTCTTTACTGTCATTCAGTCTGTTCCAAGGAAGGTTTGAGATATTTTGCTTTAAAATTGTTTGCTTCTCCATTTCCCGTGTATCAAGGAACTGATGGCACCGATAGATACGTAGAAGTTAGAAGGAAGGAGGCCAGGGGAGCAAGAGGGCTGCTGCCGGGAGCACCATGGCGACCACCTTTCCCAGTGTGAGGCCTGCGAGGAAACGGACGTGTGCTGGGAGGCTCTGCCTTTTATGAGACACGCCACCTGGGCAACTGACCTATCTTACATCAATATCATCTGACTGGTCAGTTTGCTTTAGGTGAAAAATAATTTCTACTTGGATTTAATTAATAATAGTGCAAAACTTTGAAATTTAAATATTTGAATACATAAAAATTTAAAACACAATTAAAATTCAAAAGTAATGTGCACAGTTAAAATATATCACAGTAATATATTTAGGTGACTATTTTAATAGTAGCTATCTTGCCCTCAATTGGGTCTAAGAAACACATACTCTGCATTAAAGAACAATTTTAGATCTATATTTTTCCACTTACTTTATTTAGGTATAGAGCATATTTTAACCAAAAACATGTCTCTTTTTCAAGGAACTTTTATTTGTAGCACATACATCTTTGAATTTTTATGAACATAATTTTTGAAAAATTCTTTCATATAGAACTACTTCCCAAAGAATATATATTATTTTTGTCGAACACTAAAAATTAGGTTGAGGATTTCAAGAACGCAACTCTGATATGATTGAAAACAAATGTGGGTTATGTTAGCTTAGTTACTCAGCGATAATGATATAACAAATGCTGGATTTTTATCCTGGCTGAACACTTACTGGATATTTGAAATATGAAAATTAAGATATGAGTATAAATAGAATTTCATAAAATTGTGATTTTTATTGAATAGCATAACTTACCTGCTGCCTACTTAGGCTAACAGAAATTAGACCCCTACATTAAGTCCTGTTTTGATGATTAAATAAGTGTTATGGAATATGTCATAGACGTAACTGTGCAATTTTCTGGGAGCCATCGTGTATGTACAATGATGCTTCCTGAGAAAACCACACGGACTTTAATTTCTGCCGTCTCCAAAGGAAGGTGCCGTTCCAGCGGTCTACACCGGTGCAATGCTGCCACCAGATGGTAGAGATCACTACACAGGCCTGGCTGATGTGTTTTCAGAAAGACTCAGTGAATTTCTGACATAAAAGGGATATTTTAAATCCAAGGATCCTACCATGTACACCCACTCCCATTTGCGTGTTCACACTCCTTGCCTTCAACAAAGAAAATACTCGAGACATTAAAAGCTTTCCCTGTATGTAACAGAACAGGAGAAGGGCAGCATTTTAGTGCTTTCAGGTGTTTACTCTGTGTGTGTGGATAATGTTAACAATTTATTGAATGAAAACAGTAGAAGCTTAAAATCGTGAACACGTCAGCTGCTCCTAAACTGGCACTAAAATGGGTTTCTAGGAAAATTCAACATTCAGAGATCGACTGGACCGCCGCCGGCAGGAACTTAGTGTAGACGCTGTGAGTGAAGACAGCAACAGCAAAGATGTCCTTAATTAGGACCGAAATAAATTCTGATTTGTAACATAGAATATACCTAGGAAATCACTGTAGAAATTTCCTTCTTTATCCACTGTCAAGTTAGTTAAAACGTGCTTTCAGCTTGAAGAATGTTGACGCATAAGTGCTGGAATTCCTTCGGTAGGACTGAAACCTTTTGTGTTTCAAAGCAGATTACATTGTTCAAGCCAGAAGATGAAATGACTCCAGTTACTCTGTCCTCATTCACTGAAGATTTTAAAATAATATTTAATAAAGATGTCCAATAATTTGTTAGTGCAACGATAACCTAACCCTCTTTAAAAAAAAAAAACAGTAATAAAACAAATCTTGAGAGACTGTTTTCCTTCGAGTTCGCAAAATTTATTTCAGTGTAGAACTATCAACTTTTCACAGTTAAGAACCTCATTCATTAACTCTTTAATATGAACGATTTGCCTTTTATTACTTAGTGACAAAGTTCAAAAACATATCAATCACTGTGAACTTAGACTTGGGAGATCTTTTAGAAAATTGAACAAATACAAATAGTGTTAGGATAGAAAGTATATCTTTCAATGGTCAGAGCCTTACAAGGAGGTTAAATATTACTAGAAAAATAAGAATGTAGGTATATATATATATATTATTGATATATGATTATTTAAATACATCATTTTACATTTAGCCTTTCTCCTCATAAATATTTTGAATGTTCTAGTCAAAAATATAATATTCAAGACATTAAAATTGGTGACGAAGTATTTACAAATATTTTATTATAATTATGTGTTTCTATAGATATGTAGTAGCTTCAATACTACCTTAAAATTTATTTAAATAAATATATTTGGCTGTATATTTGCACAATCGTATGTGTTGTATTTATTCTTATGAAAGAATTATTAAATCATTTTAATGAATGGTATGTCTTTAAACCTTTCTGCTTAGATATCAGAGATTATCATTGTCGTATTGAAGTGCAGCGTTACTGAATAAGAAAGTGTACTCTCTCAAAGGAAGGTTACGTTGTCAGTTAGGATGGACAACAGAATAAGTATTTTTCTGCAACAAAAAGGGACTATAAATCAAGTTATTCTTAGCCTGTGATTAGTTCTGTCCTTCATTCTGAATTTCTTTTCTTGTGTGGATTCGAGTCAACCCATAATGTTATTTTAATTTAGTTTTTTGTATGTAATACATGCTCCCGTCAGGTAAATGAACTTGTCATGATTGAATTCAATAGATTATAATGACCCTTTATCTGCATTGCTGAGCGTTAGCTCATAGTAGGCAGGACTGGCTTAAGCGGCTCCAGATCAGGAATGAGTTCTAATTGAAAGTCTTCATCAATCTTTAATGACAGCATTATTATCATTGTTGAATGTGCTCTTCCAGTTGCTTTCCCCCTTTTAGAGAAATTTTTAGCAGCTTCACTGATGCTTGTGAGGGTTCAGGAAATGGCAATATCTGAGTTTCCTATTGTCAAACAGCCGTGACAGAACCCAGGTGGCCGCTCTTGACCCATTCCTTCTGGCGGTGCTCACCTCGGACCTTGTTCTGTAGGGACAGATCCAGCGCCAGTGCTTAAGAAAAGCCTCTGAGGAGAGCTGCTTGGGGCAAGTGGTGTGATACTGTGGTAGAGCTCACAATAGAGCAAAATGGGCCAGTGAAGTGACTATTTACAAAATGTTGATCAAAAACAGCACAGATTTGAAAATGCATCCACAGGTGACAGTGTTCAACTCAGAACGAGCATTTGCTCAGTTTGATCTTTAATTCTAATTTTTAATAAAACCTTCAGATGTTAGAAAGTAATTAATGTTAATAAATGTGCAGGTGTTTATAGAGTCATACATGTGTGTATTTGAGTCATGTATGCACACATACACACACATACGTATTTGCATATTTATGGCTGACTGGACTGATATTTTTAGCTAGGTAATGTTTCTTTGATTTTAAGTGAAGACTAAAGAAAATTCTCTTATTAAATTTTGCTAGAAGTGTGTCACAGGTCCCAAACCCTTTTCTAGTACACACCTATCATTCATTGCTTACATGAAGATATAGTCCAGTGCTGCTGTTGAAGTGGCCATTTCCTTTGTATTTGCAAATTGAAGCACTTTTAAAAATCTTTAGTTTGCACTTCACTGTTTCCAACATTTGGCCACAATAAATATTTCCAAAAGCCCTACTATTGTGTGCTGCATTGTGAATAATTTATGCAACAAGGAGGCAGGGATTTTAATTGATAGCGATTAGTGAACTTTCTAAATCTGTAAAACTTCAACAGGCTTAAGCTTCCAATAAATGCCAGTGTCTATTTTTATGCCCCAGCCCCTATTTAACGGAAAGCCTAGTGCATCAGCCTGCAGCTGCTGGTGCTGCAAATGCCAAAAAGGGGCTTTTGTTCCACCCACCGTGCTGTGGGAGGGCCATTCTACACAAGCATTGGGAAGCTGCTGTTTGCATTTTCTTTTTGATCTTCTTACGATGGGGTGGAGAAGTTGTTGCTGGGCTTTTGTTTTTGTTTACAGAATGATATTCTGGTGACTCTCGGTTTCCTATCACCAGGGTTGATACCTAGATGGAGTGGAGGGAAGTCAGGCTGTCACGGAGGGCACAATATTATGTCGACGGAGTGCACTCGCTTAAACAGCAAGCTTGAAATGTAATAAGGAACAGCAGATTATCAAAGACCATCTCCGTGTAGTGCACTAGACTCTGGGAGGACTGAGCACTGCAGAGAGGGAATGTGGTGAGCTGAACTGGTTCCCAAAGAGCTTTCTTTGACAATGGTCAATTCCTTCTCTATTTTTACATTTTATTTTGTATTTAAAAGTGTGCATACTCTTGAGTTTCAAATTCTTTTAGTGGAAATTAGCAATACATTTTCACAGACATGCCTTGATATGATAAAGTTATTAATCATGTAAAAATTATTAAGAAAATCTCAAAATTTGACTTGGGTTAAAGAATAAACGTACATTTATAGGAAGTCAAGTTTTGAGGAAGTCATTTCTTATACTTTAACCCATGGTCAAATTTTGAGACTTTTTAATACTTTTTGAAAGTATAAAAAAGGAACAGAGCCCTGTTCTCAAAATTTGAGGAAGTCATTTTTTATACTTTACCCCATGTTTTCAAACTTTATTTATAAATATGAAAAATAAATAATCCATAGTTAGATTGCTAATGAGAAGAGGAAGTTTACCCATTTTGATTTTAAACATGTTCAGAAAACAATGCAATCAGGGATCATGGATTTCCTATTATTATTATTATTATTAATTTGAATAAAAATATTCATACATTTGAAAAATCACAATGCAAGTTAGTCAAGTAGAAGGCCGTCCTGAAGACCTTCCATTGGGGTATAAGTTTTCTGTGCATTTGGTGCTATTTTTCTTTTCAAAAGATAAACAGAGTTGCTTCTCTGGTTCTCAAAGCACTCAACATTTTTGTTTCTGCTCTTCCAACGTGATTATTGTTTGAGACAATTTAAAGATGTAAACTATACCGTCTCTGTTCAGACTGCAAATGTGAGAAAGAGTAAAGTAAAAGAGGGAGGCACACATTTTGAGGAGTTTTAAACTGTGACTCTTCTTAGGTTGAATATCATTATGCAAATAAGTTAGTTGTTTGTGAAAATTCAGTGCCATTATGCAAATGAGCTAGATGCTTGTGTAAATTCAGTGTTGTTATGTAAATGAGTTAGGTGTTTGTGTAAATTCAGTGTTGTTATGTAAATGAGTTAAGTGTGTAAATTCAGTGTCATTATGTAAATGACTTAGGCATTTGTGTAAATTTGATATCATTATGTAAATGAGTTAGCTGTGTAAATTCAGCATCATTATGTAAATGAGCTAGCTGTGTAAATTCAGTGTCATGTAAATGAGTTAGGTGTTTGTGTAAATTCAGTGTTGTATGTAAATAAGTGTGTAAATTCAGCATCATTATGTAAATGAGTTAGGTGTTTGTGTAAATTCAGTGCTGATTATTTCCACTGCCCTCTTCCAGTCCCTTGGGATCAGTCAGAGCTTCCCCAGGAGTCCAGGTTCTTTCTCCAGTCTCTCCCCACACATCTGTCCCTGCCGGTGTAGGAGACCTGATGGACGTCCTGTCCCCTGCACTCCATTGCATGGGGCTAAGGAGAAGCAGGCTGCAGCAGGTGCAAGATAAAAGCTTGGCCACTGAGGGCTCACAGTCTAGGACAGCTCCCTGCCATCACTCCACCAGCTGCCACAACGTGGGCAGCACCCAGGGATGGGAGCTAAGACCTCCTCCTCACTGCTCTCTCTTCCCAGTCACTGTTTGGAAGGCCTGGCTCCTAGCATCCTGCCTTAATTCTCACTTCACACTCACATCCACACTTAAGATCTGATGACAGTCTGTTCATTCCAGCACTGGCTCTCAGCTTGCCCCAGTTCATACTTCAGAAGGCGTTTATCTGTGGCTGGCTGTGTTCACCCTTCCTCAGCTTCAGGCAGGCAGACTCCCCACAGAAAGACCCTTAAAACCCACAGCCTGGCCGGTCCACCTGCTTGGTCCTAAATTGGGCTCATAAGTCCATCCACAATCTTAAACTCAAGCGTTCCTGTCTTTGATCACAGCCTCCTTAATTAACTCATCTTATGAATTGACTGTTTTCACTGTGATCTCAAATCACTTAATCCAGCTCACTTCACCCAGCCTATTAGCCTGTTTGTAGTTACATTTGACTTTCAGAGATAAAGGATATATAAGTGCTTTATACACTTTAAAACATTCAGTAAAACTAGCTGATTCTTCATCAATCAGATATTGTAATGAAGTCCTTAAATAATATCCCAGATAAGGCCCTGGACTCTTGGGCCCACTTGATTATTGTCCTGGTGTTGAATCAATGCGCCAACAACTAACATCCTAACGACTTGGCTACACTCAGCATCACTTCTCCGTTCTTGATCTGGACCACACTGCACAAAACAACCTGCTGATGAGATCACCATGCACAGTGGTTTTTTGATTCACCTCTTTAAAAATTCTCTTATTCCAAGGAGCATTCCCAGCTTCCAGCACTAAGCTCTGGCACATAGTCGTTCTTCATGGAACATCTGTTAGTGAGAATGCTTTTCCTCCAAGCCCTCATGTCAGCCCACGTGCACTCACCCTTGGTGTAGGTGCCTATCTACCCTGCAGAGATGAACGAGGGTGTCCACACTAACCAGCCATGATCATCCCACTATCCATGTTAAGGCAAGTCTATGCATCACTTAGACTATTTCATTCTTTACTCAGCCTGGGTGAAATAATATTTATTTCAAAGGACAACATAAAGGACCTCCTCAGCATGCTTTCTCTCTCAAGCAATCCATGTGATGTTGAGCAGCTCTGCCTCCCGTTCTCTCTCTTCATCTTTCCCCACTTTGTGTTTGTGTCCAAAGTTCTATGTCTTGCAGACTAAGGGGAAAAGCACGGGAAACATATTTTTTGGTTCCTATTGATCCTTGCTGCTGGTGGCCAATGTCCTCTCCTCTTTTGACAAACAGTTGTGTTTAACAAAAGGGTCTTGTCCGTTGCTTCCATTTCTATACAACAGCCAACAACTGTCCTTCATTTCCTTCCATCTGGCTTTTGGTCTTCCTATTAAAATTTCCTCCGGGAGGCCATTAGAAAACACAACTCCAGGTTATTAACATCATCCTCAATCCCTGTGAGGACTCCGTAGCCCTTGGTTTTTCAGGGCTCTTTCCTGTTGCAGGCATCTCCACGCAGAGCAAGCTCATTCCTGGATTCTAGGGCATCTCCACGCAGAGCAAGCTCATTCTTGGATTCTAGGGCATCTCCACGCAGAGCAAGCTCATTCCTGGAGTCTAGGGCCCTAACTGCTCCCTTGCATCCTCCTCCTCCAAAGAATGTTCCTCAAAGTTCGTTTACTTGCACACTTTTCTCTTTTCAGGAGATAAATTATTTATCCTGAAGATTTAAGGTATCACCTCAATGCAAACGAGTAGCAAGTCAAGGTTCTCATTCTAACAACTTTTCAGATCTCAAGATGAGAAGCTTCAGTCCACAGTAGGACATTGCCTCTTAAACACAGCCTCAGTGATCAGAAGTGAATTATCTCTTGCCAGAACTTCCAGCTCCTTTTTCCAATGTCATTTCAGAAAAGCTTTCAACTTCCCACCAGTTAAACAGGCTGAAAGTCTTCATCGTCTCTCACTCATTTCTTTCCTATGGTCTTCCTTCTCCACTGATCACTGAGACGACTGTTTCTTCGTGTTTTCTGCGTGCCTTTTCCTTTCTACGGGGTCTATGATCAACCATGTTTCTTCTTTTATAAATCCCTAACTGTGCTATTAGAATAGCATCTTAACTATTATCCTAGTGCATCCTAAAGATCACTGGAAATTAATCTCTTTTACATTCATGACCATGCAAGAAACCTGGCTCGAAAACTTGTGAAGTTCTAAGTTTTTATGGGAAAAAATGTATAAGTCTCTGAGCTCAGGACAGAAGGTCCTCCACAAAGCGTTCACCGTTATCTCTCATTATTACTTCCTCTCAAATCAGTTTACTTTTCTCCCAGAATAGACATAGCTCAGGGGTGTCTCTTTCTTTTGCTCCAGATGCCCTTCTACCTGCTCAGAAGTCCTGAATGTCCTTTTTTTTTTTTTTTTTTTACCTGAGATGGAGTCTCGCTCTGTCACCAGGTTGGAGTGCAGTGGCACAATCTCAGCTCACTGCAACCTCCACCTCCTGGGTTCACACCATTCTCCTGCCTCAACCTCCCAAGTAGCTGGCACTACAGGTGCGTGCCACTATGCCCAGCTAATTTTTGTATTTTTAGTAGAGACGGGGTTTCACAATGTTGGCCAGGATGGTCTCGATCTCCTAACATCGTGATCCGCCCGCCTCGGCCTCTCAAAGTGCTAGGATTACAGGCGTGAGCCACCGCGCCCGGCCCTGAATGTCTTTTTACCAAACAGTACCCTCCACTGGCATGGATCTTCTCCGTGAAACGTGCCCTGGTCATTTAACTAACAGCAATTTCTGTCGGTAATCTATGAATTACCTAAATCACTCTTTTGCCATCCAGTGGTTTATTGTTAGCTTTTTGGCTACTTAGCTGTTCTATTTTTAGTTTAAAAATATAGTATGATTCAATCCAGGTGGATCTGGGTTTGAATTATGACTCTGACTTTTTTTTATGTTTATGAAGCTGAATAACTGATTTGACCCCATGTGGTCCCCTTTCCAAATCTACAGTGACAGAGATCATTACTTCACAGCACTGTGGAAGGATGAGCCAAGGCTGTATCAACATCACATGCAAAGACTTTGATTACATAGTATGTGCTTATTAAAGTTGAGTTTCTTTCCCTTCTTTAAGGACTGACACCTAGGGCTGGCTTCCTTTTCTCTGTATCCATATCTCCTAGACCTAGCATCATGCCTGCTTGTTAATAAATGTGTAGCATAGATAATTATGAGTAGAATCCAAAGGAATTACGTTTCTGCAGGTGTGTCGGTCTAGATGCCTTTTTCCAAATGAGGCACTTAAGAACTCTACTGGAGGAAACAACACACACACACACACACACACACACACACAAGTTTAATGCATTTATGATGAACAGAATATTATCTAATATCATCAAATTTCTTTTATTCAAGCGGGTCTTTAGAATATCATGAGATTTATAGAGCGATGCTAATATTTATAATTTAAAAGTTACAAAATGTTTTTTGAAAAGGCAAAAACAAAATAGCTTTTAAAAAATGGAGAATTTAGTCTTAAGGTAAATTTCTATTCATGATTTTAAAAATTTTTGCCTTATTTGGTAATGGCATAACTTGAATCCATTTTCTTAAAGATGTTTAATACATGTATTCTTCCAAATTAATATATTTCTGTAAAGAGCTATTAATTATATGCACAGATTTGATGTCTTTAATTTGGGTACTATTTTTCATCTTTCATTATTGAAGCATCAAAGTCCATTTAAGTTTCTCATAACCCCATCCAATTATCTTAAATAGCAGTTCTTAGATCATGTTGTTGCCAATGAAGAGAAAAGTAATCTAGTCTACATTTTATTGAGATGGTAATTTTACATATACATTATATTTTAATATAACCACCTCCCAAACTACATGTATGACTCCTTTCACTGTAACATAATTGAGTCTTGACACAATAGTGCCCAGGCCTCCAGCAGGAACTCATGTCCGCAGTAGCACCTGCCCCAGAGGGCATGGACCATTTCCTCACCGACAGTCTGATTAACTTTTGTACATTCGTTGAGACATTATTATGACGACCTGCTTTTGTAGATTCATATAATTTTATCAGATCGATAGAGTCATGAAAAACTAGAGTTGGAACAGACCTTTTAAACAACTTTGTCCAATTCCCTCACTCTACTGATGAGAAGCCTGAAGTCTAGGGAAGGTGAAACATCTTGCCTAAGAGAACTCTATTTTCATGAATACATTCTATCTTTCTCCTCTAGTTACTTGAGAGCAGGAGCTGTGGAAGATTATCCCCACAGGACCTCATGAAAGTCTCAGCAATTCGATGGAAACATTTTCAAGTCAGCGTTAAAGGATTTAAAAGAACACATCAAATAGGTTACTGTACAAATCTTGGCCACAATGCGCCAATTTGAGAAAAGAATATTTATCCAGCTTGTGTTATTAGTAAAACTATCTGTATATAATGAACATACAGTGGATTTTAACCAAAGATCTAAATTCTGTTTCTTTTACCCCTAAGAAGTCCATAGATCAATTTCATGATTTGTATGGATCCCTGAAATTATATTTGAATTTCCTGTGTGTGTGTGTGTGTGTGTGTGTGTGTGTGTGTGTGTGCATTTTGCAGAAAGGGTCTGTTGTTGACAGGGTGTGTGAGCCAGTAATAATCCAGGATGATCTGATGATGAACGCCCTTCTAGGGAGGAGAGGGCGCTTTCACACCAGCAGAACTGCTCCTTCTCTAGGCCCCACTGCAGCAGAGCTTGCCGATCCCACCCACTATGGCCACGGCAAAGCCACGAGTGCTGTTTGGGGTTGTCGAGGCTGGGATGGTGCTAAAAACAATCTCAATCAAAAGATAAGGGAAGTGTGGCGGATTCCAGAGGAAGAAATCCGATAAAATTAAAGTGTAATAGACACTTCAAACTGTGTGATCTGACCTAATAAGTTATTAATAGGGAACCATTACTCCTCATACATTTTTTATTAGGAAGGCATTGCCTTTTTGTCAAGATTAGTGGATTATAAAATATTTGTGCTACACAATATAAATGACCCTACCTATTAATAAGTCTCTAGAAAGATATGCTTAAATTGAATTACATTAGGAAGACAAGTGACAACAGAAAATTAGGCATAATTAATGGGAACACATAAATAAACCAGATATGGAGGGAAAAGGACATTCTTCCCATTGATCATTTTGAGAATTAATTGCCGATATATTCTAATGACATAGCTACTATTACTGTTTGCATAAGGGCAGTTTTATAGAAGATGAAATTCATGTGACTATGAATATGTATTATAATTTATAGCTGGGAGATAACTAGGTTGATCACATGTCTCTAATTAGTGGACATAATTTTGAAGAGCTAAAAGCTACCACTTAAAACACAATATTGCAATGAGGGCTCATTAAAATTTGTTTCACTGGAGCAGAATTGGTCGTTTCCCTGTGAATCGAATGGTAGCTGTTACCAGTAAGCTTGAAGGAAAACGACACAGAGTCCCTGCTGAATGTGGTGGTGCAGTCTATGTCACTTTATTATTTTCCATGGGCCAGAGCCAGCAATCCACTTAGGGCTGGGATACCTCAGAGATACAGGAAATTATTTTTCACATCTCATTCACATAATGCGCAATGTGAATTGAGTTACACAGTGGACAAGCTTCCTGCATCATCTCCATTTGCAAACATGTATAAGGTTTCCACTGATATCGCAGCCCCCTCCAAGTAAACACTGCCCCGACCCTGTTTCAGGAAGCTTTGGACATGAAGGATTCACTATGTGTCACCATTTTAGATTTGAATCTTTGCTGCTGTAACATGCTGATTTTATAATTACGTATGTTATTTTTTGTCTGCTTCAAGTAGTCAGCACCATACATTCTATTTTTCCTTTTGCTCACAGTAAGCAAGTCTAATTAAAAAATGCTCAACATTCAATTTAAAATAATTGCCAATGCAAAAATAATAAAGCTAATCAACCTCTTACTTGCTAATCCATATTATTAATCCAGAATAAATGCATTAAAGCAATGTTCAGGGCCAGGCAGAGCACAACATGGGCAATAGAGTGGTGGAGCCCTGACTTCCACCTGGGCTGCCTCCCGGGAGGTGCTGTCTTGCAGGGGCTAGGCCTGTGGCTTGCAAATGTGTCACACGCTGAGAGGTTTTCACACGGATACCCTTAATTGTGTGTTTGTGTGGAGCTTCCTGCCTCTTTTTCTTTGTGGTTTAGGAGAAGGCGTGTTTTAATAATAGTTTGAGAATGGTTGACTCAATAGAAGAGAATTCCTTCTGCATGCTAGCACCATTATCACTAAACTAAGAGAGCAGGTACTTGATGCCGGGAAATGCATTCTCTTCACTTGCTTGCTTGCTCCCTCCCTCGGAACACTGCCCTGTGACACTATGGATGGGCAAGGTCACTCTGAAATAAAGAAGCTGGGAGCCTTTTCTGAAGTTGGGGGACAGAATAGCACACTTGGGATGAAGGTTTGTGAAAAAGATGGTTATCGATGCTTCAGAGACAGCCAACACTTTGTATTCTAGTGTGATTTGCTTGCTTTTCTTGACCATAGTAGCATTACCTTTTTAATTTATATACGTATATGTATGTATTATTTTTTATCTTAACCTTTAGATTGTTATATTTTTATTCAATGATCCTGGAAAATGTACCAACATTGAATTTACCAATAGGAAAGCCAAAATGCAAATACATTCATGCACAGGCATGGGATCTCCTGGAAGACGCTTGGAAATGTGGAAAAAGGAGTTGTTTCCTGACCAGAATTACAGCCCTGACTTTGTTATCAGGGAGGTGGCCCCAGAAAATGTTCTCCTGTCTCTGACCTCATTCCGATTACATGTGAAGTGAGGAGGTTGGTGCAACAATCATAGTCTGTTCTAGAACTGGGCTTATTTAACTTTGATTACTGCTGTAAGTGTTCTTGGAGGAGTGAACAAGGGAAACACAGACATGCATTGCCACTAGTAGCCCACGCGAGGAGGTCAGAATATACACATGTGTACGGATGTGCGCTGGGAAGGGGGAGCAAATGTTCTAGTCAGCTGTGAACAATCAGGTGTGCCTGGGAGCCTGTGCCTCCCACACTATGAGGGGCATCCTGGTGTGGCAAGACCAGTCTACAGGGAGCTCTCTGTCCCAACACGGCCATGCCTGCTGCTCTTTCCTTTTCCCGTAACTAACTCTGCACCCATCCTCCTGCAGCTGGCCGCCCGCTCTGTGCACATGTGCTCATCCGTGTGCCGGCTCTTGTGCGGGCCAGGAAGGCATCCCACACCCCTCCAGGTGGCCTGCCGAGCTGGGCTTCGTAACTTCAGTAAACACAGGGTAGAGGCTCCTCTTCCTCTGTGAGGGCAATGTCTTGAGAGCAAAGGAGATGCATTCACACACGTAGACTAGAACATCACAAGCTGCACTGACCCATTGGAATCCACTCTTGGGCATAGCTGTGACCGATGTTTCCATGATTCTGTGCCAGTGTTAGCTTTATGCTTGAGGGAGTTTAATTACAATTTGGAAAAATCATGAAAATTTGGAGTCGTCAACATTGTAGATCATCATCATCATCATCAATAAGTACATTTCTGAGTCTATCTCAGGCTTGCTGTGAGTCCAGTTTCGTGCTTCCTTGGGGCGGCAGGAGAAGGGAGGTTGTTGCTGCTGGGTGGAACGGGCTGGAACCTGCAGCTCCAGGAAGGCCAGGAAAGACATGGAATGCCATCCACAGGATCAGGTACAGATAGGTGGCCATGAGGTTAGGGTTAGGGTTAGGGTGGCCACAAGGCCAACTTATCTGTGGAACTGGAAAACCTTAAAAGGCCCTGGAAGTTCACTCTGTGAAAGATAGCTACTATTCCTTTAATATCCTAAACACATGATCTACTTATTAACAGAAAACTGGATTCTAAGCCATTTAGAAGCCATGCTCAAATCATGATTGAACAACCCCCCCCCAACATTTTCTAAATTGCATCCATATTGTTCTTCTTATGTATTTCTTTCTACTTTCTTAGGCATTTTAGGAGGCGAATTCATTGATATCCAGCATCAATGCTGTTTATCATGTGGTTGTTTTATCGGCTTCTATCTGCCATGTTTATCACTCTGTTGCAGCAGCTGCTCGTTTCTCCATTTATTCTTGTACTTACATCTTTTAAATAAACTGTCCAGTATTTCCCCTCAAAAATATAGAATTTTATTAATGTAACCTCACTGATTTTACAGAGAAACCCATCTCTACAAGTTGCAGGATGTGCATCCATCTTTTAGTGGCTGCAAAACCAAAGACTCACTGTCTCATTTTTCTCTTCTGTAGAATGAGGGGATTAGATTAGCCGCTTCTCCACAGTTCCATATGGCATGAGTTTTAATACATACTAGTTATTAGTTACATAGGTGTTTATTCTATCCTCCCTGAACCCTTGTATGTTCAGAGGCTGTGAGTGATTCCCTACTCGTGGGTAAGAACACTCTCAGCTGATAGTAATTAAGCAATTGAGCATGTGCTGGAGAAAATACCACAACAATGAATAACAGAACATTCCTCAGCACTGGGAATTTTTTAGCAGAATATTTCCTCCATCGTACTCAACATTTTAGTCTGAATACAAAGGGGAAAAGAGACTTTCTTAATATAGCAGGAGCATAATGTCATTTTCAAAATAACTTTGCTCAAAATAATAACAGAGCAAAATAAACTAATTATAGAAGAATTAGTATCTAAACATTATTATCTCTCAATCAAAGTCAAGATGACCCCACACCATAGGTACCCATCAAACAGGGCAGCATTTTCCAAGACACAGAGTCTAGTTATTCAAAGATGACTGTATTTTGCTCACAAAGAAATCCTAAAACTTGCTGGCTTCCTTTCTCCCAGATTCTTGGTTGCTTCCCCTCCTTCAGACAACATTCCTGCTCCCTGGCAATTTACATATTTGTCCACATTGACCTCTCCAAAGATTCACATCTAGTTTGTTGAGCATTTTTAAGCATTCATTGTGTAGATATTATGGAGGATCTGCACCAAACATTTAATTGCAGATTTTTGTGCAAGATGCTGAATTCACATTCTCTGGTTCCTGAGGCCTCTTTAAGCCCATGGTGCACTTGTGTGTAGGGATGAGCGTCTCACGGCCCAGTTCTTCCTGCTCTATTGCTGGCTGCTGGACCAGCAGTGGGTCTGTGTGAATGCCCTGGGGTGGCTGCTGCAAAGGACCACAGATTAGTGACTTAAGACCACAGAAATATATTCACTCACAGCTCGGGAGGCCAGACATCTGAAACCAAGGCCTCAGAAGGGCTGGCTCCTTCTGGAGACTTCTTTAGCTCTGGTGGCTCCAAGCATTCCCCGGCTGGCAGACACATCACTCCAATCTCTGCCCCCACCATCACATGGTCTTCTCCATGCATCTCTGTCTCTTCTCCTGTAAGGACACCAGTCATCAGATTTAGGGCCTACTATAAACCAATATGTCCTAATCTTGACTTAAAAGATACTGTTTCCAAATAAGGTCATCCTTGGGGGTTCTGGGTGGACATGGACTTAGTAGGGGAGCACTCTTCACCCATGCCAGGGCCTGGAAGCCTTCCTGAGTTCTCCCAGCCTCAGCTTTCCTTTCCTTGTCCTGTGTTCACTCTGAGACCTCAGTGTTCAGCTTGCGGGTGTTAATAAAGGGCCCTCTACCTGTGTGCGAAGGTCCAGCTACAATGGCTTCCAGCCAGGAGGATGTCTTTCCCTCTCGGAGCCAAAGTCCCACATAGTTGACAACACTTTTGAAGAGCGACCTGATTTGAAATTCTCTAATAGGACACAAGTGAATTGCTGCATATTGCAGATAAAATATCCCAAAGGAGTCCATTAAAATAACTGATAATGTAATGCATAACTGTAAACCATCTCTGCCTCCTTTACTGGGCGCTGCTGGCAGGTTCATAACCTCATCAGGAAACTTCCTTGCCCAGGTCCCAATCTTGAGAAAGGTATTTATGACACAGATTTCACTTACTACAAAGACATTTGAGGTTTTATTTTTTGCTTTTTTTTTAGGTTTAGAAAAGTTCTGAATTTTACTCTGTATTTTCAAAAGGAAAAAGTTGAGCATTTGAATGTAGTCAATATTTTGTGTACCACATTGCTTCTGCACTGTATATATCCTATGTGTAAATCCATTTTAAAACACTGATAGGAAAAGAGTTCATCTCCTGTCTGGAAACATTGTAAAGGTTCTAGGCCTTGAGCTGAGACAGAGCTGGTAGGTAGTGAAGTCAAGTTTCAAGTTATTTTTCCCCAGCTTCCACGAGGAGCTCTTCTGGGACACCAGGGCTCATGATAGGAGATGCACCTCCCCAACCCCCCAAGTCATGTTCCTCTCTCTGCCCCGCAGTATGGAAAGGGGGGAAATTTTATGGGTGCCTTCCTGCTGTAAGAAATACCATCCATATTGTCAGGCAACTAAGGTCAACTTCAAATGGAAAAATCCAGAAGAATAGAAGAACATGTTCCATATTTTCACAGCATTATTATCTCTGAGCGTACAGACCATGCATCATTTTTGTTTTCTTCTGTTGCCTTTATTCCATGGCCCAAATCCTTTATAATAGGTTAGTATACTTTTGAATAATATTTTTAATGTTGACTTAAAAATGCAGTTTTCCTCTCTGGTTTTGCACACACCCGGCACACAGCTTTTGCTTGTCAGCTCTCACTTCCTTTCCACATCTGTGCAGAAGCTTGGTCCACTTCTCACCCTTTTTCCAGCTGTAACCACTGAAGAGGCTTTGGAAACAGACTCCTCCTGCACACAATTCAGCCCTGTCTGCTGAGCGTGGAGCAGCAGACACCAACACCAGCCTGTCTGCATCATGGACTGGGGTTCCAGCCCAGGCCGCTCACAGCTGGAGTCTTGGGGGTCATCGTACAATGTGCTTCTTCCGCGGGGCTCGGCAATTGTGGAAATACCAGTGATAAATATTAAATAATAACTTCGTGCCAAACCACCGGGAAAATGAAGCAAGCATTCAGCAGCTCTCCTAATCCCTCCTTTCATTCCTGCTGTGGAGTGGTCTAGCAACGACGCACTAAGCAGCAGAATAGAGCCGCGGGGACGAAGGTTCGGGGCCTCTTACCGAGTTGTTTGTGCACTGATTGCCAGGTACACCTGGCCGCTGTATTTAGATTTGTGCATTTCTTTGTTTCTTTCCACGTACATATTTAGGTGATTCAAATGGGAGAACGACATTTTTAAAGCCTGCATCAACACACACATATGACTCTTCCTTGGAAAATGGCAGTTTGTGATTTTTTCTTTTTATACGAACCAGTACTTAGAGATGACTTTATATCAAATAACGTAACTTTTTTCTGTAAATTTAGCATCATCTAAAAAAATTCAAGCTAGTATTTTTGGCCCTTATTCAACTATTTTTTTAAAGAATAAAAAATTGCTTCTGGTGATTCCTAGCTTTTAAAATACACACGTATCCTCTTGGTAATGAGTAAGTGTAAATTTATCCTCAATATTTAAGCAGGTCCAGTTTGGAATCCTCCCCTCACTTGTCTTGGGCCCAGTGCCCTCTGGTGGCTTTCCCTGAAAGTGCGGCTCCAGGTGGCGGTCTCCCGGGGGCCCGTGGGGCTGGGAAGCGCTGGCCCCTCTCTGCACATCTAGAGATGTTTTTCTGATATGTACTGAATGCTTTGGAGACGTATGTAAAGAATATTATCTTTCAGCTAAAAACTCTCAAGAATGTCTCCATTGTGTATTGACATGTTATTTTTAGCAAAAGGATAATTCTTGTATGCTACATGAACTAAATTCAATCCATTACACCATGCTGGGAAAAATATCAAAACTACACCCTAGTTGGCCTCTGAAAAACTTAATAAAAAATGTAAAAATAAGAGAAAAAGAACAACTGGCTAAGAGTGTAGAAAAAACCAAAGTGTTCCAAAGTAACTCCCCTACAGGTTACAACCTTTCCGCAGAAGCACTGCTCCTTTCTCTAAGAGTCATACAAGGTGTCCTGCAAAGACAGTCACGTCAGCATGACAGCCGAGGCTCTCCCGGGCCACCAGGCTTCTGACCACTTTCTTGCCAGGCAGAGGGAGAAGGAGGCCAGGCGGACGACTTCTAGAATTCGGCTCGAGTGACGAGAAGAAAGTGCTGGAAGACATCAGGCCAAAGGGAATCATGCCTCTGATATGCACACGGGGAGTTGGGGGAATTTCTTGCACAAAATGCAAATCAGTAAATATTAGTTAACTAAGCAAAACATTCAATCTTTTGAAATTTTGTTAAAGAAAGCAAAATTTGATAACCCATGTTTTTAATTTGGCCCCCAAAATCTATATGCTTGTCCAGGCACAGCTGGTAAGGGAACCCCTGCTGGGGGTGCTGCTTCCATTAATGATGTGCTTGATTTCGCTGTGACCACCGAGCAATGCTCAGTAGCACGGCACATCTCTGGGCCGTAGCTAAAGCACTTGTTCCTCGTGGGCTAACTGGACTTGATGCTCTCAGTCCCCTGTGTGGTAGTTACTAATCTTACCATTATCTGGAAGAAGGTTCAGTTTCTACACCTGGTCTGTATAGGAGACACCTGAGTCTTTTGAATTCTAAAAGCAATGTTGAGGTGCAGCAACAATAGGCTTTGCAGTCGGAGTAAGTTTCCTCAACGATTAAATTACATATTGCAAGCAAGCCTAACCAAGGCAAGGAAACACAGCACGTGCTTAATATACTGCTGATTTGCATGTCTTCACATCTGGTCCCAGATTCCAAGTTCTTTCCTCTCTAACTCACTGACTGTGTCGCTGTGGCCTTCCTCTGGTATTCATCCTTTGTCTTCCTGAGCTGGTGGAAGCTCCCTGAGTGTTACCTACTTATTTGTCTCTGTGCCTTCCACTCACGCGCACCCATCCCAGCAGTATCCTCCCTCCGCCTTGGACATGACGTTACTCATAGCTCACTCATCGTCCTGCCCCTTGGTGGCCTTCCACACCACTGGAGCCCTCCCACCTGACCTCACCTGATGTGGCATATGGGGCTTCCTCACAGCTCCTTCACACTCTACTGGACTTTCTTATCTCTCACTGTGTGTGAGCCTTTAAGGGCATTATTTGTGTTTGTTCTTATGTAGCTACCAACTAGACCAATGCCTTCCCTTGGTAGGGACCACACTTAAAGCATGTTAAGTGTACAGACAAATAGACAAAGCAGTGTCCCGCTCCTGACAGTTAAATAAAACATCGATGTAAAGCAAAATAACCACCCTCAGGATGTGTGGCTGCTCAGTGAGATGTGTGCCTGGAAGGAAAAGCACAGAGCTCTATGGGCTGGGGGCAGGAAGTGACCCTGGAGAAGCGCACCTGGAGGAGTCTGCTGAGATCTGAAGGATGAGGCTGCGGGAAAGAAGGAAAGAGGGAGAGCAGCGTGGTCCAGGAAGACGTGGCACGCAGAAGAAATGTGTGGAAGGCTGGGTTGGGGGAGGCAAGAAGCACAGAGGTGCCCTTGGGACCATGGACAGGACCTGGGCATTCACCCTGAGGGCAGCCAGCACTTTTCAGTGGGGACAGCAGAAAGCAGGCAGCATGGTGAGCAGAGGTGCTTTTGAAGAATGTCGCTTTGGCTCCTGGATGAACAACCAAGGGTGGTGAGCTCTGGGTGGGTGAGGACATTCAGACAGCTGGCTGGGGTCTGGTAGGTGCACAGGTGGGAAGAGGTAATGAAGAACTGCTAGGGTTCTGGCTCAAACAACAGGTTTGAGGTCAGTGACAGAGAAAACACCTGAATCGACCCAGATTTGAGGGGTCCTGTGTCCATACATGCCTGCTTTGGATTTTCTTTGAGATATCCACATGACGAATAGATTTAGAGACTCAAAGCTCACAGGAAAGCTTTGGTCTGAAAACAAGGGTTTAGGAAAGTAAATCAAACAGGTCAGTGTGAAGAGTCGCTGGGCAGCGCTGGGGGCCCAGCTCACGTGTGCGGTCAGGAAATGTGCCACAGCTCAGATGGGCTGAAAGAATGGCTACAGTGGGATGGACGTGGCCGTGAAGCACAAATACTCTGAAAAAAACTTGGCACTATTGGGTAAAAATGAAGATCTACCACCTCGCAATTTCTCCCCTAAGTGTGTCTTGGAGAAACGGTTGTGTGTGTGAACCGATAAGCATGTGTGTATAGTTCCATCCATACATATGGATGTTTTAGTCTTTGTGTTTGGATAGGGACTTCAGGTTCTTTTAATTTTTGGCTTTTACACATAATTCTGTTATGAATATATATGTATGTGTATATATATATAATTGTGTATATATAATTATGAGAGGCAAACATTCAAACAATTTAATTGCATGTTTATCATAGAACAGAGATCTAATTTCTGGCATAATTCAATTGAATACTCTAGAAACAGAGTAAATAATATCAACCTATTCATAACAAAATACGTTAACCTTAAAAACATTATATTTGCAAAGTAAGGAAGGCACACAATAATACATAGAGTATAATTTCTATTCATGTCAAGAAACAGGCAAAATGAAATGATCAGTATTTTGGATATGGAATGGCACTTTAATTAAAAGCTAGGAAATGATGATCAGGAGGGGCAGAAGAGTGGTTTCCATGAGAGGAATGATGGGTTGTGATCAGGAACTAGAAGCCAAGGGGATTTGGTTCTTCCTTTTTTATACAAGCTGAGGACCTCAGTCTTTTAATTGGTAAAATTAGACTTCTCAAATGTGATGAGATTAATGATACAGTTTGATTAAAATCTAACATCTTTCTTTCAGTTTTCTGTTTATTTCATCTTTTATTTACTTATTTTTTCCTCTTTTCTTCCTTCTTTTGGTTTAACTGATCATTTGCTATGGTTCCATTTTATCTCCACTGTTGATGTATTCATGCCTTTAAAAAACAATTAAAGATGGCCTAGCATTTACAATATACATCTTTAATTACTCAGAGCTAGCCTTCAAGTAATGTTGCACTGCTCACAACAGTAACATGGCCTGATCTCCAAATTTGGTCCTTTGTACTTGCAGGGACTCTGCATTTCAAAACTCTCTGCTTTCATTACAAGTGCGTTCCCACAGTAGCTTTACTTGACATGAGTGATCATTGTTTTCCATGGTCTCTGGACATTTTCTTCTTCTCTCCATCATCTTCAAAACATTGAGGAGAAGCATTTCTTCTCTGAACGCCCCCTTGTGTTCCTGTTGCTCTCTATCCCAATATGGCCACTACAACTGTTTTGCAAAGTCATACAGAGCTTCAGGCCACAGACTTCTCCTGCCACTCAGACCTCCTTTGCCTCCCATTCTTTCCCAGCCACAAGCCCTTCCTTGGCCTTCCAGCCACTGAACAGAAGAGCTCCTCCTCTTCCTCCTCCACTTTCTCCTCCCCATCGTATTCCCCTTCCTCCTCCGCCTACTCCGCTCATCTTCCCCTTGCTCCAACTTCCCTTCCACACTCAACAGCAACCTGTGATCTTCCAGAAGATAGGGACTTAGGTTACTTTGTGTTCTATCTTCTGCCACACGTGAATATTACTCAGGAAGAAGATATTGAACAAATATTTCATGAGTACAAGGATGACATTCGCTATGTTTAAGGTAACACAACACAAGAACAGTCCGCTTTGTGTGATGTACTCTGTGTGTGTTTGTGTATACCCCGCATATGACTTTGTCTTGTCTTACAGGTAAAAGTACAACTTCAAGTACCACTAAGTAATACAGTTTTAAGGTTCTATGGACCCTAGATGTAGTACTTCAAATTGAAATTTTTATTTCTTGCTCATTAGAGACTCTATCTGTATGTGAGCCTTGGGATAAAATATCTCAATTTCTATTCATATCTAATTTCTACTTCTATGATATTAATATTATATAGTTCACTTCGTTTAAAAAATACTTACTATCCTTGTTATTGTAGCAAAGCATTTGCTTATGCCTTTAAGAGAAAAATACGATTTCTTAGATATGTTTGTCTTGCCAAAATACTCCAAACTTTTAACTTCACCTTTCACCTTAAATCCAGAAGCAACAATACAATTAACTAATTCTCTCCTTCCATAGTAAAAGCATAGGTGCTCCTTTAGACCTAAATGACATTTCATTGAAAATTCCTTTGCTCTTCAGAATTGTTTAATCTTGTGTGGGATAATTTTTGTGATATGGTTATTGAAAGATTCTGTTTTCTTGCAAAGCCAAGTCAGAGGACAATATTTCCAACCACTCATCCTCTGAGAGGTGGCTCCTAAATGCTTCTCCCATCACTTCCTGTTCCATGTGGTCCATAGGGCCTTGATGGTAACTGTCCAGGCCGTAGAATGATGTCCCACTGAAGAAACGCTTTGTTGTGCCTCCCAACAATGGATCTTTCCCAATAAAGTTGGAGAGACCAAGTATCCAAGTTGCCTGAGAATGTGAGCATGTTTAAAAACAGGTCCCTGGAAGGTTCAGACTTGTAACTATTGGACGGCTCTGAGGAAATATGTTTACTCTTGAGAAATCATTGTTTCTCACCTATAATATCTCAGGGTTAGGGTCAAGAAAGAATATTTGTTATAACTTCTATGACCTTAATCATCTTTTTCCTGAGATGTATATATCAGTGGAACTCTTGCACTTGAATATTTCAGTCTGATGAGCAGGTGCAACCCGATAGCAGTGAGCCTCTATGTTGGCATCAACATCATCTTTCCTCCAGGACACAGGATCATTTCTTGCGTTACAAGCAAAGGAAAAAAAATAGCTCTCCAAATAGAATAGTTCATCTTGATGTGTGCAATTTAAAGTGACTTAACTCTTTGACAGTTAAGCATCAGCATTGAAATGTTTCTCTCTCAGGACTCGCCCTCCTGCCAAATGCTTCATTTATGGTCAATTTGGTAATTGGGGGCGAGTTCATCTGTTCCTTTAATAGCGCTTGCTGAAATTCCGGAGCCACTCATGGAATAAAACTGTTGTGCACAGCCTCATGATTTTCAACATTTATTACACCCATTGTGTAATGTCTCTTCAATCGTAACCATTTTTATAAGTTTCTACTGATTCTTTCTCCTATCAGCTCTTTGGAAGTGATTCTGTATTTTTACCGTCATCATAATTGTGTTGCTTTATCAGTCAACATAATCACGGCTCTCAAGTCTTTACAATGAGTCAATTTGACTAATTTTATTTTAGAATGACACTGTGAGGTAGCAGTGTGCCATCATTCATGCATTTAATACTTTGCAAAATTATTCCAGAGTTGATGTGACTCATCACACTAGGAAGTAAGTAGACTGCAGATCCCCAAATTAGAACTCACGGCACTAATTTCCATATAATTGTTACATTGTTTACTCAATGAAATGCCTCCTCTATCACACACACACACCCACAAGAGAGAGAGAGACAGACAGCATCATCCGTGTCAGTGCCAGTATCATGTCTGATATCAGGGTCTTGATGGGTGGATGAGAGGGAAGGCAACACCTGATTTTCTACCACGTGGCAAACTCAAAGACCTTTATATATGCAAAATATTTACATCACAGCATAACAAGAAAATATATTTTGATTCCAGCCCTTTGCTTTGATAGGACCATAGCTAAACCATCACAGCTCAATATGGTGAAGTTGTTTTAAACACTAAAGAAGATTCCAGAATATATTTTAATAAACCACTCGGATATCTAACTCTCAATGTCTTATACATATTCCAACCTAAGACTTTTGCATTGTTATTTAAGTATATTCATTGTGTTCTCTTCCTAAGTAAGAATTTAAAGGTTTTTTTTAATTAAACACTTTAAGCCACCCAATCCTCCTTTCACTGCCTGTAAAATGACTTACTCTGTGCATTTTACTCTGCCCTGTTTATTTACATACGTGTTTCACAGATGCTTGGAGGAAAGACATGGCTTGTGGCCAGTGCTCAGTATGCTTCTGTGAACTGTTCTAGAATTTGTTGGGGATCTCTCGTGAAAGTCACATGGAGAGCCTTCCGGATTTCCAAGGAAAGGGCTTCACTGTGCTTGCAGGCGGAGTGGCACTTCGGTCTAATATCAGTACTAACCGGGAGACTCTGTATTTAATTGAGGTAGATAATCTGGATTTTACAAGTTGAGACAGGCATCATATGTATCTTTACACAGCTAATGAGGTGAACAAGGGGATTTGGAAAGAAGCTTTTCAAGTTTTTCAGATTTTCATTGGTATAAATGATGATTTCAACTAAATATAAGTTATTATCATTACTTGAGTTTTCATTTGTTTGGTTTAGGTTCATGTTACTCAGTGTTTTCCCCAAACAACACTGAGATCAGCTTCAGAATTTGGGTCACTTTAAAGATTCTGCAACTCTCTTCTCTAGTTTTCTCTAAAACTACTCTTGTCTACTTTTCAAAGATGAAATCATATTATTTTCCACTTAAAATTTACTTGAGTCATATTTCCTTGGAGATAAAGCATTCTCACCCTCACACTATCCTTTTAATAATTTTGATGAAAACAATCCAGGCCATGTTTACAGAAGATATAATCAAGGGTGTAGCACACAACAAAAGACTCCCATGATATCCTAAACATTCCTGTCTAAGGTTTGAGGGGTTTGTCTGATACCTTGATGAATTGGAAGACATGCCAAGTCCTATGATAGCTTCACCAGTCATTTCTCAAATGATTTGAAGAAGGTCCAATGTCAGCTATATAATGATAATGAAATTTTAGTACCATAAAAGAACACCCTTCATTCAAGGATACAGGATACTACCACAAACTATTTTCTTTGACATTTTCCATCAGTAAAACCATTATATTAATACTTTTACTGCTCGAAATGGAAGCCATTTGTGATGGGCTTTTTTAGTTGTCTTAAGAATAGGCAGAATTCTTTTTTTGTTATCTTTTTTACAGCTTATGGACGGAAAACAATTTCCCTTTTATAACAATCCAATATTCATAAGTCCAAATCAAAAATACTATTTTGAATAAAACATTACCTAAATATGAACAAATAGATTCTTTTACCAGCTAAGTAAAAATTATTTTAAATAACATATCTTCTAGGTCTGAGAAAAACAGAAACTTTAATGTGATCTGAATGGCTTCTTGTCTGATTAGTTTGGCAGGATCTGATGAGTGCCTGATCTCATCAATCAGGTTAAATCTATGTCAAGATCTATAGGTCAGATTCAGGAACTACTGTAAGAACACAGTGGCCAGACACCTGTCATATAAAGGATTTCATTTATATGATTCATGTCCTAAATTTGTTATACTGAAATTGTGACGTTACGAAAATTTGTTGATAATATCGTCCTTATAACAAAGAGCTGCTTTCATCTTTCATCATGAGGGATTTCTAGTATTACAGGTACTTTTCCATGTAACTCTATAAGCAAGTGCATGAAATAACATTATTCTATATTTAAATGCACATTATTTAAATATAGAATAATGTTAGATAATACTAACATTAAAGGTTTGGTATTTTGATTTGGTTTTTGTTCATTGATTGGGGAGTGATTTGACAATTTCCATTTAATAAAATGCAAATTTTAATCTTTTCACCAGTCTCCATGGGTTGTTTTCAAGTTAAATGAAACTTCTCCTTGGAAATTTCTATAACTGTCTCCACTGACCTTCTCTGGGGTTTTCAATCTTAGCTGTGTTTTGGAGACATGGTCCTATTAATTTGTACTTTATACAAGTGTTAGATTATTCTGTCCTTAATTATACTCTGTCAGTTTCCTGGCTCCGTGATCTGTAATTATGGAGGTCTTTCCTTATGGCTGGGTACCATGTTGGTATCTTTCCATTCTTCAGAAATCGTTTCTATTCTTGGAAATGCAGATCTTCTTCCTTCAATTTCTGTTCCTTTAGGACACTTGGATGACTCCTTCCTAAACTAAAGGGTAATTTGATACCCTTAACTTACACCGAAATACGTGCTTAAAACTTTTCAGTTTTTAGGTTAACCCACAATATCATAATTAACAGGAAAGAAATCACCTTGTAAGTTACTTGTTCATGTGTTTTATACAATTATCAAGTAATCAACAACACAATGAAAGTAATTGCCTTTTAAAAAATATTCTTCTGATTGTATTTTATCTTATCTCATTTTATTAAGAATTAGGAGCTTATTATGTTTCCCAGAAAATGAAATAAAATGAGGAAGTTCTTGATCCAAATAAGATACTGTGTTTTTTCTCTTTCAGTTTAAACTATATATTTAAAAATTGGTTTATATGTAGAAACAGAAAAAAATTAATTATAATTTGTTTCTTAACCCTTCCCAAGATGCTGTTATCTACAAATAATTTTTCTTCATTCAGTGGTAAGCGATATTCAAACAAACTAATTTGCAAAATTTGCTGCTCAAAATGGAAGCCATTTGTGACTGGCTGTTTTAGTTGTTTTGAGGATAGGTGTAAATTTTTTTGTTGTTAATTTTTTTTCAGCTTATGGATTGAAAACAATGTCCTTTTATAACAATATAATATTAATAAGTCCAAATCAAACATCCTCTTTTGAATAAAACGTTACCTAAATATGGAAAAAAGATTCTTTCACCAGCTAAATAATACTTTATTTTCATTTTTATGGGGTTGAGGATGGTTTCACAAGTATTCTCATTTCCGTCTAGCTTCAAGCAACAAAAGACTTCAAAATTCCTTAAATTTTCACAACATATTCCATAGTTAATTAATTTTATAAATACTTTAAGAAGATATATTTAACTACTTCATATAATGTAGATTTATATTATTATTATTGAGACAGAGTCTTGCTCTGTTGCTGAGGCTAGAGTGGTATGGTCACTGCTTAGTGCAGCCTCAATTCCCCAACTCAAGCGATCCTCCCGCCGCAGCCTCCTAAGTAGCTGGCACCACAGGTGCATAACCTCGCCCAGCTAGTTTTTAAGTTTTTTGTAGAGAATGGGTCCCACTATGTTGCCTAGACTGGTCTTGAACTCCTGGGCACAAGTAGTCCTCCCACCTCACCCTCCGCTTTTATATTATTACATGTTGAAATTCTAAACACATTTCCTCACATAAGGAGGAATGTGTGATGATTTCACATAATGAATGATTCAGAACACAGTTTTTTTCCCACTTTTTATTTTTTATTTTCCCTCTTTACAGTAATATTTCCTTAGGAAACAGTGTCATTGCTTAAGTAAATTATGAAAATGTACAATAGTTATATGAAGGGTTCATACTCTTTTTTTCTGGTATTGAAAAAGTTTGAGACTGATCTTAATGTCTGTCTACTTTTCAAAGATGAAATCATATTATTTTCCACTTAAAAATCAATATTTATATTTAAAATCCACTTTGATTTTAATCAGTTAATTAAATGGAGAATAGTCAAAGGAAGAAATAATGAATTTACTAAATATGCTGCAATGCAATAAATATACATTTTCTCCATCATTGCAAATTCATTCCTTTTTTCCAAATTTTATTAATTTCGAAGTGTTTCATTGGCTCTATTGTGACGAGTATATGTCCACAAAGCAGAGAAAATTTTCAAGTATTCTGAACCCAGTTGTACACATTCTTAGTGATTCCAGTGGCTAAAAAT
Organism: Homo sapiens; assembly: GCF_000001405.40. Lineage (NCBI taxonomy): Eukaryota > Metazoa > Chordata > Mammalia > Primates > Hominidae > Homo > Homo sapiens. The sequence continues at coordinate 77,739,403 of NC_000018.10, read as the reverse complement.
CTTTGACAATATTCTAATTTTTGTCCTACACATCAATTGTCATGACACTGATGAAATGACATTAATCTTCTTTTATAAAAGATTGTTTTCTAGACTATTTAGATGCTTCCTAAGCATGAATGTTACCTCAATTCTACTTTATTCATTGTATATGCTCTTCAAGGAATATGCAAGTATATGTCTTCTTTTTTGTTTTAAAAGCAATTCTCCAGGGGGTCAGAAATGGGTGTTATGCTTCACACTAAACAAAATATCTTGAATCAATGCTTATCTTCCAGGGAACGCCCTCTGTGAATCACAACTTCTCATTTATACTCTCAGCAGGACCAGGGGAAGCTTTACAAGTGAGAACCTAGAGGTTAAGTAGCTTGGCCACTTTTCCAAATCAGCCATAGACTAAGCCTTCCCATTGGCATATGCTGGCTGAAGTTGTTTTGTGTGAGAATTCAGGGAAAGAAAGCATTTGTACACACAGACACACACAGAGGAGGGCCTGCCCCGTTTCCATGTATATTACACAGGGCACACACCTGTACTAGGATGTGATGAATTGTAGAACACATTTCCATATCAAAACCTAACACAATTCATTTGGAATCTCATTTCAAAGTTGTCCTCAGTTTTGCAAATCTGATACTCATATATAATCCTGTTAGTATTTAAAACTGCATATGTTATGACATTTTAACACAGAAGAAAATGCTTTGTTTTCAGAAACTCTAAAGTGTTTAGAGGCAGAATGAATAAAAATGCTTAAATTAGTTAATTGTCATGTATTTATTAATGTTGAAAAGACACCAAATAACTGTTAGTGTTGCTTCACAGTCAGCTATTTTTAAAACTATCTTATAAATTAGACCTCCTAAATTAGACAGTATTTTTCCTCACACATTTTATTATTAAAGACAATTGGTTTAATTCACCATTTGTCTTCATCCCCAGGTAAATCTTCCTCATCACCAGGAGACACCGGCAGAAGCTCTGTGCATCGCTCCGGAACACACCGTCATCTGGGAGGTCCTGGGTTATTGTTTTGCTGTGAAGGATGCCATCTAGATTATTCACAAAGTTTCTGTAAATTCTAAAATTGTATGCAGTCATATATGACTGAATTCTAAAATTCTAAATTTCATATATGACCGCATAAAATTTTAGAATTTACAGAAACTTTGTAACTCATCTAGATAGCATCCTTCATAGCAGAAAAGAGAGAGAGTTTAGAACAATGACACAGGACCTTCCAGATGACTCAAGACTGGGGAGACCCAGGGTGAGAGAAGAGAGAAGCAACTCATGTTGCCTTTGAGAAGACAAAAGAGGAAGCAGAAGGAAAGGAAAGGAAAGAGAAAGGGACACAGAAAGGGCTCAGGAAGGTGGAGAGAAGGCCCATCAAAGGAGGAATGGCAGCCTGCCTTCCAGGCCAAGGGGTCCAGCGGTCCTTCCTCATTAGGAAACCAAGTTAATTTCCTGTACCTGCAAATGTTTTTCAACAAAACAAATGACTTTGTTTTCTCCTGTGTAAAAACATCAACTAGATTGAGTGGATACCCAACAAACTCTCACAGGAACCGATGGAAAATAAGTGAGGGACCATCACAGTGATGCAAACAAACTGCTTATAATGCTTCTCACAACTATGGTATTCACTTAACCAATAAAAACAGAGAGAGACCGACTGTGATCTCAGCACTGGAGATCAAGGGGTCACAGAGACAGGCATGAGAGCGGCCCTGATGGAGCCCACGTTCTGGGAATGGACAAAAGTTACGCAATCAATTATTTCAGTAGAAGCCTGACAACTGAGACAGAGTGCGTAGGAGTGGCAATGTCACTGGCCCACATGTCAACAATGCTGTCTGCAATTCTTGCGTTTCCTGGAACTTAAGTAACAGTTGAGTGTAAGGGAGCACATCACGTTACTGACAGGTGTCCCTGGATTATAAGACAAGCCCCAACTCCACCCTAACTGTATTTTAGAATTGAAAGAGCTTCATTGTATTGCCCACTCTAGTAGAATAGATAACAGTTTCAAAGACATTGACAGCACTTCTTTCAAGTCTTTATTCTTTGAGGTTGACTTTTAGAATGGAAGTAAATGTTTTAAAATTGATTCATACAATCGGTAAAACTGTTTTGTCACGTGCGACTCTAAGCCTTCTGGTTTTGTGTTTTTCATATCGTTTTCTCATTTCCTCAAAACAACACTAAATTGAATGTGTTGAGTTTTATGGCTGCTATTAAACCCACCAAGAACCACTCTCAATAAACCCTTCTCCTTAAAGAAGAATTTTTCTCCCTCCTAAATGATTGTCTGGCATCCTGACCTTGACCTCGACACAGACCTCAGCCTTTAAGGACACCTGCGGTCTGTGGTTGTGCAAACCACAGAACCCAATCTCTTTCACGGTTTTGAGCCAGTGTGTTTTTCCAGAGCTAATGGCATGCTTACAATCATAAAAGATATGCATTACACAAGCTCTCTATTTTGCATTTTTGTTATTGTGACTAAGAAACAGTAAGTAGACCAAATTGAACTCCATTAAAAGGGGACTCATCATGGAATGTAGAGGGCTTGCTGTTGCTTATTTGTGATATATGGGAAGTTTCATCTTAAAACATGGTGAAAACTTCATTAAGAAATAACTCAACAAAAAGGCTGTTGCTTTGAGATGATTTGATCCCTTGATTGTTTTCTAATCATTTGAAGTTGACTGCTTGAAATAAAGACTCTTTATATTTTTAAACAGAGGAGTGTAGAAACACCAGTGACTTTTGAAACGATGTTAGGAGATGACGTTGGAGCACTTCTTACAGAAATGCTGGCAGGGCGATGCACACGGGGGCAGTGAGAGCACTTGCACAGAGAAAGCCCTCCTGACTCTGAGCACAAGGGCTCCTCTCAGTCAGCAGGTGAAGAATCTTTACGGACATGTTAACTCATTTCACTTATATTTTCCTATATATGGAGGCCTGAGCAAAGCACATTATTTTAAAATCTACCTAAATAAGTCTAAGTGAGCTCTTCCAATAAATAAATAAACAATTACATGATTTCCATCCATAGGAATTCTAATTAGAAAAGGTTGTCTCTTATTTTCCTTTCCAGCACACTCTCGTCATTATGATCTCCTCATCCCCTTGTGATGTATTCTCCCTTTGGAATAGGAAACAGCATCATCTGACCTGGCTGCTGTCATTTCCTGTGTCTTGGTTGCCAGGTGTCTTCTTAAAAATAAAACCAGATATAAGGCAGGTGCTCAGTAAATGTGTGAATAAGTAAATTAATAAATGAACCTATTAGGGTAAATTGCCATAAATAGGTCATGTAAATTTTAAACCATGTGAGCAAAACCAAATCAAACAGATATCCCCTTCATATATCTATACATGAGACTACTTTTCACTTAGTTAAGTTTATTCTCAAGAAAGAAAAATCTCTAAGGAAAGATATTCTTCAGCATTGAGTTATGAGTTAATTGTACTAACTGCTATTTCCTTAATGCAGTCGTATTTTGAAAGGTAAGGCTTTGCTGACAATTCTTTAATTTGAAACCGTGTACTCTGTTTTCATCAGAAAAAAATGATATTTTAAACTAGGAGCTTTTAGAATTAAAAAAAATCTATTTCAAAACACAGTATCTTCCATATAAACAGTGAATTCTATCCCTCCCCTAACAAAAAAACTTATGGTTTGATATTAATCATGAGAACAAAACACTTTAATCTAATAGCTATGGAAAACAATAAAAGATAATTTCACCAGGTGAAAAGAAATTAATGTAAAGAAGTATAGGAATGAGATCCACACCAAATATAGAAAACAAGCTTGGAAATGGCTCTCCTTTAAAGGCCTATTCCTAAATAATTCATGATGAACTAATTAATAGTGAATTTTGTGTCTCTTATAATTACTAACATTGGTTAAACTGAGCCCTAACAAATATCACATTAGGTATTGAAAAGTTCATTTTAGTCAGTATCACTAATCCTGCCCTCAAACATCCCTGGATAAATTATTTCTTTAAGGCTGAAAAATTCTTGCTCTCTTTTCTCTTTTTAAAAGAGGGAATTGATTGGCTCTTAGGTACAATAATTTTTACATGTTTATATAAATAACATTGAAAATTCTTCCCAATATTTGAGGTTACACAGTTTAGTCAAAATGAATCAAATTATACTGATAATAAACTTTTAATGGCACTTTAGATTTGAAAGAAAATTTGTACTTTATCATAATATCATCGTTAAAAAAAAAAAAAGCAAACGACTAGGAAACATCTTTCCTTTGAGCTGAAGTTCATATTATCTTAGAGGTAACATTATCATTTCCATGATCTATTTGCTGCCCACTTTTGGCAGGAGCTTTATTTTTTATTCCAGAAACAGAATTTTCTAAGTTGCACATAGAAAAGCAAATTCTGATAGCATGTGGTTAAGAGCTTCAGGTATGTGGCATGCTTCTGCCTGTTCCAAACCCTAATCACAGACTGAGATTCAGTATCTTTGCAGGATGAAGTTCATAAACACTGGGTATGGTTACAATAAATCATGAACTAAATTATTATTTAAAAATAAATGTTAGACTTGCGTAAAGTACTAAAAATATATTACTGTTTTTTGATGATTTCTATACAAGTCACTTTCTAAAAATATTTCAGAACCATGATAGATGTAATGTGGTTAACAGTTTGTCTGATGGGTAGTAATAGCAGTAACTTTACCTTTATCATACTTTAAATCAATGTTTTAGGTGAGTGTGTTTAAAAAATCATCTGTATAATCCCAAGAGAAGGATATTGATAAAATATTTGAAAACTCCCCAAATGCTTCCAAACTTGTTCGTCGGCATTTTCTTTATCCATTATGCAAATATTTCAACTTATCAATAATTAAAATAGCAACACATTAATAATTAGGATCTCCATTACAAACCTGACCTTTAATTGAATTCTATAGGAATAGACTGAAAAATGAGCCTCTTGATTTATGCTAAGGATAAAGGTTAAAAACCATTTTCCTAGTCAACCTAATTTTCTTGTTCTGTCGAAATAATAAAATTGAAGGAAGATTGTTCTCTAGGCATATTCTACCCCTCTCCCGTACACGCCCCATTATGCTCTGCTTCGACAAACGGGCTAACAACAGTTCAAAATTGGGGGCACATTCCCTCTGTGCTCTCCAGTCTCCCTTCTCCAGAGGCAGTCTGGGAAGTTAAACGTTTCCAAAGGTTTGAAAAACAAAACTGGAGGCAGATTATGTCCATGCGGAACTATCAGTGCGGCCATTTTAACTGAATTCAGTCAATTCAGACACATGCCTGGGGAATCCAATCAATCAGTTTGACTGCGTTTTTTTCTCATTTAATTAGTCATTGAAGTACAGTGATTGACTCAACGCTTTGCACAGACATCACTGTTATTACATACACAAATTCATGCTGGCAGCCCCTGCTCCATGGGGTAGAAACAGGGTCCAGCAGTGCTGGTGCTTTTGGAGGCAGCCTGTGGGCCTCACAGGTAGGAAGGTGTGGATGGGGGGCTGTGTCCTGAGGGCCAGCATGGCGCACGGAGGCCAGGAGTTTCTTCGTCCTCCACATTGAGAAGGCTCTTGGACGTGATCGAGCCTTGAGTTCCCGCCCTCTCCAGCCCTTGTCTCCAAACTACACACAGGAAGTTCTCCTGCAGGGACTTGCTGACAGAGCCGCAGGTGAGAATAAAGAGTTTCTAAAAATGAGGGAAAGGCGATGTCCTTATCAATGACACAAAAACAAAGTGCATTTCTCCAACAGCAGCTACATACACCCGAGGACGGACGGAGGAGTGAAAAGAGCAGATGTGCGCAAGCAGAAGAGAGTTACAGGCAGGCTTCCTGCGATCACTCCTGACGAATCTGCATTTACCACCCGCAGGTTTATTTGGCGGACGCATCCACAGCGCCTCCAATGGCTTCTAGTGCTTCCTGTTCTTTCCCTGTGAATCGCCAGAAAATCATTGATGACATAGGAGTTTGTGCTCAGCATCTGGGTTTTCATAACACACAAAATATTATGAAATTTCTTTCAGAAGTAATATTCAGAAATATTACTTCTGAAAGAAATCTGAAAAGGACTGGGGTTATGTTAACAAGCTCTGATTTATGAAGTTAAGGAGTTGAGAAAGAGGTTAAAAACATACAATCGGATTAAAAACAACCAGATTCAAAAATGGGCAAAAGACCTGAAGAGATATTTCTCCAAAAAAATACATAGAAATGGCCAACAGGTACATGAAAAAATGCTCAATGTTGTTAATCATGAGGGAAATGCAAATTAAAGCCACAGGGAGAAATCACCTCACACCTGTTAGAATGGCTATTATCAAAAAGACACAAGTTAACAAGTGCTGACAAAGATGGGGAAAAAAGGGAACCCTTGAACACTGTTGGTGGGAATGTAAATTAGTACAGCCCTTTTGGAAAACAGTATGAAGATTCCTCAAAAAACTAAAAATAGGACTACCATGCAATCCAGCAGTCCCACTGCTGGGTATATATTCAGAGGAATTGGAATCGGTATGTTTAAGAGATATTGGCACTATTCACCATAGCCAAGGTAAAAAATCAGCCTAAGTGTCCGTGAACAAATGAATGGATTAAAAAAACTTGGTATATATACAAAATGGAACACTATTCAGCCTTAATAAAGGAAATACTGCATTTGTGACAACATGGGTGAACACAGAGGGCGTTATGATAATTGAAATAAGCCAGGCACAGAGAAACAAGTATATGTGGAATCTAAACAAATCAAACTCATAGAAGTAAAGAGCAGAATGACAGCTTCTTGGGGGTATGTGGTGGAGTGGGAAAAGGGGAGACATCAGCTAAAGAATAACAAGTTTCAGATAGACAGGAAGAATAAGTTTTAGTAACCTATTGCACAGCATGGTGACCATAGTTAATAATAATAACGTAATTGTACATTTTAATGATGCTAAGACAGTAGATTTTAAACATTCTCACTACCAAAAATTAGTAGATGAGATGATGGACGTATTCCTTAGCTTGATTTCCACATGCATATGTACATCATTCCACTACGCCTACATACGTCAAAGCTTCACAATGTATCCCATAAATATGTACAATTATCTGTCAATTAAAAATAAATAAATAACATATTATTATCAAACAGGATGCCCACTATGGTTTTCTGCTACCAATTCTTATTCGTTTAATATAGTCCATATCCATTTTCCTTCGATTTCCAGTTTATACGTTTAAAAATCAAGGATGTGTCTTCAATTTTGTGAATTTTTTCAGACTTTACTATTTTTTTTCTCCAAAATTCTCTCACTTGAGTGAATTCCACGACTAGACATGTTTACATGAAACTACTTTTGGAATGAAACCTTACTTAAGTATGATGTACTATACTCTAACATTGGTTTAACTTCCTCATGTTTGATCTAGGATTTTGTCTGCAGGGTTAGTGTCACTGGCTAACGTATTGAGTAGAAAGTTGAGTTTGGGGGCTTGTTAAAATGCAGATCTCAGTTCAGTAGTTCGGGGATGGCATGCAAGGTTCTGCGTTTCCGCCATCTGCCTCGTGCTGCAGCTGCGGGTCCGTCCCAGGCACAGCTCTTGTCCCTGCTCTGTTGGGTCATGGACGTAGGCACTGAGCTGGACTTGCCCTGTCGGGTTTTCAGGGTTGTGCTAAGATGCAGAGAATGAGTATTTTTTCTGTATTCTCTGATAACATATTAAATATAGAAATATTGCTGATATGTAAAGATAGAACTTAATTTTGAAGCTTTGTAGAAAGTGATGTCCTTTTTATGGGTAGAATTCTTGTTTCCTTTTCAATGTTTTTCCTGGGTGCTGGTTCACTCCAGTGTTTTACTTATTTGAAAAAAAATTAATAATATACATTTTTCTAATAGTTTATTAATCTACATTTTCAAATTTATTTGTATTACTTTTAAACAAAATTCGACTACAATATTCTATTCTATTAGATTATCTGTGTCTGCCCCAATATTCCTAACGTTATGTCATGGATTCTCTGTGTTCTTACATCAGCCTTCACAAAAGCTTATCTGCTTTATTCACACATGCAAGGAATACATTTTTCATTTGTTCATTTATTCAATTCTGCATGTTTGTTTTAATTTTATTGATTTGTGCTACATTCTTCTTTTCTCTCTTTTCTTCTTTAGATATGCATTTTTTCCCTAGCTTTTTGATGTCAATTCTCAGTTGTCAAATTCTGTTGATTGCTAGGTTATACATTTCCCTCTAACCAACCTTCTAAGTTGTATTTTAAATATTCAACATAGGTGCACCTTTGCAATACATTTATAGATACTTTTTAATTTTCTGTCCCACAGTCTATATTTTCATGTAGATAGAATTTTAGCAATCCATTTTAATTCTGCCTTTGTCACCTCATTGCAATGTGGTTACAGATCATGTACGCTTTTGGACTTCGTTGATTTTGTCTTTCATATCTATTACATGACCATTTTCTCATTAATGGTGTTTGAAAAAATATTAATTAATTTGAGGAACATAATGTCCTGTTTAGAGCTATTATATCTGTTAGTCATTGCAGAATTCAAATACTGTGCTTTTACAAATTATTTTTCAAGAAGACTTACTAGTGTTTTAAAAAGTACTCTAAAATATCCCATTTTGTTGTAGATGCCACTGTTCCCATAGTATGCTGAAGCTGTGTTGAGCAGCACGTGAAGGTTCACCTTGCTGCTATATTATCTTAGTGGTTTTTAACATTTAACATGCTTTGTCTTGAATTACATCTCTGTATTATTTCTATAGCTCTTTACTTTATGTTGTAATTTTAATTTCCTTCCTCAACACTTTGTTTTTAACTGCGTTGTCATTTGTATCTGGGTGTACCTCTTGGCCTGCTGAATTTAATCCTGTGTTTATGTATGTCTGTGTGTGTATCTGCACCTAGAATCAGTCACTATCTTCTTTCTGAACAATGCAAATATTTTACAGACTTTGGGAGTGGCTATCTAGAAAATAAATGCCTCTCTAACTCCTAGAATCATGCCTGTGATCCATGTTCAGCTCTCTGGAGCTTTTAGCATTTTAGCGTTATTGCCAGTGTTTAAATTGTCATAGAGAAGAGCTCTGGGTGAGTTTCTCTCATTCACTGCACTGAGGTCATGGTGAAGTCTTGGTTTTGGAGACCCATCTTTGTTGTTTTGGGATGTCTTCTCCCACCTTGTATTTGATGGAACCCTCTGTGTGTTTTCTCCATGCTCTTTTGCTCTAACTCCTACTGAAAGGACAATGGACCTCAAAGACTGAAAATTGCTTATTTCCCTTGGTCAATCTCTTTGTGTTATTGTTCTTCTTTTAGAGAAATTTCTTTGATTTTATCCTCCAACTCTTCCAATAAGTATTTCAAGAATCATCTATCATATATTTATTATTAAGTTTTTTTCTTGCTTTCAAGTTGTTTATTGGTTTATAACATCCTATTATTTTATTGATGACAATTTTATCTTATCCTTTGAGAATGAATATTAGTGACTGGATTTTAATTTGAAGTCTTCTTCTGCTCCTACATTCTCTATTACAAATACTGATTCCTTTATTTTTCATGCTTCAGGATGTCCAACGATTGTTTCTTATAGGAATACTATACACATTATTGAGGAAATATCTATGTGGATATGTGGGCTTCACTATACAGTGAAAATGTGGCCTGATGAAGCTGTGTGATGGGAACTCAGAAATGTTCCTATGTATCCAGCAGAGGAATTTGTCTTTCCCACAAAAAAGGGCCTCTGGGTGTCCTGCCAGCCTGAGCTTGGAAGTGGGTCTGTGCGGGGCAGTGGGAGTCATGGACCTCACAGGGCTGTTTCTTAAACCTGCAGTGTGTCGGCTGGTGCCTGCTGTACACTATGCAGTATTTAGTGTTTACAATATCAGAGTCCCTTAGCAGATATCAGCAGGGTATGCTCCCCTCCATCGTCATTTCTGCCTTTGAGGAACACATCCACATTGCTCCTTTCCAATGGCACTTTTTATTGAGCTTCACAACTCTTACGAATTTATCTAACTTTATGGATTTTTGGCAGAAGGAACATCAGATGGATGACTTTATTCCACTTGACTGGCACAAGCTTGGATGTTTTTCTACCTTAATATGTCTGATAGAGACAGAGAGTGAGAAGGAGAGGGATATACAGATAGAGAGATAGAAAGAGATAAAGATAAATAGAGATAGATATATAGAGAGATATAGATAGAAAGATAAAGATAAATAGAGATATAGAGAGGTATAGATAGACATAGAGATAGGTCAAGATAGAGACAGAGATAGAGATATAGATAGGTATAGATAAATATTTATATATAGAGAAAGATAAATAGTGACAAAGATAAATAGATACATAGATATAGATAGATAGATGATAGATAGATAGATAGATAGATAGATAGATAGATAGATAGATAGATGATAGATAGATAGACAGATAATGTTGTGCTTTGGATGTTTGTCCCTCCAAATCTCATGTTGAAATGTGATCTAACCATTGGAAGTGGGACCTAATGGGAGGTGTTTGGGTTCTGAAGGTAGATTTCTCATTAATAGGTTAATACCCTGGGGGAGTGGTAAGTGAATTCTCACTCTGTTAGTTCCCACAAGACAGCTGTTATTAACAAAAGCCCGGCACCTCCCCACTTTCTCCCTCTCTCACATCTCCGTATGATCACATGGATAGAGATACACGTGCCTGTGATGTGTAGATACAGATCAGAGAGAGAGATCCATGTGATCCATAGATCTATACCTACGTATCATATGGATCTGCACAGCTGGCTTCCCTTTGCCTCCCACCAGGGGTGGGAGCAGCCTGAGACCTCCCTGGAAGCTCAGCAGATGCTGGCACCATGCTTCTTGTACAGCCTGCAGAACCATAAGCCAAATAAACTTCTTTCCTTTATAAATTACTCAACCTCAGGTATTCCTTTATAGCAACACTACATGGACTAAGACAGAAAGACAGATAGACAGACAGATGATAGACAGATGATAGACAGATAGATAGATAGATGATAGATAGATTATAGATATGTAGATGATGATAGATAGATGATAGATATATAGATAGATGATAGATGATAGATAGATAGATAGATAGATAGATAGATAATATGAATTATGTGAACCTGACCCAATTGTAAAAGGAAAAACCATTCTAGACTGATAAGAGAAATATCCCCACTCCTCTAAAAAACCTGGAACAGTGAGTTATACTGATTTTTCTGAGTTCCAGCTGTCTAGGCTTTGAAACAGATATTTCAGCACTGGGGAGTATTGAGATGTATTCAATATTTTGATTGTAGTTTTAATAAATGGCCTCAATAGTCAGAATATAAAGAAGAAAGCTAAAACTATAGAGAGAAAAATCAATTGAGTTCCTGAAGTAGAGTGAGGGTGATTATTCTTAGACAAAGGAATTGGAGGACAGATTGTCAACTGTAATTGATGAACATACTGGTAAATTTAAAGAACAAGAAATTAAAAATAAACAGATTCTGGATTGCATTAAGTGCTTTATTTTAACCTGTGCTTATTGAATTCTATAACACTTTTCGATTGAGCCCAGATAGTTCACCAGTGTAACATTCACCTGGGACATAATTACAGCAAGGCTATTTCTCCATTACAGGGGCCCCCATAGCACCTCACCTTCTGTGTTGAACCTTTACTTCTCCTCACTTAGCTCCAGGTGGGACCCACATTGCTTTCTAGAACATGTCAAGTACAATGTCACACTGAAGACCACTCTGAAGGGTTTCCCCTTGTCTCTGAGCCTGGACAGTTTCTTCAACATCCCAGGAAAGGAGAGTGAAAAGGGAGGCTTCCTTTTCCTTGGGGTGTGAAAATGACAAGAAAGCAAACACATGTTGGCTATGGCTTTGGATCCCTTGAGAGTCTGTGTGTGTGCATGCGCGTGTGTGTTTGCATGCTTATGTGTGTGCATGTGTAGAGTTGTTCAATAGTTGAAGGACAATAAACATGGTAAAGAAATCCCAACATTTTGTGATCTTAGCAAGTGAATCTAATTATCTTTCTTTGTCTCAAACACCTCATCTCTAAAACAGGAACATAGCACCACCTAATTCACAGGTTTGGGGAGTACTAAATGAATTAATACTTGAAAAGCATGTGGAAAAGTGCCTGCACATGGGAAATGCTCAACATGTGTTATAATAGCTTTTGTTATAATTGAGTGTTGAGAGAAACTTGAACGTGAATATCTTTAGGTCAAATAAACTACCATGGTACAATAGGCTTATATAAAATATTTATATGTGAAATATGTGTGTGTGTGTTTGCATGTATTTGGGCATACACAACCCAGTGAGCTGAGTACCATTACTGTCCCCATTTTAATCATAGAGTTACTGACAGCTCATAAATGGAAGCTGGAGCAAAAGTCCATACAGTAGAACTTGAGACTCTGTGTTCTCTAATATCTTCTTTAAGAAAACATAGTAACGATAACAGGGCATTTGTTAATCAATAAGTTAAAGACAATGTTTCTAACTGTTTTTAACATGCCTTAATAATTATTATTTTATTTGATAAGGCTAAGAAAATTATACAGACGATTTCAAGTCATTTGGGATGAAGATCAACTAAGATTATAAGACCCAAAATTCAGTTATCTGAATTATGGGTTGTTGTTGCCCATTTCTTTTTCCTACTACTAGAGGACTACAAAAAGTTTATCTCAAAATAAAATTATCAAATAAAAATAAAAAACATGAGTTTCATTTCTCAACATAAGCACCAACAAGATCAGAAGCGATAATACCAGCAATTCAGTTCATTGCTAAAGAACTAAGTGTCCTGGGAATTTAACCATGTCAATGCTGTCTTTTCTATATTATTAACTGAAGAAAAATGGGTGCCATTTAATGCTTTTTTAAGATTAGAAAACAAAAAGAAGCCATAAGGAGCCAAAGCAGGACGGTCAGGTAGATGCCTATTGATTTCCCATCAAAACTCTCACAAAATTGCCGTTTTTGATGAGAGAAATGAGCAGGAGCATTGTTGTGGTGGAAAAGGACTCACTGGTGAAGCTTACCTCAGTGTTTTTCTCCTAACACTTTGGCCAACTTTCTCAAAACACTCTCATAATATGCAGATGCTATTGTTATTTTACGCTCCAGAAAGACAACAAACAAAATGTCTTGAGCATCCCAAAAAACTGTTGCCATGAACTTCGCTCTTGACTAGTTCAATGTGCTTTGACTGAAACATGTCCCCCTCTTGGTAGCCATTGCTTTGCTTTTGTTGTGTATTCAGGATTGTACTGGTAAAGCTATGCTTCGTCTCTGGCTAGAGTTCTTCAAATAAATGCTTTAGGAACTTAATCCCACTTATTTAAAATTTCCATTGAAAGCTCTGCTCTTGTCTGCAGCTTGTTTGGGCACAATGGTTTTGCACCCATCCCATGATCAGTTTGGTCAACTTGAATTTTTCGGTCAGAATTGTGTAAGCTGAATGAATTGAGATGTCTATGGTGTTGGCTCATGTTTCTGCTCTTAGTCATCAGTCCCCTTCAATTAGGACATAAACAGCAAGTTTTTTCTTGCAAATTAATGTGAATGGTCTGTTGTTGTGGGCATCATCTTCAACATTGTCTTGTCCCTCTATATAATACATTATCCATTTGTAAACTGCTGATTTATCTGGGGCATTGTCATGGTAAACTTCTTGTAAAGCAATCAGTGATGTTACCATTGCTTCACTATAAATCTGATGTGCATTCATGCTTCAATTTTAGCAGAATTCATTTTGCTCTGTTAGGTGCTCTTTTCAAAATGATGTCTTATCCTTTTGAGTGATTCAAACTAGAGTTTGTTCAGACATCTTGCAGTAGCTTAGTACAAGTTGACTTCGATGCAAAAAACTTTTGAAATCTATGCACGGTTTTTAAAGGATACATTTTCTATGAACTTTTTTGAAAACCCCTTATATTTACCATTAAGCCATTTGTATTAGTCTGTTTTCCCACTGCTGATAAAGACATATCTGAGACTGGACAATTTACAAAAGAAAGAGCTTTAATGGACTTAAAGTTCCAACTGGCTGGGAGGCCTCACAATCATGGCAGAAGGCAAGGAGGAGCAAGTCACATCTTATGTGGATGGTGGCAGGCAAAGAGGGAGCTTGTGCAGGGAACCTCCCATTTTTAAAACCATCAGATCTTGTATGACTTACTCACTATCATGAGAACAGCATGGGAAAGACCCACCCCCAAGAGTCAGTTTCCTCCCACACAGTCTCTCCCACAGCACATGGGAATTCAAGATGAGATTTGGGTGGGGACACAGCCAACTATATCAACATTTCATTTGACAGAGGAAAGATAATGTGAAAGAATATAGGGAAAACTTCAGATTTTATGCTGTGTTGGTGATAGTTCGTCCCATAAGGACACTTTGTTTCTTTATCCAATGACCATTATTTGAATACTTACTGTGTCTCTGACATTTTTACTAAATATCCTGGCTGAAAAAAAGTCATCAGTTCTGATGTTTCTCCTTATCACATGTATGCTCATTTCTTTGTAAACTTTATTTTTAATTTATTTTAAATTTACTTTTGAAAAAATATATTACTTTCTTATTGGTTTAAGAACATTTGAGAAAACATTTCCAAAAATTATGTATGTATAGTAGTAGGCTTCTTGCAAGAGAACTGAAGCTTTCATTTGAAATCTGCAGCTCTCTGTTTCTTCACTGATTAAAACAGAAGTTTGGTTTTGAGAATAGCAGCCACATTTAAGATAGAGACTATGGTTTCTTCTCATTGTATTGTTAGTACTTGGCCAATGAGTGGCGGGTGGTCGGTGGTGGCTCTGTGTGTATTTATTGAGTCGATCCACAGATTCTTCGTGGAGCATTGACTAAGTGTGTACTGGGCACGTTCTTTGCTTGGTGCCAATTCATCTGCTCCCAGCTCACCCTGTGATTTCACATTTGCCTCCTCTGTGCATGTACATCCGAAAGTCATTACCTGACTTCCCTCTCCAAGTAAAGACAGCTAGCAGGCTACCTCAAGGTGTGCCCTCACCTGACGTAGAAACTGGGACCTCCACCCAAGACTTGCCAAGTCAGACCTGTCCGTTTCTGCTCCTCATTACATTTCGTTCATGTTTCACTCCTCTGAGCCACTGTTTCTGACAGATTCTACTTTTGTGTTTTGATAGCTTTCTAGTCTCATTTAAAAGACAGAATGTATTCTCATATTAGAGTAGTTATTATGAGCTATTGTTGGAAATAAGAATAAGAAAATAACCAATTCATTTTAATCTACATTTACATTCCACTAGCCTGTAACATAGGAAAAATGTGATATTAAAGTGTCATAGTTTTTTTTTTTTTATTTGTATACATTTAGGGGTATAAGTGCAGTTATGTTATATGGATATATTGCATAGAGGTGAAGTCTGGGCTTTTTGTGTAACCATCACTGGAATAGTGAACATTGTACCCAATAGGTAGTATTTCATCCCTTCCCCTACTTCCACCCTCCCACTTATCAGAGATGCCGATGTCTGTTATTCCACTCCCTGTCAGTGTATACCTGTGGTTAAGCTCTCACTTAGAAGTGAGAACATGTGGTTTTTAAACTTTTTTTTCTGAAGCATTTCATTTCGGATAGTGCCCCCTGGTTCCATCCATATTGCTGCAAAAGACGTGATTTCATTCTTTTTAATGGCTGAATAGTAGTTATAATTTCTTTTTAAATGTAAAAATTTTAAAACTTTCAAGTGTTAAAAAATATAATATTATAAAAATTGTAATATGTAAACACTTCCATATTTTATCCTTTGATAGAAATAAATATTGAGAAATAAAGTCAGATATAAACCAACATGAGAACACCACAGATGTTAGGACCATGTCCCCATCTCTTGAGGTTAATAAGGAACAGAACATGTTTTGAGGATGCCTTTAGCACCAGGCCAACCAATGGGGACTTTTACGTATATTAACATCTCATGTAACCTCCCCTCAGACCAAAATTATAATGTAATATTCAATCTCAAAATAAACTGAAGCAGCCATTAATGAAGTTTGAAATTTTTTTCTTTTAATTCCTCTTTGCCACAATTATGATAGCTGTTCTTTCTTTGTTTTCTGTTTTAGAATTAAAATTACATATTGTGGGCCAGGCATGGTGGCTCACACCTGCAACCCCAGCATTTTGGGAGGCAAAGGCAGGTGAATCATTTGAGGCCAGGGTTTTGAGACCAGCCTGACCAACATGGTGAAACCCCGTCTCTACTAAAAATTCAAAAAAAATTAGCCAGGTGTGGTGGCAGGCGCCTGCAATCCCAGCTACTTGGAGGCTGAGGCAGGAGAATTTCTTGAACCCGAGAGGCAGAGGTTGCAGTGAGCCGAGCACTCTGCACTCCACTGCACTCCAGCCTGGGGGACAGAGTGAGACTCCACCTAAAAAATCAAAAAAAAAATTAAAGCAATTAAAATAAAATAAAAATTACATATCATCTAACAGGGGAATTTGGCATCTGGAAATTGGCAAATGCCTGGTCTTTTCCTTTCCATAAGATGATTTTTTCAGAAAGTGAAAAAATGCTGAAAGTATTCTAGGGAATATATCCTGTTTAAGTAGTTACCAATCTTCAATAACTTTGAGTAATGGTATTTGTCATGGAAAAGCATTCCATGTGCAAAGAGAGGACCCTATGATCCTACAGTAGTAAGACCAAATTGAGCATCTCAGAAACAAGGCGGTAATCAGCAAAAGGTGATTAAGAACGGAGGACAAGCTGCACCTTGGGAGGCTGAGGCGGGTGGATCACGAGGTCATGAGATCGAGTCCATCCTGGCTAACATGGTGAAACCCCGTCTCTATTAAAAATACAAAAAATTAGCCGGGTGTGGTGGCGGGCGCCTGTAGTCCCAGCTACTCGGGAGGCTGAGGCAGGAGAATCGCTTGAACCCAGGAGGCGGAGGTTGCAGTGAGCCGGGATGGTGCCATTGCACTCCAGCCTGGGTGACAGCCTGGCACTCCATCAAAGAAAGAAAGGAAGGAAGGAAGGAAGGAAGGAAGGAAGGAAGGAAGGAAGGAAGGAAGGAAGGAGAAAGAAGAGAAGAGAGAAGAGAAAGAAGAGAAGAGAAGAGAAGAGAAGAGAAGAGAAGAGAAGAGAAGAGAAGAGAAGAGAAGAAGGGAAAGAAAAGAAAGACAAGCCTTAGACGCACTCGCAGATTGACGGCAGGCTCCCTACCGAGTACCGCGTGCGGCAAGTGTGCCTTGGGTTAATCGATGCGATCAGTAAGAATTGCTATGGAGACAGTGATAAATATTTTCTGTGTGGAGCTGAGCAAATATGAAGCCGTGATTTAGTTGTTTTATATATTCTTCTTCCTTTGTTTTTCAATCCTAAATGCAGCTAGTTCTAGCTATAGCCAGAGATCATTCTAGAAAGAAATAAGAATTTAAACTGCTCATTTAAATGCCTGAACATTCTTTCTATCTTCTCTGAGGAAATGCATACTAAAAAAAGAAAAAAAAAAACTTAAATGCCATATAGCACTGCTATTTATTATTGATGAAAACAGCAGTGACTGAGCCCAAGGGTGTGTGTGTGTGTGACGGGAGGTGGGTGTGGGCAGCGGAAGATTTGCTACTTTTCTGGATCCGGTCAAACAAAACTAGCTTTTCTTCCATTTTTCATTTTAACATTATGAGGATTATTTAATTTCAAGAAATATTATTCTCTGGGTATAACCCTTTGCAAAATGCAAAACACTGCCCTTTTGCCAGTGCTGTGTGTGGTGTACAGTGTCTGTTAAACTGTAACTTAGAGAAACAAATTTAGTAATTCTTCACTTTGATCCATCAGTTTCACTAAGCCTTGTAGCAGAGAGAATACAAAATAATATTTTAAGGAAATTTGATTCTTGAGGCTGTTGTGCTTCCTTATACATAAATTACCCTTAAACCAAAGTGGTTATTGAAATAAAAATTCCATTTCTCTTACTTTGACAATTCCTTTGGGGGGGCAGGGAAGTTTCCTTCCCCAATCCGAATGAGCAAAATTGCCTGTGACATCGATGTGATTATTACAGTCACACTTTTTATTTTTAATATTTTCCTCTTGACAGATTTATTTCTTTTCAAATCAGAAATATTTCTTCTGAGGAAAAAATATATAGCCCCCTTATGTTTTCTGATACTGAAAATTACCAGATGCCAAGCTGTGAACATAAGGAAATTGAAGACCCTTGTGAGCGACCTCACAGACCACAAAGGTGGAGGAGTGTGATGTAGCGGTTTAGGCAATTTCATCGAGGCTGCTTGGCTCGTGAAAAATGAGAAATAGGTTTTCTATTACTAAATATAATGAATTTCCTTTCTGTCTTGTCACAAATTGTCAAACTTCATTCAGTGGAAGAAAGATCTGGACCAAACATTTATGGAGGGGTCTTATGAATATCCATGTTGTACAGTGAATAAAAGCTGCATGATTTTAGATCACTATTTTATTTTGGCCTAAAATTTTAAACTAATGCAGTTAGTGGGTGAGGTCATGCTGGGCAAACTTTGACCTAGGAAGAAAATACTGTTAAATGGCATGCGCTGAAGTTGCATGCATATGTATTTTGTTGCATATATTAAATATCACATCCAACAGCTGCAGGAAGAGGTTAATCATTTTCTAGACAACCAAAGAGGCCTTATTGAGGATTTGTCATGCCTGTCATGAAGCAACACCAGCAATTTTGTGGGTAATTACATAAGACTCGGTGATCTATAATACAGCAAGAAAGAAAGAAATGACAACGTGGGGTACCTGGTCACCAGATGATATGCAGCATTTTGCTTGAAGTTCAATAACGTCCAGGGAGTGAAAAATCCTTTTATCATCTTTGTTTTCCATGTGTTCTAATAAAAAGGATTGCTCATGCACTTAATAAAGTATGCCTTTGTATTTACTTTTGCTCACTTCCCACCGCCAGAAGTAGTATATTTTCCTGTACATGTTCCACTTCCCATGTGCTCACTTCTTAAAAGGGAAAGAGTGGGATTGAAACTAGATGACCCGGTTCCTGTCCCTGGTACGTCTGTGTGACACCTAGCAAGTCACCTGGATTCCGAGCTCCAGCTTCACCTTCTGAAACATGGGGAAGGAGAGTAACTTCTTCTTACTTAAAACAAGATGAAATGTTTGTGGAAGCTCCCACAAGTCTCCTGGCACATAAGATACACCCAGAGATGTGTGGGATATGCAAGCATTTAAACTGAAATCAGAAGGAACAGGTGAAAGAGGCTTCACAGGAACCAGCAACCCTCACAAAACAAGAACCCAGAAGACTATTGCTATTCTTGAACAAATAATAATGAACAAAATATGTCTGTTGTTCTGGCAGCCCCTAGAGACTTAGAGGAACTTGATCATGTCTCTCCCCACTGCTCGCTGTGCAATGGATACAGCAGGTGGCTTGAGTAGGTGAGCGATAGCCTTCCATAAAGGCACAGGGCAAAGGTTTAGAGACGACATCACATTTGCTCCACATGCAAAGGCTCTGAAAGAGAAGAAAATGAGGGACAGAGAGAGAGAGAGAGATTAGTCATCAAAACCGAAGTGTTTGCATACCACCATAAAAACAAATGAATGAAAAGAGAGGGAGAGATGCTGTAAGAAACCAACATGGCAGTGGAAGAACATTTCTATTTCTGTGTTTGTTTATATATACAATGGAAAACTTGCATTTCCTTGTTTAATATTTTCAGCATTTTACTGGCTGGATCACGGAAATTCAGAGGAGCTCAAGTGAAAGGCACACAGGTGACCTGCGTGAAAAACAGAATGGGATGCATTTGTCTAATGCCATTACCAGTAGTGTACAATGGTATCTCTAATTTTTTAAAAGATAAATATATATATATATATGTGCACAAAATGAGAAATATGTTCCAAATTTCGTACTAACATGTAAAGTAAACCTATCATCCCTCTTGGTAAGCCTCCAGTTAATTCTAGAGGCTGGGACTGTCCACTCATCAGTTCCAGGAACTACATCTATATCTGGATATTCTAGAATCTAGAGTCTTCTAGAATCCCTACAATAGGGGTAGACTATTTAGGTTTTTTAAAAAATATTAATTTATTTTACTTTATTACAGCTCTCTTCCATTGGAAACTGTAACATTTTCCTCTTTAAATCACAGCCTCGTCTCCAGCCCTGAAACTCGTGCCTCATCATGCTAATTCCCATCCCTGGCCTGCTTACCCCACCTCTACAATTGTCCACTTTTAAACTCCCAATATTCTTCTCTCCTGATCCTTGAGAACTTCTTGCATGAGCCACCTTCTCATTTGTCTGAGCAGGGCTCTACACAGTCTTTATTTTATCCTTTCATTCAATAAGCTTTTATTAAGCAACTATTATATGACAGCTGCTGTCATCATAGTTTAGATAGTGGTAAATCTTAAGAAGAAAAAATAAATCATGGAAGAGGAATAAAGTTAAATCACTGGCCTATAATGTATTTTAGATAGTGATAACTGTTAGAAAGAAAAAAATTAATCAGGAAAAGGAGGTAGAAAAAGCTGGAGGTGGCAGTGACAGAATCAAAATTGTTGTGGGTTTCTCAGCGACCCTGTAAGCAGGAGGAACATGACTTAAAAGCTCGAGGGCATAAGTCACAAGTTTATCAGAGGACAAGCACTCCAGGAGGAGGGGCCAGGACCCACAGAGACCCTGAGGAAAAACCAGGAGGCCTTGGTGCCTGGAAAGGAATGGGTCAGGGGACCCCAGGAGTGAGGCCAGGGGGAAAACAACCATGCCATTTCACACGCAGTTTAGAACATTCTTGCATGAGTTTACTTACCTCACCTTTTTCTTTTCCCCTCAAAAAGGATGTCTTTCTAGTTGCAAAGTGGAGAAGAAAAATAGTTAAGAGAAAGGTGGAGTCCTGGATAAGTGAGGAAACAGCAAGAGAAGATTTATTGGAATGTGCTGGATTTTCTCGGGATGTTCAGTACCATTGTGAGCTGTGAAACTGGAGAGATTGCTGATGGGTTCTCGAAATGCATGTTAGAAAATTGTTAGCAACTGTGGAACTCGGGGGAGACATCAGAAAACCAAATTATGCCACACCCATAAATGTTCAAGACGGGAAGAGAAGTGGACTCTGTCCTGATGTTGTTACTCACTTACCCTCAGGGGATCACTGGGAGGGCGCTTGGCCTTGGTATCCAGTGGAGAATTGGTCAACACCCACCGAGATGTGTTGACCGTGAGCCAGACCCTGTCACCAGCAAATTGAACACCCCGAGGCTCTTCCCCATCTCTCCTGTGTCTTCTCTCTGTGACACTGGAAGGAAGCTGCCTACCCCTAGACTCCAAGCCCTGGGTCCCGGCCCCTTTCATCTTTTTAATGACCTCATTCCTGCCACACAATTCATAATGTCCACTCTGTGAGACCTTCTCCAGGAGCAGATGACACACTTTACTATTTCCCTTCTTTGAAAGTCAACACATGCTTAGCCTTTCCCTGCAGTCCCTCAAGCCGATGGCTTCCCCTTTTTCAGATTTGACGCATAATGCTTTCAACTGTGACTTCACCTTCACCCCGACCCATTCAGGGATCTTTCCTCCTAATGCCGCTTGGAAGCAAGAAAGATCGAGGTTGTCTGGAATCAAAACTCAGGTCCCCACCCTGCCCACCCCGGCATTCCATACCCTTCCAATGGCGCACCTGCGACTCCTCACGGCGAGGCCAGCACACCTCTTGAGGGTGTCTGCCTCAGCATCCACGGCAGGTGCTACCTCAGGGCCTCTGACAATTCACTGGCACTGGTAACCTCAATTACCTACGTCCCAGCCACAGAGTCCAGGGAGGTAGCATGGTGCCAGTGGGTCCATGTGAGTTTCTCTGGGTTGCTGCAACAAATTACCACACTCTGGATGACAAAAAAAAAAAATGATAGAAATGTATTCTTTCAGTTTTGGAGGCTGGAAATCTAAAATCAAGGTGTTAGCAGAGTCAGTTCTTCCTGAGAGTCCTACCCCACAGACTCGTTTCCCAGGCAGAACGCAACCAGCGGAGCCCTCTCAGCGGGCAGCTTATTCAGGGATACCTCTTCCTCCCTGTGGGCCCGAGACTCCCCTCCACCACCTGAGACACTGGAATGGCAGGGGGTCTGTTACAGGGGTGGTCTCAGCCCGTGCCCCCCACTTGGAGAGACACTCAGGGGCCCTGCCTGGGGAAAAACCTTTTACTCCTTCAGGGAGCACCAGCAGATGGATAGTAGAACTGAACAGGAGAGTGAAAATTAGAAAATTTTAGAAGAATATACAGGGAATATCTTTGCCACTCTGGATTTCTCAGACATAAGAGGTCAAAAATATTTTTTTAAATTATATTTAATCAGCCTGGCGTGGTGCCTCACGCCTGTAATCCCAGAACTTTGGGAGGCTGAGGCGGGTGGATGACCTGACATCAGGAGATGGAGACCAGCCTGGCCAACATGGTGAAACCCCGTCACTACTAAAAATACTAGCTGGGAGTGGTGGCAGCTGGCTGTAATCCCAGCTACTCAGGAGGCTGAGGCAGGAGAATCGCTTGAACCCCGGAGGCAGAGGTTGCAGTGAACTGAGATCGTGGCATTGCACTCCAGCCTGGGTGACAAGAATGAAATTCCATGTCAAAAAAAGTTATATTTCATCAAAAGTGAAACATTTTGCTCAGCAAAATCTTGGCTAGGAAATAAGAAGGTAAGCTACAGATCGGGAGAAAAGATTCACAATATGTATGTTTGACAGAGAAAGTGGTAACAGAATACGTAGGAATGCCTACAACATCGCAAAGTGAAGGCAACCCAGCAGGTTTGATGAGCAGAGGCCTCATGAGACATGTCCCAAAAGCAGACACAATGATAGTAAAGCACGGAAAAGTGCTCAACATTATTAGTCATTTGGAAAATTAAAGCTGCAATATGCTCCAGAATTGCTAATATTGAAATTACCATCAATCTCAATGTTAGCTCAGGATTTAGAGCAGCCAAACTCTCACACGTGATTGGCAGGAATGAAGGTGGCATGGCCATTTTGAAAAACAGCTTGACACTTTCTTTTGATGTTAACATTCCTCCACTCTTTGATCCAGCTATTTGATTCCAAGGTATTAACATCCCAAAATCTATATATCCATAAATAGACATAAAATAGTGCTGCTGACAGTTTTCATCATAAGAAAAACAAGCACCAGAATAATAAGAGTATTAAATTATAAAGACACAAGGAAGACTGAAAAGCGATTCTAGATTAAAGGACAGTGGAGAGACAGAAGGAGCGAATTTGTGTATGCATTGACTACTCAATGATGGCATTGAAGCAGTGCTAAATGTTCTGATTTAGTTAACTGCTTTGTGGTTATGTAAGAGAAAAATCTCCCTCCTTAGGAAACACACTTTGAAGGGTAAAGGGACATGATGTCTCCAACTTGTTCAATAGCTAGTTATGTAAATTTAGACTAGTAGGGGGATGCTGTGTAAAGAGTATATAGGAGTAGCTGGTCCTATTGTAATTTTATTATATGCTTGACATTATTTTTAAAAAATTACAAATGAAAACAAGACCATTGTCATTGGGATCCATTTCAGTCTGACTGACAGCCTGTCTAGCCTGTGCCCAGCTCCCGCCCTCTAATTCTATAATTCTATCATTAATTTTTAAATAAAGCCATCCCTTTTCAAAGAATAAAAACAGACCAATATTTTTTAGACTCTTATACTTGGATGTTTAGGATGAACTTAGACACTTTCAAAGTTTGTTAAAATACCTCCTAGCACCTGTTGAAACATTTTGTAAACCCACCTCATCTTTAGGAAGCTTTAAGACTTAGAAAGTTCTTCTCATATGGAGATGAAGTATTCATTTGTCTGTAAAATCCAACTACACTAAATCTTACCTTTTTCAGCAATGGCAGCAGGGATCATTTTGTCTGATGTTCTGGTTGTGTAGAAGCAGATAAGTTCATCCTTTCTGTATTCTTGCAACAAATATTTACTGGACATATTTCCTTAAATTCTTTAATTATAGTGACAAAAGTGAAAGATTCTTACTCTCATATACCTTGGTATTTATTGGGAAAAATACTAAAATATGCAATTAGACAAGTGATTAAAAAGATAATTATAGATTTTAATAAATATGAAGAAAATGAATTAAGGGTATGAAAGAGTAAGTGAGATTGCTGCTTTAGACCCAGAGGTCAGGAAACATTCTCTGAAGGAAGAGGTGGTGTTTGAGCTGAGGTCTAGAAGCTGCAAAGAGCCAGGAGCACCTTGTTCCAACAAGAAAGACAGCAAGCGCAGATGCTTTGAAGTGGGGAATTAGAGAATGACAGGGGAACTTCTTTCGCTGAAACTTGCTGCAGGCACAGGCAAACTCCGTTGCCGGGCGTCACCATGCAATGCACCTATCGCATTTGAGGAACACGTTTGCCAGAGGACAAACACTCTGAGCATGCTGGAGCACAAATGCACAGCACAGAAGCATCCTGGGAGTGGGCCAGTTCCCCAGCCCAGAGACACCCATCTTGAAGTCTCCTGGAACTACCCTTGGAGAACTTAAGGACGAGTAAAATTCCTAGTACAATATATATAAATGAAAACCAGACTGTTCTTGCTGTCTTTGTCCTGTTGCTTATAGTTTGCATTTTACTGTCATGTCCCTTAGGCTAATAATGTAAGAATATTCCCAAACTATGGCCTCAAGTACCTTATTATCCCTTTCTGGGCTTCTAATGCATAAAGGGAAGGTATATTATCTATTAAATTAGAAATTACTAATTAAGTTCACACAAAAAGTTTGAAATTAGGAAATGTCGTTAGCAAGAGAATCTGGTAAAACAATTAATTATATCTACTTATTAATCCTTTGACTAAAGGCATTTTAATACATGGAGTCTACAGAATGCTAGCTAGTGATTTATTTATTCTTTTTTATTAATAACACTTTTTTGAGATATAATTCAAATACCATAAAATTCACTCTTTTAAAGTGGACAATTGAATGGTTTTCAATATATTCACAAGGTTCTGTAGCCATCATCATAATCGATTACAGAACATTTACATCACCCTGCACCCTATAACAGTCATCACTGATTTAATCCAATCCCATCCCCAGCCCTGAGGAAGCAATAATCCACTCTGTCTCCATAGATTTGTCTATTCTGGATGTTTCATGTAAATGAAATCATACAGTATGTGGTCTTCTTTCACCTGGCATGACTGGCTTCTTTCGCCTAGCATGTTCACCAGGTTCATCGTGTTGTAGCATGGATTAGTAACGCGTTCTTTCTTACAGCGGAATAATAGTCCATTGTATAAATATAGGACACTTTATTTGCACATTAATTAGTAATGTACATGTGAGTTATTTTCACTTTGGGGCTGTTATGAATAATAAATATTCATATACAAATGTTTGTGTAGACATATGCTGTCATTTCTGCTTAGTGTATATATATAATGGAGCGTAGAGTTGCTGGGTCACATGGTAAGCTTTTGAGGAATTATCAGCCTGTTTCTCAAAGAAGCTCCAATGTTTTATGTTTCCACCAGGAGGGTATGATGGTTCCAATTTCTCCACGTCCTCACCAACATTTACTATTCCATCTTTCTGATGATAGCCATCCAAGAGGCTGTAAAAAGGTACATCACTGCTGTTTAGATTTGCATTCCCTAAATGCTAATGCTGTTGAGCATCTTTTCATGTACTCATTGACCATTTGTGTATCTTTTGCAGATAAATAGCTATTCAGACCTTTCACACATTTTTCAATTAGCTTATTTGCCTTCTGATTACTGAATTCTCGGGCATATTCTGAACATAAGCTCCTTATCACATACATGGTTTGCAAATATTTTCTCCCATTGGTGGATTATCTTTTTATTTTTTAGATGGTATCCTTTAAAGCACATTTTAAAAAACCTTGATGAAGTCTAATTTATTTACTTTTGTTATCAGTTGCTTGTGCTTTTAGTGTCATATCTAAGAAACCATTGCCAAGGTCATGAAGACTTATGCCTACATTCTCTTCTGATACTTTTGGAATTTTAGTCCTAACATGTAGACCTTTGATTGATTTGGAGTTATTTTATTTTATGTTTTTTGAGACAGGGTCCCACTGTGTTGCCCAGGCTGGAGTGCGATGGCACAAACTCAGCTCACTGGAACCTCAACCCCCAAGGTTCAGGTGATCTTCCTACCTTAGCCTCCTGAGTAGCTGGGACCACAGTCCTGTTCCACCAGACCCAGATAATTTTTTGTAGAGTCAGGGTTTCACCATGTTGTCCAGGGTGATCTCAAATGTTTGGGCTCAGGCAATCCACCTGCCTCAGCCTCCCAAAGTGTTGGGATTACAGACATGAGCCACTGCACTCAGCCTGGGTTAACTTTTGTACATGATGTGGGTTAGGAATGTAACTATAATTTGCATGGGATATCCAGTTTTCTGAACACAATGTGTTAAAAACATTCCTTTCTTTCTTTCTTTCTTTCTTTCTTTCTTTCTTTCTTTCTTTCTTTCTTTCTTTCTTTCTTTCTTTTGTTTCATTCAGCACTGAGATTGTTATTCTATTGCTTTCTGGCCTTCACTGTTTCTGACAGGAAGTCATATCTTAATTTTATTGGGGTTCCTTTGTACATCATGACGTGTTATGTTACTTCCTTCAAGATTTTCCATTTGTGTTTGGCTTTCAGCGTTTTCCTTGTGTGGTTCACTGAGCTTCTTAAATATGCAGCTTAATGTTTTTCATCCAATGTGAGAAGTTTTCTGCTGTTAACTCTTTGAATATCCTTTCTGCTCCTTTCTCTCTCTCCTCTCCTGGCACTCCCATCACGTTTGTTGGCATGCTTCGTGGTGTCTGATATTCCTCTGAGGCTCTGCTCATTTTTTTTCATCTTTTTTTCCCTTCTGTTCTTTGGACGTATGATTCTTGTCTTCACGTTTGCTGAATCTGTCTGTCTGGATTTTTGTTTGGTTTTATTTGCTATCTCAAATCTACCATTGAGCCACTTAGTGAATTTTTCATTTCAGCTATTGTGCTTTTGAAATCCAGGACTTCATTTCTTTTGTTTTTTATGTAAGTTGAATCTCTTTATACTGCTCTTCTCTATTTGACTATCAGCATTCTTACTGCATCTTTTCAACTTATCTAAGCGTGGTTTTCTGGAATTCTTTTAGCGTATTTGTAAGTTCTGCTTTGGAGTCTTTGTTGCTTAAATCTGCATCAGTTCTTTTTCACAGACACTGTATGTCAACTTCTTTTTTCCTGTGTGTGTTCTCCTGGGTTTTTTTTCTCTATTTTTTTGCATGCCTTATAATTTTGTGTGGAAAACTTGGTCTATTAGATAATACATTGTTTGAACATTGGATACTGAATCCTCCCTTCTCCCTCTATGTGGGGCCTGTAACATCCACAGGTAAAAATTTAAAAAATCCTGATTGCTTCAAATGCAGGGATGGATACCAGAATATTCTGCTATTTATGTAAAAGCCTTGCCTCTGTCATTTAAAATTAGATGAGACATAAATATTCTCACAAATATGGAAATATGTCTGAGTGAATATAAATCCCATCTAAGAACCCATACCTTTTGTGTTATAATACTGTTATTAAAGTTTTCAAAGTAATCTTGAAGTAGTATTAGATTATGAGAGAGCAGACATCTGAATTATCAAGTAGGCCATTGGCTCATCAAAGTATTTTGTATTCAGAAATAAGTACCGCCTATATATGTTGGTGATTCTAACTCCTAATGAAGAAAAAAAGGACAAGATTTATTAGAGTATAAATCTTTCTCAGAAGAACTATCAGCAATTAATTAGAAAAAAGAATATCTAAAGATATTAATTATACTACGCAGTTTCAGATGCAATAAGTTACATCTGAATATGAAACAAGAATTACCAAGAAATTAATTGGTAAAATGGCGTACATTTAAGATGGCTTTAAATGCTATGAGTTTAAGTATTTTCTCTTATCCACAGAGCCCTCTAGTGGAGTAAAGATCATCAAATACACATCTCTAGAAAAAAATAACCAAGCTTTAGAAATTGTCATTTTAATTCCAATGAATACAAAATCCGAGCTTGGGAGGCATTTCTGGGAGAAGTAAATACTCCATGTTTAATCTCTTTACTGGTGAAAAATATATTTTCTTAGCAAAAACATGCTACTTTGGGTAAAAGACATGTAAATAGATTTTTTTTAATAAGAAGTACTGTTATAATACACTAACTTATAATGACTTTTTTAAACTATTTCACGTCGTCAGGGTTTTTTCTATCAATCTCAAAGTTGTTTTGCTGATGAGTTTTGTTGTTTTGTTTTGTTTTATTTAAAAGCAAAGATATTAATAACATTGAGGACATGTCAAAACACTGCCTATATTACTGGCTAATGAATATTTTTAACCTTTAAAATTATTTGACAAATATATAAATTTTCTGCTAGAGTTATTTCTCCTAAATTTTTCCTGTATTCATTTGTTTTAAGCCTATTATTGTGGAAAATTTCTAACACAGACAAAAGTAGACTCAACTTTCACATACCTATTACCAGGCTAAAACAATTATCCACTCATAGCCTAACTGTTTAATCTATGCCTTCATTCATTCCACCCATTCATGTTAATTTGTCCTGCTAGAATTTCTCATAAACTAATTAATAAGAAAAATTTCCTCTCCTCTTCCTATTCTTTACTGTCAAAAAGACATGAAAATACTGACATTAAACTCAAACATGATCTCTGCAGTAGCATCCTTTAGCCAGTTACTCAGTATACTTCGCAAACTGCTTTCTCTATCCCTCGTAGTAATATCTCATTAAAAAATAAGAACAAGTGACTTTTATTGAGTACTCCCTATTGTTAAACCTCATGGTGTTCCAGCTGGTGAGCCCCAAGTGTGGAGCACCAAGAAGCCTTGTTTTTTAATTGTAACATTAGCAAGGACATGACACTTATTTAAAACAATACTGATATAATTTGGCTGTATCCCCACCCAAATCTCACCATGAATTGTAATAATCTTCACATGTGAAGGGCAGGGCCAGGTAGAGATAGTTGAGTCCTGGGGGCAGTTTCCCCCATATTGTTATCATAAGTCTCCCAAGTTCTGATGGTTTTACAAAAGAGAGTTCCTCTGCACAAGCTCTTTTTTGCCTGCCACCATGTAAGATGTGACTTTGCTCCTCCTTCGCCTTCCACCACGATTGTGAGGCCTCCCAGCCATGTGGAACTGTGAGTCAATTAAACCTCTTTTTCTTTATAAATTACCCAGTCTCAGGTATGCCTTTATTAGCAGCGTGAAAACAGATTAACACAAATACACTTAGAGAAACTTGGCTGTTTGAAATCCTATGAAAACTACAAGATCAAACAAATCAGCTTTAACCCGGAAAGTATAAAATGCTGGGAATATTACAGCAGTCCTGCTTGAATCTAATCAAGATTGTTACCCATTTTTGATGGAGTTATTCAAAATCTTCTGTGCTTGCCCAGAATGGTATATAATACCATTTCAGGTTTTGTTTTGAGAGATTTTTGTTCCTGAACACAGATCTCCATTACCTGACAAGTTTAATGAAATTAGGTTTGTGTTTTAGAATTATAATATAACCTGAACCAAGCACTGTTCAGAACATTTTGTTAATACTTTTTTTAGTTGGTTGTGTTTCAGCATTATTGGGTATAACTGACAAATTAAAATTATGCATATTTGAGGTATATATTGTGATGCTTTGATATAAGTATTCATTGGGAGATGATCACTATTATCAAGCTAGTTAACACATCCAACACTTCATATGTTTGCCTTGTACATGTGTGTGGGGGTGGGGTGGGGAGAATAGTTAAGATCCATTTTTAGCAGTTTGAATACACAATGGAGTATTGTTAACTATAATCACCCTGCCGTACATTAGATCTCCAGAACTTATTCATCTTAAAACTGAAACTTGGTATCCTTTGACCAATGCCACTCCCGGGACTCCCCAGCCCTGGTAACCACCACTCTACCCTGCTTCTGAGCTCAACGTTTTTAGATTTCACATATGAGTGAG
Organism: Homo sapiens; assembly: GCF_000001405.40. Lineage (NCBI taxonomy): Eukaryota > Metazoa > Chordata > Mammalia > Primates > Hominidae > Homo > Homo sapiens. The sequence goes on along the minus strand of NC_000018.10, from coordinate 77,709,251 downwards.
ATCATGTTGTATGTGTCTTTCTGTGCCTGGCTTATTTCACTTAGTGTAACAACATTCAGATTGGTCCATGCTGCAAATAGCAGGATTTCCCTCCACATTTTTTTTAATTTACTTGTGATAGTTAATTTTATGTATCAGCTTGGCTGAGCTAAGGAATGTCATTGTTTCTGGATGTGCTTGTGAGAATGTTTCTGGAAGCAATGAGCATTTGAATCAGTGGACTGAGTAATGAAGCTTCCCTCTCAGTAATGCAGGCAGGCATCCTCCAAACCACTGAGGGCCCGGGAGAACAAAATGGGGGGTGAATGTGCTCTCTTCCTTGAGCTGAGACATTCTTCTTCTTCTGCCCTCAGACACTGGAGCTCCTGGTTCCTGGGTTTCTGGATTATGGGGCTTCCCCCAGCAGTACCCCACTTCTCAGACCTGCTGCCTCAGAGTGAGAATAACCCCATTAGCTTCCCCAGTTCTTCAGACTATGTATTCAGACTGAATACCAGCACCAGCTTTCCTGTTTCTCCAGTTCATGGACAGCAAGTTGTGGGGCTCCTTGGCCTCCACACTTGCAGGAGCCGATTCTCGTAGTATATCTCCTCATGTACATATGTGTGCATGCACACACACACATGCACACACACGCATAAAATCTCCTATTGGTTCTGTCTCTGGAGACACCATTCATCTGTTAGTAGATGCTTGGGTTATTTTTATATCTTGGCTATTGTGACTAACGCTGCAATTCTATCAGTGCAGATATCTCTTCAACACACTCATCTCATTTCCTTTGGATCTATACCCAGAGTGGGATTGCTGAATCATACAGTCGTTCTATTTTTAATTTTTTGAAGAACTCCTATATTGTTTTTCATAATGAGAGTACTAATTTACATTCCCAAGAAAAGTCTGAAAGTGTTTCCTTGTCTTCACATCCTCACCAATACTTGTTATCTTTTGTCTTTTTAGTAATAGCTCTTTAACAAACAAGATAAGATCTCATTGTGGTTTTGATTTGCATTTCCCTGATAATTAGCCATGTTAAGCATTTTTTCATATATCTATTGTTCATTTGTGTGTCTTCTTTGAGAAACATCTATTGAAATTTTTTTGCCCATTTTTAAAAATAGGATTATTTGTTAAGTTGTTTGAGTTTTGTGTACATTTTAAATATTAATATTTTGTCAGATGTATGATATGCAAATATTTTCTTCCATTCTACAGGTGTCTCTTCACTCTGTTGATTGTTTCCTTGGCTATACAGAAGCATTTTAGTTTCATGCAATCCCATTTGCCATTTTTTGCTTCTGTTGTGTATTTTTGATGGCATATTCAATAAATCATTGCCTCCACCAAAGTCAGTAAGTGTTTCCCCCATGTTTTTAATCTAGTAGTTTATCATTTCAGGTCTTACATTTAAGTCTTTAATCCATTTTGAGTTAATTTATGTATATAGAGTAAGATAAGGTTCAATTGCTCTATTATTATTTGTTGTTGTTTCTTGAATTACTGAAGAGACTATTGTTTCCTCATTGTATGTTCTTGGCATCTTTGTAAAAGATCAATTAATTGTAAATATGTGGATTTATTTCTGGGTTATTTATTTTTTTCCATTGATCTATATATTTGTTTGCATGCCAGTGCTATGCTATTTTGATCACTATGGCTTTGTAGTATATTCTGAAATCGAGAAGTGTGATGTCACCAAGTTGGTTTTTTTGTTTTTTGTTTTGTTTTGTTTTGTTTTGTTTTGCTTTTTGCACAAAATTGATTTGGCTCTTCTGGGTCTTTTGTGGTTCCATATGAATTCTAGGAAGGTTTTTTCCTATTTCTGTAAAAAAAAAAGTCATTGGAAACTTGATAGAAATTTAATTGATCCTGTAGAGAGCTTTGGGTAATAGGAACATTTTAACAATTTTAATTCTTCCAATCCATGAATGCAAATTATCTTTCTATTTATTTGTGTCTTTTTCAGTTTCTTTCATCTATGTTTTATAGTTTTCAGTGTGCAGCTCTTTTACCTCCTTGGTTAAATTTATTACTAATTCTTTATGTTATTGTACATGTGATAGCTTTCTTAATTTAGTTTTCAAAGAGTTTGTTATTAATGTATAAAAAATAACTGATTTTGTATGTTGGTTTCATGTTATCTCATTTTTATTGAGATTGTTTCTGTAAATGCCTTTCTTCCTTACTATGCTGAAGGATGAAGGTGGTGCCCTGCACCATACCCTGTGGTGCCCTCCACATACCCTGACTGACATCCGGTGAGTCCTGGACATACAGGGAATTACAGGCACAACTCGACCTTTGCTTCAGGTGAGCTGTGGAAGGTGATTCTCCACCAGCATCTATGGCTCTACTCAAACAGAGCTCTTTCCTGTCCTGAACTCAACTAGGGAGAGACACTTCCTGAAAACCAAGCTCTGAAATGCTCCTTCCCTGATTCAGTGATGAGCACTGACTCCAGCAAAGGTACAGATGTCAGCCAGAGCACAGGTGCAGGCCAGTGGGTGCAGGTTCCTGGGCAGCACTGAGGCACAAGGTATCCCAACCCCACCCACTGTCTATGGAGCAGCTTAGACAGAAGTGATGCTCTGAATGATTCCATGGGGATAAAATGCATATTCAAAAAATACAAATTTACCATAATTGCCCTGAAATACAGCAAGACTCCTAGCACAGGTGGAAGGGGTGAAGAGGAGCATGAAGTATGTAGCAGATTCTGGAATGTCCCCAAAGCCACTGTCATTACATTCTTACCTGCCCATCATGGAGAAGGCCCTGCGGACCAGTGCAAGACCCTCTATATGAGCTTTATAGTGTCCTCTGAAGTGTTGAATATTTTCGGTGTAGTGTGTGGATTCAGTCATTCTGCGCAAACTCTTCCTTTGTCCCCAACAGGCTCCAAGTTAAAGAGCCTTTCTAGGAGATACTATTACAGCAAAATAGATACCTTGATGGGTAGACGTTAATACTAGAGTTAAGGTTTTAGTGCTCAGAGTAGGGAAGCATGATATGTTTAGGAACCCCACTTCATAATTTTGCATTAATGAGGCTAACTTTTCTCTGAATGTGCTACCTTTGCCTGAACACAGGTATGCACCTGATTAGCTTGTCCAAATATTACACACAGGATGGAAAGAGCTAGTTGTCCAACCAAACACATCTTGTGCTATGGCTGCCCTGTATCTCCCAGCCTCTATTAGGGGTAGGTTTGTTCACATGGCTGATATCTCACCAGAGAGCTGCAGGTGGAAGTTCTGGGAGCTACTCTTAGCCCTGGGCCGTGTAGCACTACTGTGACTCCTCAAAATTCTCTTCCTTCTTAGCATCTTCTGGGACCACATCTGTGTCTATCGCGCTTCAACTATGCCAATAACAATAATGTTCCCAAGCTTTAATGGACATCAGAATCACCTGGAGTTAAAGGGTTCTCCAGAGAAACAGAACCAGTAGGATCCATAGGGAAGGAGATGATGGGAATCGACTCATGTGATCATGGAGGCTGAGACATGCCACCATCTGCCATCAGTAAGCATAAGACCCAGGAAAGCCAATGTATCATTCACATGAGTCCAAAGGACTCCAGACAGGCGGTGTTGTGGGTTTGCATGTTACTGAGTCTGAAGGCCTGAGAACCAGGAATTCAGTGTTTAAGGGCAGGAGAAGATGGTGGTCCCAGTTCAAGAAAGGAAAGGAAATTTGCCCTTCCTCTGCTTTTTGTTCTATCTGGGTGCTCAGCAAATTGCATGCTGCCTCCCACATGGGTGAGGGTGAAACTTCTCCACTCAGTCTAGCAATTCAAATGCTAACTTAGTAGGAAACACCCTCACAGACACACCTAGAAATAACGTTTTACCATCTACTCAAGTCAAATTGACACATACAATTAACTGTCACAACTTGCTATTAATTTTTTTTTAAGGCAATTGCAGGATCCCAGGTCCCAACTTTCTCATTCAGTGTGGTCTGGTGTCAGGTGATAATCTGCAACTCCTACAAATTTCCAGGTGATGCTGACATTGCTGATGCAGAAACCACCCCTCAAGAACCACCATCCTAGCCCCACCTGGAACTTTGTGAAACACAGGATCTCAGCTCCACTGGATCAACTTCTGCATTTTTTAAAATATCTTTGGGTGACCTTGATGCACATGTAGGTGCTTCCAGAAGAGGGTCTCTAAAGTGACCATGCCACCTCCCTAGATAAGACGCTGCAATACCTCCTCACTCTCCAAACCTCTCATACAATCAAAATATCATGGCATTAAATAAGATACCTTTCATGATCTGGTCCCCGCCTGCTCCAAATTCATCTTATATTTCCCTAAACAAATATAATTTCAACACTGAAGATTACCTGTAGTCTGAGAAGCTCTGTCCTAGGGGAAAGAACCCACACTGCTGAATTCTTTCCACCTGTGGCAACTTCTCCGTCCTCCTCCCCGTGGCCCTGTCTTAGGTAAAGGTGAGTTACTGGTTCACTGCAACAACAAGAGCACACCCGGAGGGGCACAGGGTGTCTTGGTAAGAGGAAGAAATAGGGATTATTAGAGGACTTGGGGTCATATTAGGGTATTTGGGGTAGGGTTCAAGGAAGAATGGGTTTGCTCCAGACTGGGCACTGTCAATAGCTGGGAAAACTATGATTGTTCTCTCTATGATTTCATTTACAGAGTAGAGAGCGTGAACGGGCCAAGGTGTTAAAGAAGCCACAGTGTGTAGACGAGCCCAGGAAGGAGGGCATGGGGCCATCTGCATGGCCTGGCCAGTGTTCTCAAGCTCATCTTTCCTATGCTCATCACAGAGTGGCCTTGCCTGATGCGGTGTCTGTGAAACTCTCTATGGTAACAAGAGAGTGCCTCGGCCCTCAATGCCTGACCCACTCCCAGTAAATGGCAGTCAGGGCTGCTTTCTCTGCAATGCATTTTTTACACATGCAATTTCACCTCTTGGATGGCTTCATTGCCATCTGTGTGCTGAAGAGTTCTAAATTAAACCCAGGTTGTCTCTCCAGCAGCATTTTTAAACTGTACCTCCCTAACTCATACGCAGTTTTAAGTGTCAAAGTGGTGGACCATCTCTGTGTTACTCCCAAGACTTTTTGACACACATTGAGTGTATTTAATGGCAGTCCCTCAGGCGTCCACTCCACTGGACTTGTTCCTGGGCTTGAGCCACACACCTAGGACTCCGTGACATTACAAAATCTGGAGCCACAAGGGTGCCTTTCCCTGGCCTCTATGCTTGCAACACTTCTGCTTACGTTTCCCACCTAGACTGATGCACCTGTCATATGGAGTTTGGTCAACATCTCCAGACAGAGGCAGGTGCTTCTTTCTCATGTTCCTGCAGTAGTTTCCAGAGTCCACATTTCTGCTCTGCCACAGTGTATGCATCAGAGCCATTGACCGAGAAGCCTCTGCTCTGAGAATGGAGGCCTTGGAGGGCAGGAGATGCTTCTTATTTCTCTGTGTTCTTGCAGTTAGAATATGGCCTGGGTCATGGAAACTGCTGAATAAGTAGCACAAATGTTCTCTACAAACAAGGATGTTCAGTTTGTCAACTCAGTTGCCTTTTGTCTAAGTGAATCCCAGCTTTACCTTGGAAGCTTCCAGCAGCCTGAACTCTTGGTGGTGATTTACAAGCCCCTCCGTGCACCTGCCCCAACCTACCTCTCCCATTTTATTCCCAACAACCTCCCTGTTCACACTCAGTGTTTCAGCTAACCTAACCCTCTACTTATTTCCTAACTCCTCAGTCTCCACGATTTTTCTTATGATGTGTACCACTGGAATCCACCCATTCCACTTGGGGTCTCCAGCCACACATCCACGTGTGTCAAGGCTGAAGACCATTGTCCTCACGAACCCCGGCCCACACACTCCTTAGAGATGACATCTGTGCTGTTGACTTAAGGCACCTTCTCAGTGGCACTGTCTTGGGGTTTACCTGGATTTACCTTGACTCCCTCAGAGTCCTCTTTTCTATGCAACAAAGAAATGGATTGTTGCGTCTGATGAGTATTTTTATGCTTTACAATATTTAACAATGGCTTTTAAAATATATTATGCACTCAAAACATACAATACTTTGTATTAAAGATATTTTATATTAAAAGTCCTTATATAAATTATTTCATATGTCATTTTCTTGTGATATGTTCCACCCTGATTTATAACAGGATTTTGTAATGATCTTGAATGCATTGGAAGATAGTGAAGTGCCTTCTCAATCAATAAATTGCAATTGTAATTAAGTTCAATCTTTAATATATGTAAATGTTGACATTCTCAGAGAAATTAATTAAGACTATATTGTTTGAGACTGGGATTTGATTTTCCTGGACGCTAAATAAAACCTAGAATTCACCTTTACGTGTCCCGGTCCAGCAGATGGCAGCCAATTCACACCATTTTGGAGTCAAGGCTCTTGATGTTTGAGATGAGATCTGAGCTGAAGCTGCTTTTCAAGAAAGGTTCGATGTTGTTTACACTACAGTTTGTAAAATATGAACTTGAGTAACAATAAGTTACAGACAAGCAGCAATCAAACTACATGATTAATTGTTATTTGTTCAATTTCCATTATCTGAGAATAAATTTAAAGGATTAAAACCTGCTTACATCCTTAGTTTACAATTTTTACCATTAGTGTCTGCAGGAAATCGTATTGTCTATCAAAGTAAGCAATTTGACTTGTATACAGAAGTACACACCAGAGTCAGTTTTCAAATCCACTTTTTCTGCTGAGGGACTTAGGAAGTGATCCTGTTGATATGTTATATGAAACTTGGGGAAAAAATAACAGAAATATGGGCAGAATAGGTTCAAGGGATGCAGATAGGCAGCTGCTGTGTTTGGTTGTGTCCCCACCCAAATCTCATCTTAAATTATAATCCCCATAAACCCCACATGTCATAGAAGGGATGCAGTGGGAGGTAATTGAATCATGGGGGCAGTTTCCCCCATGCTGTTCTCATGACAGTAAGTAAGTTGTCATGAGATCTGATGGTTTTATAAGTGTCTGGCATTTCCCCTGCTGGCACTCATTCTCTCTCCTGCCACTAGGTGAAGAGGCCCCTTCCGCCATGATAGTAAGTTTCCTAAGAACTCACCAGCCATGCAGAAGTGAGAGGCAATTAAACCTCTTTTCTTTGCAGATTGCCCAGTCTCAGATATTTTCTTATGGGAATGTGAGAACAGACAAATACAGCAGCCTTGCTCTGATCATTTGTCTGGCTAATGATGCCTTCATACTCAAGTAATCTTCACCAAGTATGTAAGATATTAAAATAGAAGTTACTAAATATGTTTAAAATATTTAGTGAGAATGGCAATGTTAAATTTTGTAAGAACTTGCCCATTTCTGTAATGAAATCACAAAATCAGAGAGTGAAGTTCTAGTCTTTTATAACCGAAACTATATTTTTCCCCAAAGTGTGTTGCTCAACTTTCAAGCATTAGGCAGATATATCTGTATCTTAAATAATTTATTTGGGTCTTTTTCTTGCCTATTTATTTTTTAACAATGTCTTTTGATGATTTTTTTAAAGAACAAACAGAATCTCTGCTGCGGACCCTCTGACACTTGTGATTTCATGTTATATACAGTTGGAGGGTCATATACAATTTTAGGCCAATGCTTACATATCATCACTCCTTTTAAACATTAAACTCCTCTTGAGAAGAAGGCTTTGCAGCTTTGTGTACTCTCAATGGTATCTAGACAGTCTTTTGCATGTGGTAGATTCTCAACATGTACATTGGAAATTGAATTTCACTGAGTTGAGAGCTCTCCAGAGCACTCAGGCTTCACATAGCATAATCCCAGACATTTAGAAGATATTTGATGATTGATAGATCAAATCTGTGATGGGTAGTATAGGACAAATGGCCTAGCTCTTAGCTTCATTGGATGTCTATCCAACTTTTAGAAAACCTAACACCTTCAATATAAGTTAACAGAAAACTCTATTTATAAGGTTTTTTTCTCATAATTGCTGCACAAAAATGATGATGGGGATGATGATGATTGTGATGGTGATGATGATGGTGATGATAAATAGAACAGCAAAAAGGAATAGCACAGGCTGGTGTTTTTAGGTGTTTGGATCTTTTTATTATGTTTCATAACCTTAGAGAATATCACATTTACTGGTCCTGTGTTTGAAAGTCCCTACAGATATGTTAGGACTGTTAGGAGTCCCACAAATAAATATCATTCTGCCAGAATATATTCAGCTAATTTTAAAGTCTAAATGAAATTCTTATACTGAGTTGTAGTATTTTTAATTTGTTTTGAAATGTCTTCCTCAGAGGTTATTCTTTCAATGATTCCATTAAAAGCTAAAATACCTCTCTCTTTTAATCTAAGGACTAAAATAGCTGCACCATCCACATTTGACACAAAAACTACTGGGACACAAATGAGACCCAAACATGGGTGAGGGGTAGAGGTTAGTGACGACAGTTTCCATGGCAGAAAGAAGGAGGACGTAACTGTAGCACTAGAAGAATTCTGAAATGAGGATTTTTGAATATCCTGAGAGTTCAGGCAAATGATGAGGCAGGATGCCTCTTACCTGTGGCATTCAGATAATATGTTAACCACGTCATTATGCTTATTTTTACAAACAAGAAAATAGGCTCATGAGGTCAAAAAACATTCCTACTGGTTAAGGTCTTGGATGGCACAGTCTGAGCAGGATTTAATATCTCCCCTCCTCTAGTCCAAGTCCTACCCTCTTTATTTCAGTTAACAGGAGGTTTCCATTGTAGTGACCAGAATGAAGAGACATGGTTTTATAGTACAATACAGTAGGAGGCCAATGTGTATGGGGTAGTGGAGGGTGGCGGTATTTTCTATTCCCTGTATGAGTGGAAGAAACTCTGCTTCCCTGTGACCTGAGATCCTCTTTCTCAATAGGAAAGGGGAGGTGAACGAATGCACAGCCTTCAGGAGAGGTGCCAAAAGGGCTTCCCACAAGAGCCTCCGGCACAAAGGCAGTAGCATGACACCAGCATGACACAGTCTGGCATCCACCCACAGCTCCCCTGCGCTGGACCACGGAGGAGACCCCGTGATGCTCTCAGCTGGGTGCTTTCCTTTTCTTGAACTGGCTCTGCAGACAGAAAGAGAAATTTAAATGTTTTATATCAAAGAAATGCACCAAAAGTGGTATTGTTAAGAGCACAAATAAATTATCTAGTAAATATCAATATTAAACTAGTTTTGATGGATACAACCTATTGCAGGAAATCAAATCTGAATAAATAAAAATCATAAACTATATCCTTCTTTAATTGCATTGAAAATAACATTCAGAATAATTCTAATTATTTTTCCTGTATTGCAGAGTAGTGTGGGGTCAATTCAAATTTTAAAAAGTAGGCAAGCTACTCTGTTGAATAAACAGTTTCCCACTTATTATTTATGAAATAGCAAATTGTAAAAAACCTCAAAGTTAGGTCTCATTAAGGACAACAGACATTTTTAGAGTCCTCCTTTTTCTTCTATTTTCCGAAATAAAATTTATGGTACTACTATTTTTTCCTCTTTCAAAATGTGTGAAATGGTTAAATAATGAAAGCCAGACTTCCACAATTTATTGCTATTATATTGGGCAGATCACTTAAACTCTGAGCCTCAGTGACTGAATCACTGAAATAAAATGTAGAGCTTCAAACTCTTAATTTGTAAAGCATTTTCAGGATAGCGTTGGGGCGATACCAAACAAAAGGAAATATGATGGACATCAATGACGCCTCCTTCACATGCCAGCTATTTAACTCAGAACCAAAACCAACAAACAAACCAAAAGTAAAACAAAACGCTTCAGGCCCCTCTGGGTGAAAGAACTCTAAAACAAGCATGAAGAGAAATAATTAAAACAGCTAAAGATGAAAAATTCACATTACATACAGGGGAACAGAGATGCAAAATATGTCTGACGTTTCAGCAGAAATAATGAAGGCAAAAATAGAGGGGATTATTATATTTAAATAGAGAGAAAAGCAATAAACTCATAACTATATATCCAGCAAAAATATCCCTTATGAATGAATCTGAAATAAGGACATTTTGAGATCACTAAAAGTGGGAACATTTATCACCAGTAAATCTGCACTAACAAAAAATGCTAAAGGAAGTTCTTCAGGCTGGGAAAAAATAGCACCATGTGAAAAGTCAGATCTATAGAAAGGAGTGAAGAAGAGGAAAACTGGTGATTGTGCATATAAATATGGAGACTGTCCTAAATTTCTTTAAGAGGCAACAGATTTCTTAAAGAAAAAATGTCTTATTGTCTTAGGGGTCAAACGACAGGAACAGAGGAAACACGTGGAGTTACACCGTTCTAAGCGTCTTATGTTTTATGTGAGGAGGTACAATATTAACTCAGATTAGACAGCAACAGCATAAAAATGCACGGTGAGGTCCCTAAATCCACCACTGGCACTTTGGTTTTCAGTAATTTGACTCTGATGCATCTCAGTGTGGCTCCCATTGTATTTAGTCTGCTTATTATTGGCCAAGACTCTTGAATCTGTAAATTATTTGTTTCCAAGTTGGAGAAAATTCTTGTGATTATTTAGCTATATAAATGAATATAGCTAAACTCAGCTGAAGAATTAAAATATAATATTTTGATTAACACAAAATAAGGCAAGGAAGGAGGAAGTGAGGAATACAAAAAAAGATGGGAAAAATAGAGAATAAAAAGTAATATGATTGACAAATTCAATCATATAAAGTTATAATAAATGGATTAAACAATACTATTTAAAAAGCAGAGATTGTCAAATTAGAAAAAATGTAAATTCAACTATATGTTTTCTGCAATGGAGACAAACCTTAAATACAAATCTACCAAGACAAGTTGAAAATAAAAGGAAGTGTAAGAAATAAATTACAGAAGCCATAAGGAAAAGGAAGGAATTATAGGAAAGTTTCTGTGGCTACGTTAATATCAGACAAAATAGACTTCAACACAAGGTGGATTTTCTAAGATGAAGAGAGACATTTAATGTTGGTAAAATGGTGAATTCATCAGGAAAATATAAATATCAAATATCACAAAGAATCATTAATATTAATTAAAGGGTATAACTGCAGATGCTGTAATTATTAATATAATAGAATAATATTATAAATAACTTTATGCTAATAAATTCTGCAATTTAGATAATGTGACAAAATCCCTTAAAAACGTAACTTAGCAAAATGACTGAAGAAGAAATAACAAATCTGGAATAGCTCTGTATCTATTAAGGTAAGATATGAAATCAAAGTTCCTTTCAAAAATGAGACTCTATATCCAATTCTTCACTAGTGAATTATATGAAACATCTAAGGAAGAAATAACACCACTGTTACACAATGTATTTCGGGAGTTAGATAAAGACAGAACTATTTCCCCTCAATTTATAAAAGCAGCATACCTTAACACCAAATCAAGAAAACACTTTCAGAAAATATAGATGCAAATTGAAATGAGCAATACGCAAAAAAAGAATAATGCATCATGATCAAATAAAGTTTATCTCAGCACCGCAAAGTGGATTTAACCTTCAAAACTAAATCATTGCCATTTACCCCATAAAGAAAAGGTGCAGAAATTATTTAACAAAATTAAATACCAATTTATAGTAAAAAATCAACAAACTAAGGCATCTAATCAAAACCAGTAACATGCCCAGTAGTGAAATGTCTAATGATCTCCCATTATCCAAGGCAAGACGGAGCTGTCTGCTCTCATGTTTTCTGTTTAACTTTGAGGGGTGCAGCTCTGGTCCGGGTCAAGGCTTATATCGCATGAGTATCTTTCCATATGAAAAGAAGTACCAGAAGTGGGAAATGTGGGTTTTTTTTAGCATAAGTCATCTCAATGTATGCTTCTTTATTAATTGGCAAAAATTATATGCATTTGTCATATGCAACATGTTGTTTTGAAATATGTGTACATTGTGGAATGGTTAAGTCAATCTAATTAACATACGCATTACCTCATAGACTTATCATTCTTTTGTAGTGAAAACACCTAAAATTTACTCTCTTGGCAATTTTCAAGAATATATTACATTGTTATTAACTACAGTCAAAAGCTCTAAAGATATGCAAGACCTTGAAACTGAAAAGGACAATGCATTTAAAAGATGTCGATAATAAAAGACATAGATCCTGGTCCTGGATTGCAAGACTCAAAAGTTTTTTGCTTTAGATTTTTTCATTTTGATTTTTTACTATATAAACATGCAAATAAAAATTGTATGTTTATCATGTGCAACATATTTTTGAATATGTATTCATTGCAGAATAGCTAAGGTTTGTGTCCTCACTAAACTGATCTATAGATTTCAGAAAGTGCTAATCAAAACCACAGAAGGCCTTTTATAAATATTTAAATGATAATTTAAAATATATATGCGGAAATTCAAAGGGTCTAGAATAGCTAAATGAATTTGAAAAAGAACAAAGCTGGAGAACTACTACTATCTGATTCTAAGACTTACTATAAAACTACTATTATCGAGTCAATGTGGTATTGGCAAAAGCATAAGCAAATAAATCAAAGTTGCCGAAACAAAGTTTCACACTTCTAGAGCCAACACTTTTCCAATAAATTTGGTAATGAGATTCAACAGGAAAAGGATAATCTTTGCAAGAAATATTGCTGAAATAAGTGTACTATATGTAGAAACAAAAGTGAAGCTCAGCTCCTTACTCGCCATACACAAAATTAATTCACAATAGACATAAAGATAAAATTTAAAACTATAATTCTTCTAGACAAAAAGTGCAAAATATCTTCATAATGTAACATATATAGTATAAAACATACTAACCATATTCAAGGAAATAATAAATTGGGCTTAAGCAAAATTAAAATCTTCTTTTCATCAAAAGACCTTGTTAAAAATAAATAGGCAAGACACTGACTCAAACATATTATTTGAGATTTTATATGTATATGTATGTATATATTTTTAAAATCTCAACATATTCATGTATATGACAAAAAGCTTTTATTAAGAATATAAAAATAATCTCTATGAATCAATAATAAAACATCCTTTTTCCCCAGAAAAAAAATTAATGAAAGCAGAAGATTTGAACAAACAAAACGTATAAGGACATGTAGAAAAGACAAATAAGCACATGAATAGGTGTTTAGCATGAGTGCACCAGGTTGAATAGCATCACTCCAAAATTCTAGAACTGCAGACTGTGACCTAATTTGGAAAAACAGTTTTGTGGATTTAATCAGCTAGGTTAAGATGAAGCCATTTTGGATAAGACAGGCCCCAAATCCAAAATGACTGGCATCCTTATAAGAAGGGAGAAGAGTAAGGGAAGAAGAGAAGGCCACATGACCACAGGGGCAGAGACAGAAGGCTCCATCTTCAAGATGAAGGAAGGCCAGGGTTGCCATCAGCTGCCAGACAGCAGAACAAAGGCACAGAACCTCGTCTTCCTTGGAGCCTCCAGATAAACCAGCTCCGCTAATATCTACAGTTCAGACTTCTAGCATAGAACACTAAGAGAACAAATTTTTGTTATTTTAAGACACCTAGTTTGGGGTACATTCTTATGGCAACCACAGGAAATTAGTGCAATTAGTTGTTAGGAAAATGTATATTAAGACGACGGTAAAGTAACATTTTGTAGCTATTAGAATGTATATCTCTTTTAAAGCTTGCAGAAATGTATACTGGGAAAATATGGAACAGCCAGAACCCTCATCCTTGGTTGTGATGTCTGCGCAATGAAACAATTTTTTTTTTTTTTTTTTTGAGACGGAGTTTTGCTCTTGTTGCCCAGGCTGGCGTGCAGTGGCACAATCTCGGCTCCCTGCAGCCTCCACCTCCCAGGTTCAAGCGATTCTCCTGCCTCAGCCTCCAGAGTAGCTGGGATTACAGGCACCCACCACCACGCCCGGCTAATTTTTTGTATTTTTAGTAGAGACAGGGTTTCACTATATTGGCCAGGCTGGTCTCGAACTCCTGACCTCAGGCGATCCACCCACCTCGGCCTCCCAAAGTGCTGGGATTACAGGTGTGAGCCACCACACTCGGCCATAAAACAACTTTTGAAAATGCTTTGGAAGTTTCTCATGTACATTTAAACACACACAAATTCATTTCTCAATATCCATCCAGGAAAAATAAAAGCATACATTGACAAAATAACTTGTCCAAGAATGTTTATAGCTGATTTATTTATAATAGTCAAAACTGAAAAGAAACCAAATGTCTATCAACAGGAGAATGGAAAACTAAATTGTGTTTTACACAATGAACTAAAAAGAATGAACTACTGACTCTTGCATCTATATGGACGAATGCCAGGACTTACTCTAAAAGAAATGGAAGCTTATCACAAAATAGTGCCTATGATATGGTTCATTTATGTGGTGATCAAGAACAGACAAAATGAATGCATAACCCAGGGATGGAAATCAGAGCAGCGTGGAGAAGTGAGGACTGCTGACGTGGGCAGGAGAACCTTTGTGGTGTGATGGGACTATTTCCCACAGCGATTGGCATGTGAACATTTATCTAAACTCATCAAATGTGCCCCTCAGTTCTGTAAATTTCATTCTTTGTAAATTTTATCTCCATTTTTAGAAAAGGTTAATGATGATACAGTAAGCAAAAGCAACACGCATGTCCCTGTTTATCAATGACTTTAGAGCAGAAAATAATGAGTTTTTGTAACTGGTAGTTTACTTTTTTATTTATGTATAAGTTATATTCAAAGGATGAAATTCACAAGATACTACAAATGTATAATCAATATTTAATATTTTAATTATTTATGTATGGAAAGGAAGCCATGAGCTTAATAAATTATCTGTATTTAAACCACATGATATGACAGGTCTTTATTAAACAATACTCATTCTGTAAAACAACATGTTAAAGCTTGTAGTTTCATCAACAGAGCAATGTACTGTGCTAATTTTATGTATTTTGTGATGACTTTGTAGATGACTATTTTATTACATAATTAATTCTATGGTTTAACACAGGAAACAGATCTTTGGTTACAGTAGTCTAAAATTTCATGCACAAAATATGCACCAGATTATTTAGACATTTCAAAAAGACCACCTGGATAATCACGGAGATTCCCCCAAACGAGCAGGTGTAAAAAAGTAAAATTCTTAATTAATATTGAAATAACACTTTCTATGTGAAATGCATAAGTGCACTTACTATATTTAAGACACACATGTTACACAATTTTGAATGGTAAATTTATTGGTTTCTTTAGAACTTATGGACTTCTTGGTAATGAAAGTGAGACATTAGCCATACCAAATACTAGTCAGAGCAAACAAATCCTGAATGAGGAATAAATACAGGAATACGAATGAATGTGGAATGCTTCAGACCATAGCTGTAACATCCTTCAGAAAAAGTGGGGGAAGGCCTGACCACTGTGCATAATTTTAATAGCGAAATAACAGAAATAGGGGAACTAAACAATACAAATCAAAGCTACTCTTTGATTGCAATAGTTGAAATAAATTTGTACTTAATACAACTATGAATACTATTTACAATTAAGAGAGCAATATCACATTCCTATCTAACAGGCACTGCTCACTCTTTACCTTTATAAAAAGGTCAAGATAAACAAACAGATCAGATTTGTTTTCATACGGCTATTAGACAAAAGAAAAATGACATAGTCAACTTCATTTTGCGGTCTGTTTTATGCTTTGCTTTTGCTGCCGTTTATTATTTCTGTTTCTGCTGTATTTTGTGCTCCTGAAGCACATGGTTTTTCTCCATCGTGAAGGTTCATGTGACTTATCAAAAGGAGATTGCAAAGACAGAGGAGAGTGTTCTGGAATCAAATCATCAGAGAGAGGCTACATTTTGTGAATTTATTATAAGCCCAGGTGAATAGCATTCTGCCCCTCAGGCCACCTTCACTCCAGCAGGAACATTGTATCCTAGGGATCTGAATGCTCAGTTTTCAGAGGAAACTGGCCATTTGGCCAAAGGCTGGTGGCCTGACCTCAAGAGGTCATCATTATTTACTAAAAAGGAGAAAAGAATCTGCCCACTTTATTGCTTTATTTGATTATCATGGGAAAAGTCAACAGTTTTTTCCCTTCCTTTCATTCTAATATTATTTCATTGGCGATTGCAAAATATAATTAAGCCTATTTGTAGGGTACAGTCTATTCTATGTTTTACTATAATGAATTTCCATTTCCAGAGCTCCATTTAAAACAAAAAATGTGTAATGCAAAAATGCAGAAAAAGTGAAAGAATGACATAGGTATCAACTGATACCAACCGCATGGATACAATACTTGTTAATAATTTGCCATATTTGTTCTAGATGTTTATCCATCTATGAATATGCATATATTTCAATTTTTCTGAGTCATTTGAGAGTAACTTATGGACATCATGACAACTTACCATAAATACCTCAGCTTTTGTTTCCTAAAAATAAGGATATTTCCCAGCACAGCCAAATGTTGTTATCAAGTCTAAGAAAATTAACAGCAGGTCCTTAATATCATCCACTATCCAGCCACATGCCTGTGTTTCCGATTACCTCAAAAGTGACTTTTATGGCTAAATCTTTTAAAATATTTTTTCTGAATATTATATCTTTTCAGCTTCTTTTAATTTTGAACAGTTTTACCACATAATTTTTTGATGTTTTTGACTTTTGAAGCAACCAGAGCAATTGTTCTATAATTTATTTTAGATTCTAGATTTGTCTGACTATTTTCATTTACTTTTTTAAACTTGTTTATCTGACTCCTTGATTTATCTAAGCTGAATATTAACTCTGACATCTTGATTAGATTCAGGTTAAACTAAGTTGGCAAGAACGATTCAGCACATGCTGTCTTCCTCATAACATGCCACATCAAAGAAAATAAGGTGAGATCTTCTCACTATTGGTGATACTACATTTGATGACTTGGGTGAGGTGAAGAAAACCTTTTCTTTGCTATTAACATTAATTGTGGGAGAATACACTGGCATTATGAAAACATTATTTCTAATTTTAATATTGAGACAGAATAGCACCTATTCTATTATTCTTGGTGTACATACTCATGATATAACTATCTGAGGCATAACATTCTGATAATTTTATCAATAATATTCAATCAATTACAATATATCTATATGTAAACACCAGGATAACAACATTTGCCATATATGTAGAAGAAAGTCTGAAAACTTTGGATAATTTTAACACATTTGTTCAAGAATACATGCAGAGAACGACCATTGCAGCATTTTTGCTAATAACTAGAATTGAAAATAAGTTTTATAACCATTTGTAGGGAAATACACAGATGAAATGTGGAATACTCATCACTGAAACCCCATGGCAGTGAAATGGGATGAATTAAAATTATGCATCAACATGGATAGATTAATAACACGTACTGCTGAGTTCAAAACAAGATGTAGACCAAGGTCATCTTGTAATCCCAGCACTTTGGGAGGCTAGAGTGGGAGGATCACTTGAGCCCAGGAGGTTGAGGCTGCAGTGAGCCGTCTATGTTCATGCTACTGCACTACAGCCTGGGCAACAGAAAGACAGCCTGTGTCAAAGAAAAAAAAAAAAAAAGATATTTGGGTAAAGAAAATTTAAACATAAAGAGGAACAATACCACATACTGTAAATGAATGTATTTGTGAATATGTGAAATAAATGACTTGGAAGAACATCAAAATCATGACAGTGGTCAACTCTTGGTGTATGGGAGAGGGGGATGGTTTGATGTTAGGTATATTTAAATATTTATTTATTTAAAATAGACTAGGAGCTAAAATGACAAAATAATTAACCTTTGTTATTTCTGGATTTTGTTTTTGTTACTCTCTATACACTCATTTAAAGATTAAAATTCTTAACCTTCACTTTAGAGATGAGGACTCTCGAGATTGGGTGAATTTATCTACTCTGCAGCGGATCCTTAATTCAAGACAAGGTGCGACAGAGCCTTTAGAGCGCCGGCAGGTCCCACAGTCAGACAGACAGACAGAGCCTTTAGAGCGCCGGCAGGCCCCACAGTCAGACAGACAGACTGACAGAGCCTTTAGAGAACCGGCAGGCCGCCCACAGTCAGACAGACAGACAGACAGAACCTTTAGAGCACCGGCAGGCCGTCCACAGACAGACAGACAGAGCCTTTAGAGCACCGGCAGGCCGTCCACAGTCAGACAGACAGACAGAGCCTTTAGAGCGCCGGCAGGCCGCCCCACAGTCAGACAGACAGACAGAGCCTTTAGAGCGCCGGCAGGCCCCACAGTCAGACAGACAGACTGACAGAACCTTTAGAGCACCGGCAGGCCGCCCACAGTCAGACAGACAGACAGACAGAACCTTTAGAGCACCGGCAGGCCGTCCACAGTCAGACAGACAGACAGAGCCTTTAGAGCGCCGGCAGGCCGCCCACAGTCAGACAGACAGACAGAACCTTTAGAGCACCGGCAGGCCGCCCACAGTCAGACAGACAGACAGACAGAGACTTTAGAGCGCCGGCAGGCCCCACAGTCAGACAGACAGACTGACAGAACCTTTAGAGCACCGGCAGGCCGCCCACAGTCAGACAGACAGACAGACAGAACCTTTAGAGCACCGGCAGGCCGCCCGCAGTCAGACAGACAGACAGACAGAGCCTTTAGAGCGCCGGCAGGCCGCCCACAGTCAGACAGACAGACAGAGCCTTTAGAGCGCCGGCAGGCCGCCCCACAGTCAGACAGACAGACAGAGCCTTTAGAGCGCCGGCAGGCCGCCCCACAGTCAGACAGACAGACAGACAGAGCCTTTAGAGCGCCGGCAGGCCGCCCACAGTCAGACAGACAGAGAGACAGAGCCTTTAGAGCGCCGGCAGGCCGCCCAGAATCAGACAGACAGACTGAGCCTTTAGAGCACCGGCAGGCCGCCCACAATCGGACAGATAGGGGATGGAGGGCCCCTAAGCCCCAACAAGACCTCTGCCTTGGCCAGAATCAAGTTGACCAAGAAAAAGAAAGCAATCGATAAATGGTGTCTGAATAAGGAGAACGGAATCCCCAATGGGCCCCCAAAAGGCAGATTCTCTGTAACAACAGTAAGAGACATTTTTTTTTTTAAATCAAACTCCTTCTATAGCTACTGCTGAAGGAAAAGGAGTTTTCCAAAGAGTATTTTGAGAGCTATGTGAACCTATCAGCAGCAGGGAAAATTTGCAGATGTAGATGGAGTCACAACTCTGCTCAAAATATGCTGCAGCAGATGAGAACAAAACTCAGAACCAGAGGAGCAGAGATTTACTTTGAAATCTGAACACTGACCAGTCCAGCTCTGCTGCTGATACAACCCCCATCTTCTGTTAAGTGGTTCGTACTCAGAATTCATGCAATGCCTAAAACTTGTCTAAGAGCTTTAAATATTCGAGTTAAAAAAGATATCATCTGTCTTCTACAAAAAAATAGCATCCACCATAGAAAAGGCAGGTGCAGGACGTGAGACTGCAGTGCCTAGGGGAAAGTGTGGAAACAGAGACCAGCACGTTTCCCATTAAAATATGTCTAACAGCAAGGAATGAGAAAAGCAGCAATGATTACACTACCCAACCCAGGAGTACAAGGCTGGCCATCTCAGCCACTGGACAGGGAGTCTGCAACACAAAGCCAAGGCCACCAGGATGAGGTGCAACCTGGGCTGAGAGAGGCAATGCCCCCATAAATGGAACAAAGCAGTTGCATTGAAGAAAAGTCAAAAGTTCTGTCTTCCTCCATGATTCCCTTCCTCCCTGGTTAAAAAAAAAAAAAATAGAAATCCTGAGGAAAATGAGATACACAAGACAGAAAGACAGGGCAGACATTTATCTACTCTACCAGGGCCAAGTGTCCAAGCTGGTGACACGCTTGCTGTTGGTTCCCAATGGTGGCACCACATGGCATGTGTTTCTCTGTGTGTATGAGTTCTCTAGAGTGAGAGATTTTACTATATTAGTAAAATCTGAGACTTCAAGTGTGTGTATCTGCAATTTCACCTATTTTTTGCAAAGTTGTTTTTAATCATTTCTATCCTCTCTGTCAGTGTATAAGCACACTTATTGATCCATAATTTCGTCAATGATTGTTATCATTAGGTGTCGTTAAGCTTTTGTATAATCCAGATTTTAGATTAGTATATAATTTCTCTTATCTTGATTGTTAGTTATTTGATTTATTTATGCTCTATACTTTACTCTCTACTTTTTTAAAATTTTATTTATTCATTTATTCACAGAGGCTGTGAGGCTTGCAGTTCATGTGTCTGATGATTGATCTGTAATCTTTACCCAGGTTAAAATAATAAAATATAGAAAAAAAGGGAAGATTGAGCCTAGATCTCTCCAAATAGTCAAGATGTGGCATTGGTTAATAGAGTAGAGTTGACAAAAGACTCAACAGAGTTTTGGGTGACTTTGAGGCTTCAGTCTTCTCTCAGCACATCCGTAGATGATGCGTGTATTAGTCTATTCTCACACTGCTATAAGAACCTACCTGAGACTGGGTAATTTATGAAGAAAAGAGATTTAATTGACTCCCAGTTCCACTGGCTGTACAGAAAGCATGGCTGGGAGGCCTCAGGAAACATACAATCATGGCAGAAGGTGAAGAGGAAGCAGGCACATCTTACCATGGCAGAGCAGGAGAGAGAGAGCAAAAGGCAGGTGCTATACACTTTCAAACAACCAGATCTCATGAGAACTCAATCACGGGACAGCACTAGGGGGATAGTGCTAAACCATTAGACATCATCCCCATGGTCCAGTCACCTCCCGCCAGGCTCCACCTCCAACATTGGTCATTACAATTCAACATGAGATTTGGGTGAGGACACAAAGCCAAACCATTTCAATGTGCATTGCTTCCCCAGTGCCATCGACCTGGTACACATAGAAAATGATGATATTTGCATATTTGATATTATGACACACATAAAAAATGGCAATATTTTCACAAGGCACTGGGAAAACTAGACGAGATTGCTCAAGATGGGAGATCAGCCTAGGGTTCCTGGTAGACACAGGCACCACTCAGCTACCCTAAGAGCTGAAAACATATTTAACCATACATGCAAGACCATGGACGATTGGCCAGGAAGTTCTGATTTGATTCTAAATCCTACAAGTGCCAGAATTCTGAGTCTTTCCTACCCAGTATTTGGGGAATATGTTTTTCTTGGTCTGATGTTAATGACGATAATTATAATTTAGAATTAAGTGTTTACTATGTCTTAGGTCTAAGGGCTTTATTTGTATTCCTTCATTTAACGTTTACAAAAATCCTCTCAAGTAGGTACGCCTCTATCCTTATTTTACAGTTGAGGAGATTGAAGGACAAAGAGTTTAAGTAACTTGCCCAAAATCATCAGGTGGTTAATGGTAAGGATGGGATAAAGTCCAGGTCATTGGGAGCTGAGGACATAATCTGAATTGCTAGGCTGGCTACCTCTGATGGTGCACGCTTCCTGAATCACAAAGTCCACTCTGGAGACGTGCTCCTGTCCACATCAGAGTGTCAATGTGCTCTGCTAGAGGAGGGGTTTTCTTCAACAAACAATTGCCAGGACGCACTTAACGGGAGTGGGAGCAAGCAGCAGATTTCCCAGACATGGATCCCTGGGCAACCTCTCAATCCTCCTTGTGGTGGGATGGGGAAGGCGTTGATCTGGGGACACGTAGCTCATGATTGAGCCGTGTTTCCTTAGGAGGCTTTTGCTGTTTTTGGAGGACTGTGATCTTGCCCACAGTGGCTTGATATGCTCTGACCCTGAAAGGACAGAGGGTTTTTGTGAGGTTGTATAGAACAGGATGTCAAAGAGGACTGAAACCCAAAGGAGACCGGAATGCTTCCTGTGCCGTCCCACTGACAACCAGAGACTGGGTTTGGGGATCACTGGCTTCGGGTGAGGGTGCTTGCTGTCCTGCAGACTGTTCTGGATTTGGCCTTGGAATTGGCGTTTTTATAAAATCTCCAGGAGACTCTGATATACATGATTTGCAAAACTGCACACTTTGTGAAGCAACACTGCCCTAAGGTACGGATCCTCATTGGGTGCTAAATCAGCCGTGAGCTTTAAAAGATACAAGTACCTGGGATCCTCCCCATGGGCTGATGCAGTGGGTTTGGTTGGGGCCAGGTAGCCTTTTTCAGAAAGTTCCAAAAATCTTTCTCAAGAGGAACCCAATTTGGAAATGAAACCCTAAGACCTGAAATAAATTATATTGTGTTAAAAACTAATAGAAAAAAAGAAATAGGCAATTACAGAAATTCAGATTATCAATACAGTAGATCAGTTTCTATATTTCAGATGTCATCATGGAATGAAGAGATAGAGGAGGCAGAGAAAAAAACACAGCCCAGCTTCAGATCTGAACTTCCATGGGTCTATGGGTGTGGGGCTGAGGTGTCTGTGAAATGGGCGATAGAAACAAGCTAAGGTCTTCTGATCAGCAATGAATTATGAAAAATTTTGAGGCCATGGAAATGGACATCAGCCAATGAGTGGAGAATGAGGCTGGGGACAGGTGGGAATTTTCCTGCCAGCTACGTTAAATAACCCAACATTTCTGTATATCTATCAAGTGATTTTGCCTCTCTAAAACCGCAATGGAGAAGAAACAAGAGCCAATATATTGATAGTGACACAATGTTTGTGTGTTCTCCACCCTTGTGTAATTATGCATAGGAACAAAGGTAAACTTTTTGTGTACCTTCATAAAGACACACTTTATCCAAATATGCAGGATTTTCGGGACAGGAAACTTAGCTTGTTGATATGCTAGGCATAGAGATGAGAGCCTAGAGGTCAGAGAGGCCCAGTGTCTCTGAGAATGGCAGGTGAACATGGTACCGGTTGGTATCCATGCATATCTGAAAGGCAGAAGGGAAGCAAAATGTTACATGGATGTGTTTCATCTTAGTCCATCTTTTCACAAACATATTCAGCTGGGTGATTTTAGGAAGGAAGTGACAGAAGTCAGCAATCCTACCAAAGCATAACGGTGGATGAGACTTTAGTTTTGTTTTATTTTTGTTTTGAATGGTTGCCTGTTTCTCTTTAGTATTTTATGCTGTTTAGTGTAATGGTGCCTTACAGCTATTAAACAGTCATTTGTGTCTTGATGTGAGGGAACATGGCATTATCATTTTACAGATGAGAAATCTATGATAGAAAAAAATGTGATTTGCCTAAGGTCACAAATCGAACCAGAACTAGAGTCTCAAAGAGCACATACAGGCTTGTCAGAGAAGCGACGTCCGCATTATGGAAAATAGAAGAATGCACATTAGAGTTCTCCGAATTGGTTCAAGAATGTATTCAAATTCTTATGCTTAGTCAAATCTGTAGCTTGGAGAAATGAGCGGGTGATTTGCAGCGTTGTGTGCTAAGAAAGTGATGAGCTGGAGTCTCATTTTCCTCACGGTCTCTCGTTCTTCTCACGTCAAGTTGACTACCCATTTTCGTGCTTTCATCTAATCATCTCAAAGTGTTCTTCATTTAGGAAAGAATTTAAAGTTTTGATGAGAAAAAAAATTACAATGTTTAATGGTTTAGAAATTTTCAGAGTTTCCCTTCAAAATGCAACAAAACTCTGCAGCACCAATACTTTATAAATAGAGGAGGGGTTGAAAATCTTTGTCTTCATATCAATCAAGGTTCAGTGTTCAGGGTTAAATGGAGAACAGATTTGTATCAACACAATAAAATCACCGCACAATTGAAACTCAATTATTTAGTCTTCTAGCCCTCCAAGTTCATTCTACCCTGACACGTATGCATTCCACAAAAATAATATGTTATATAAATGTTAGCTTTACGTGGTCAGCATGCCAGTGTATATAACAAAGCTCCAATTTCTATTCTCTTTCATATCTTGCCTCTAGCAGAGAGAGTAATTAATAGTGTAGGTGCCAAAAGGATGTCATGGGTAGAAGGCATAAGCAATTCTCCAGTGAAAAAACTGATTTTATTAAGTGTATTTTGGATGTCCCAAGTATGAGAACCCACTTATACTTGGATAATAACATCAAAACTCTGTCACCTCATATATTTTAGGGTTAAAGACCTTAAAATTATTTAAAAATAATTTTAATGAAATAAAAAAATGTGTATCACATCCTTTTTTTCCAAAATACGATCCAAAACTGATGAAATGAACAAAAGTAACCTATTTCTCTGCAGTGTTCATGACTGTGAATTCAAGTGTCTCAAAGATTTCAAAGGATTTAGGGGTATGTTTGTTAGAAAAAAAAACTGTATGCAAACACAAATCAAAAATTACTCTTTTCCAATTTGTTATAGACTAAGATTATTTCTCCTCTATTGCATCAAACAATATATTTAAAAAACATGTAAATGACTCATATATTCATTCATCTAAAATCTCAAAATCTGAAGAAATAAATATTTGAATTTATCAGGAAGTGTGTGAACACTGCTAAACCCACAGATGTCCAACCTATCATTGTCATTTATCTGTACAAGAGAGTCTATCTCCACAAAAATTTGGAATTTTTTTCTTGCACTTTATATCCAAGCCATCAGGAAATCTTGTTGCCTCACCTTCAAGCAATTCTCCAAATATGACCACTTTCTAAAATGTCCAATGCTACAAAGTGCACATAGTTATGGTCCCACCTGTCCAATATTCTTTCCTTGCTCCCTCTGTCTAGTCTGCTCCCAATAGAATGGATTCCTTTCCATTTCTCAAGCATACGAGGCACAGTCCATCTTAGCACCTTCTCCTAATGAGTCCTCTTGCTGAAGCACTCATTGCTCAAATATTTGTTTGGCTAATTCCTCCTCTTAAGTTTTAGTTCAAGTTTCATGTTCTGGGTAAAGATCTTGTCTTGTGTATTCACCGATGTATCAGAGACCCTAGAACAATACCTGGCATATATAGGTATTCGAGAAATATTTGCTTAATAGAAGACGGGATTGTGAAAGAGATTGGCACCTCCTGTCCACCCTTGCTTCCTCTCTGCCATGTGATCTCTGCACACGCCAGCTCCTCTCCACCTTCCGCCATGAGTGAAGCAGCCTAAGGCCCTCATCAGAAGCAGATGCCAGCGCTGTGCTTCCTGTGCAGCCTGAGGAACTGTGAGTCAAACAAACCTCTTTTCTCTATAAATTAACCAGCCTCAGGTATTCCTTTAAAGCAACACAAACAGACTAAGACAAAAGGACGTGAATTGGAAAACAAAAAACAAATATCAATATGCAGACTACATCAGTAAATATTTAGGAAAAAACATCAATAAAAAATGATTACAACTAATTAGAAATGTGGCAAAGTAGAAACATAGTAAATTAATAGAAAAGCAGACTTCTATTTGGAACATTGATGAAAAGAAAGAATGTCTTTCCAATACTGACTCAAGTGATTAATAGCTAAATAGAAGCTTAATGAATTTTGTGAAACTTATATGAAGAAAACTTTAACATATACTTAAAAAAAAAGAAATGTAAATAAATAGACAAACCATGTTTTTGGAAAGGAAGTCTCGATATTAACAGGTTTCATTAAAGTCAATTTAAAATTTATCCTGATTCCAATGATCATATCTGTTTTCCTTGATTTTAAAATTGTTCTAAAATTCATTTGTAAAACTGAAGTAAGTATAGTCAGAATAAACTTGACAGTTCTCCTAAATATTGATAATTTTAGAAAACTAACAACCTGTTGGAAAAATGTACCAAAGATATGAATAGGCAGTTCACAGAAAATAAATGAAAATATCCCTTAAACCAATTAAAAGCTAAATTGCAAAATGCACACAAATTAAAAATTTCATTTATATACCATTATTAGTTTACTGTCAAAACCCCAAAACATTAGCAGAACATTCTGTTGGCCCAAGAGACCGTTTCATCTATGACTTCAGTGAATGCTCAATAGCATTCTCTATGGAGTTCCATTTGTCTATACATAGCAAAAGTACAAGTATATTTAACCTTTCTCCTAACTCACTTTCATGAATCTATCCAAAAGTTGCAATAGAAAATATAGAAACTGACTTATGCAGAAAGCTGCTAATTGTCAAGTTGTTTTATTGTAACAAAATTTTGGAAACCCAAATGTTCAAAAACAGCAGTCAATGAAGTGCTACACAGCTGCCAAAAGGAAGCGGGGAATCCTCCTAATTGGAAATGACCTCCAGGGTATGTTGCTGAGTAAAAAAAGTAAGCAGCTGAAAGGTAACGTCTATCTCTATGTGTCTATATTTATACACATAAAAGTATTTACCTAGATAAATTGGTAAATCAAGAGACAAAGAAAAAATAAAAGGGAGACAGAGCAAATCCTAATTATCTGTCGAGTTACACATATTTATTTTAATCTGAAAAAAATAGCACTTAGAAGAATAACCAAAACTATACAAATGTTTACGTATAAAGAAAAAGAGGAAACAGTAGACAAGAATAAAAACATTTATATATTTTTTATAATAAAAAATAGTTCACATTTTTAAAAACTATAATAAAATCCAAATGAAACTGAGCAAGTTCTAAAGTTAAAATGAAACCTAGAAAACGTGAGCCAGACTATCAAGTCGGTCACATCATCAACGACAACAGCCACAGCAGAGGAGGGATTTCCAGGAACTTTACGACACAGTATTTTGAGTGCACCCCCATAGTGGGATATATTCTAAAGTCAAATAGAGTTTCACATACGCTTAAAATTCATGTAGCAGTTCTCCTTGTTTATAGTAATGTTAGTAATATACTTTAAAGCTATTTTATATATTTGAGGAATAAAATTAATATTAAATTACAATACACATTGTTGGGAATGAAGCCATGTTTTAGAAGGTGCAGATATCAGCAAGGTAAGTGGAGAGCTCGCATGTTAAAGCAGGAGCTCATCGTGAATGGCAAGCATGACTTTGTGGACATTCGCGAAACTCTGGGCTTTGCTAATCTGCTTCATTTCATTTCACAAGGATCCAGGGATAATCACAATTGCTTTCTCTGTCTCTTAAATGCCAGAATTTTGGCCTAAATGTTTTAAAAAGGATTTTTTTCATTATTCTCTCAGCACTCTTTTTTAAAGGCTAAAAACATTAAATGATGATATATATTGTGTTTTTGCTCTGGTAATGACTGATTATTCACCACACTGAATACCACACAATGAAAAAGAGCTGCCATTGTCACTTCATTTTTACTGCAGCTTCCTCCCTACCCATTAGCAAGCTCTCCTCTACACCTGGGAAATAATTCCAGGGTTTCTTCGAATAGACTACTTCTTTGTCTGTTTGTCTCATTTTTATTTATTTTATTTTATTTTTGAGATGAAGTCTTGCTCTGTCACTCAGGCTGGAGTGCAGTGGCATGATCTTGGCTCACTGCAGTCTCCACCTCCCGGGTTCAAGTGATTCTCCTGCCTCAGCCTCCAGAGTAGCTGGGACTACAGGCGCCCACCAGCATACCCGGCTAATTATCATATTAATAGAGACGGGCTATCTATTGGCCAGGCTGGTCTCGAACTCCTGACCTTCAGTAATCCACCTGCCTCGGCCTCCCAAAGTGCTGGGGTTACAAGTGTGAGCCACCATGCCTGGCCTGTTTGTCTCATTTTTAAAAGTCCATTTTATATGTTTATGGGTTTAAAAGGCTGTCCTCCTAACAAGATAGCTTCAAAAATACTGTATTCTATAAAGCTCAGCAAGTTATATGAATACAAGTTCCCTAAAGTGCAATATTGTGCTATTGCATAATTACTCAGAGTGCGAGTTAATGAAACCCAGCCACAAGGTCATTATCCCAAATAGATACCGGTGTTATGATCAATAGTTATAGTTAAAACAAGATTTTATAGGTTAGAGTCTGTCTGAAACACTAAGGAAGGTCTTAAGTACATAATAAATGTTAAGTAGATTAAGTTAATATCACAGGACATTAAGAAACCAAATTATAAAATTTATTGATAAATTATCTTCATAAGACTTTCTTTGTAATCTGAATAAAAACCACCAAAGAAATGATTATGGTTTTCAGAAATAATCATTTTCCATAATGCTGTAAATTAAAATATTCGAAAGGCATGTTGGATAATTTAAACTTTACAGTCCTGTTAACTTTTATGCAGACTTGTAAGCCATTCTGTGACTGTATTACATTTTTAGTAGAAGTTAAAAAATTATTTTCTCTGGCCCGTAAGCCAAAAATTAAATAGGAACAAATGTTCTCAAGAAAATTGAAGTGATTTTTTTTCAAAATTAAATATGGATTTTCAGTAGCAATGGGAAAATTACCAAGCCAGAAGCAAAGTCAAGTGTAGCCGTCTTCAGATTAAACAAAATCAGCTACAAATCTAAATTGATTGGAAGCTTGTTCAGGAAGTCTCCCAAATCAACCACTTGGACACTTTATGCCTGTAGGTAACAACACCTGAAGGCTAACGTTGACTGAGGAGACCTCAGCGTGAGCTCTGGAAGGCTTGGACATGCATCTCTGGTAAACATTTCAGTTCCCTCGGGCAAAGTGAAGTTTATGAGTAAGTGTTAAATTGGTACAGAAAGTTGCTCTTCCTCTAGCTAGTTCATTATTTTGATTATTTCCAAAGCCACTTCCAGTAAATCTGCTCTACAGAGAGCTCCAAATTAACATCCATTCTCTTCTTTTTTTTTAAATTTAAGTTCTAGGGTACATGTGCACAATGTGCAGGTTTGTTACGTATGCATACGTGTGCCATGTTGGTCATACCAGCATCTCTGGGACACATTTAAAGCAGAGTGTAGAGGGAAATTTATAGCACTAAATTCCCACAAGAGAAAGCGGGAAAGATCTAAAATTGACACCGTAACATCACAATTAAAAGAACTAGAGAAGCAAGAGCAAACACATTCAAAAGCTAGCAGAAGGCAAGAAATAACTAAGATCAGAGCAGAACTGAAGGAGATAGAGACACAAAAACCCTTCAAAAAAATCAATGAATCCAGGAGCTGGTTTTTGAAAAGATCAACAAAATTGACAGACCGCTAGCAAGACTAATAAAGAAGAAAAGATAAAAGAATCAAATAGTCTCAATAAAAAACATCCATTCTCTTCTAAGCAATCATAGAACAGCTACAAGCCTCCTCATATTTTCTCTTTACTTACCTTTTAGATGACATTGAGCTGATTGCTTTGGTAGACCTGTCACTCACTACACAAAGGCTAAATTAATGTAATTTGATACACGTGAAACTTTTATATCTCTAATGCAACAATGTCAAATACAATAGGTTGCAGATTTAGTCACAAATCAAAACAAAGCCTTTAATGGAGCAAAAGTGTTTGAGAAATATCGTACAAATTATGGATGCTGTAAGGCTATTCATGTTGATGTTTCATCAAATATTTTTAAATATGTTTCTGTGCTAAGAGAAATGTTCTGTAACTTCTATTTATAAATAATACTTTAGACATAAATAAGTACATGCTTATTTCAGAAAATTCAGAAAAATAAGAAAAATCATAAGGAAGAAAAATACAAAAATCCCACTACCAATTAACCATTATTAACATTTTTCTGCATTTCTGTCTTGTTTTTCAGTGCAAATAGGTACCTATAGTAACAATACTATAATTCTCAGAGGAAGTGAATCATGTTTTTCATTTAGTGTATCATGAATTTTTATAGTTTCACTAGAAAGTATTTTTAAATGACTAATAGCTCAGTATAAGATAAAAGACTTAATTGTGTTAGATATAATGACATGGTGATTCAACTTTAAAAGTTCTTATTCATTAGAGATGTTTATTGGAGAACTATTTAGGGCTGGTCGAGACAATCCCTTAGATTTGCTTGGCAAAGCACAATAAACAAGTGTAAAGTAGATGGACACTATTGCCAAAATATTTGTAATTGTTAAAGCTGGAAGATTAGTCCATATTCCTTGCAGGTCTACATTTTTTACAGTATTTATCCATAAGTAAAAATCCAACCTTATCCGTAAGTATAATCAAATATACTTATGCTTCAAAAATAATATTCTATGTTTTCATTTTTATGCCTCCTTAATGAGGCACTAAGCCCTTATATATTCCCTTTTTTTTTTTTTTTTTTTTTTTGAGATGGAGTTTTGCTCTTGTCGCCCTGGCTGGAGTGCAGTGGCACAATCTCGGCTCACTGCACTGCAACTTCCACCTCCCGGGTTCAAGCAGTTCTCCTGCCTCAGCATCCCAAGTAGCTGGGATTACAGGTGCCCGCCACCACGCCCAGCTAATTTTGTATTTTTTATTGGAGATGGGGTTTCACCATGTTGGCCAGGGTGGTCCTGAACTCCTGACCTCAAGTGATCCACCCACCTCGGCCTCCCAAAGTGCTGGGATTACAGGTGTGAGCCACCTCACCCAGCCAACCCTTATATATCCTAAAGTTAATTCCTGATTATCTAATTGGATCCATTGAACTTGCATCAATAGTGTACACTTGTAATGATTATAGAATTTAGCCAAGGTTAATCTGTAAGCTCTACATCATCCATTGCTGTTTGCTCAGCTATTTAGTCCCATGAAACATTTTCTCATCTTGCCTACTCAATTTCCATCTCAGCCTCTTCCCAGCATGAACTTCTGCTCTTATTTCTTATAGGTCATGTCTACAATTAAATCCAATTAGAGAATCAGAAATTGCACGCCCAGCTCTCCTTCTGCAACCAGTCAGAGAAAACTTATCTTTTAAAGGGATCATGGGAATAGGTCCAGTCCACACAGATACTCTCTGCGTTGTATGCTCAATGGTGCCTTAAGATATAACCTGATCATAGGAGTAAAATCTGTTTGAATCCCCAGCCCCTAGAACTGATGGCACGTGTGTGTGTCATGGCACAGAAAACCTTGGGGGACATCTAAAGATCTAGCCCGCAGCATGCATGGAGAAAAAGAAGTTCTGATAGATAGCAGCTGAGCCAAAAGCTGGTATTCAGGGTTTTGCTATTATTATTATTATTATTATTAATTATTATTTTTTTTTTGAGACGGAGTCTTGCTCTGTAGCCCAGGCTGGAGTGCAGTGGCGTGATCTCGGCTCACTGCAAGCTCCGCCTCCCGGGTTCACGCCATTCTCCTGCCTCAGTCTCCTGAGTAGCTGGTACTACAGGCACCCGCCACCACGCCTGGCTAACTTATTTTGTATTTTTAGTAGAGACGGGGTTTCACCGTGGTCTCGATCTCCTGACCTCGTGATCCGCCTGCCTCGGCCTCCCAAAGTGCTGGGATTACAGGCGTGAGCCACCGCACCCGGCCTGCTTATTTTTTCTTACATCTTTATAAAGTTAATGAAAAGCTGTGTAGTGAGTATAAATGTAAACAGTGCAATAAATAAATGTTTTAACTTTTTATTTTGAGATCATTGAAGATTCACATGAAGTTGTAAGAAATCTTGCAGGGAGATCCCCTCCCACCGCAGGAGTAGTGTCTTGACAAAGCCATAATGCAGTCTCCTGGCCAGGATGTTGGCATCGACCCGGTCCAGACAGGGAACATCTGCCACCAGAAGGGTCCCGCCTGCTGCCTTTCACAGCCAAATCCACTTCGCTCCCACCCCAGTGGCTCCTTAGCCCTTGGCAGCCACTGATCTATTCTCCACATCTATAATCTTGTCATCTCAAGAATGTCATGAAAATGAATCATACAGAATGTTAACTTTTGCGATTGGTTTTCTTGACTCAGCATGATTCTCTGCACATTCACTCGGATTCTTGAGTGTGTCAATATTTTGCTCCTGTTTATTACTGAGTAGTATACAATAGATATTTATATTTATAACCCAAAAATGTTTCATCTTAATGCCACATAAGACGATGGAGACAGCAACATCACACTATTTACCCGAAGTTGGCAGCAAAACCTACATCTCCTGCACGCTTCTGTCCAAGGTAATTTCTTTGTGCTCTCTAATCTCCTTTATCTAAGAGCCAGGTTATTGGAGAATGAATGCCAACAGCCCTGCTATTTCTGTTTTGCAACCTGCCACCTCTTTGCCAGGGTCTATGAGCACAATGCCAGCATGAATGGTGAGGAATGTGAGGTGGGTGAGGAAAGGCAAATGTCAGGAGGAAAATGCACATCTTGAAAGAGGATCTTGCGAGGGCTCCCCAGGTGGCTCGCCGAATGCCTGTTACAAAGGCCAGACAGGAAGCTGTGCCGGTTCTCAGATCACGGGCGTCCTGGTGCAGTCGGGGCTGATTGTCAGGAGGTGGATTTGAGTGCAAGCTCCACGGCATGCTCTAAGACATCATGTACCTATTGTAACAATTCTCAAGGCACTTCGGAAAAACACCTGACTTGCAACTCCCAATCGTCCTATGAGAAAGAGTACGAAGTAGCTTTTCTTATTTTAAAGGTGATAAAAATTAGTCAGTACATTTCCTTGTTTGCGTGAGGAAGGAAGACGTGGGATTACATAGACAATGATGCAGATAAATCTTCTGATATTTAGCTCAATATTTATTTTTCCATTACAACTACTTGCTTGCCAAAATGTCATCGTCTAGAGTATCCTGACACTAAATAATTGTCTTTTCTATGGAAAATCAGAGAGCAATGACCAGATGTGAAATTTTAAATTGAAAAGAAGCAAAGAAACATAGAGTTATTTGAAGCTGAAAAGGAGAGAGCTATAAGAAAAAATAACCAATTAAATGTAAACACTCAAATTTGTCTCCATGAGTTTAGGTACCCTCCCCTTTTTTTGTGAGTTTTCTCACTACAATATTCCAGTGCCTATCACAGTACGTAGTCAGGTATGTGGGAGCATATTAATAAATGTGTACAGGGTGAATTGTCAAAGAAGTTGAAAGTGTGATGATAAATTTTTTTTTTTTTTTTTGAGACGGAGTCTCGCTCTTTTGCCCAGGCTGGAGTGCAGTGGCACGATCTCTGCTCACTGCAAGCTCCTCCTCCCGGGTTCACGCCATTCTCCTGCCTCAGCCTCCTGAGTAGCTGGGACTACAGGCACCTGCCACCACGCCTGGCTAATTTTTTTTTTTTTTTTTTTTTGTATTTTTAATAGAGACGGGGTTTCACCGTGTTAGCCAGGATGGTGTTGATCTCCTGACCTTGTGATCCGCCCACCTCGGCCTCCCAAAGTGCTGGGATTACAAGTGTGAGCCACCGCGCCCGGCCCCCAAATTCTTACAGCTACATATTAAAGATCTAATTCAAATATCAGGGAAGTGCATAGAAGTCTCTCAATAAGACATGAGTGTTTAACAATATTATGTTCCACAGTTATTATGATGAATGTTATCCTGCTTTTTTTTCAAAATTAAAAGGAATAAACTCTAAAATAGAAAGCCCATTAAAAATGTTGTCATCTTCAAATCTAACCAGCTAAGGGAAGAGCTTAGTCTTTAATATTTTTGTTGATCTTTGGCACACAAAGTTCGATATGTATTTAATTATTAATCATTTGAACATGTGGACTTTCAGTCCTAAAATTCTGAGCTCCGGTTCGGCGTGTGCCTTGTCCTGAAGGCGTATTGACCAACAGCCTCCCCGGGCCGCTCCTATAGGCACCTGCACAATGGATATTGATCTCCATTGACACAGCTCACATGAGGAGCTGGGATCTGTTATGGGCTATTCATTTGGGGTTTATAGAAATGACCTTCAACTAAACTTGGGAGATTGACAGTTGACTACTTGTTTTCCCGTTCTTCAGAAGAATTCAAGGATTCACTTGTCAGTTTCCATGGAAACAACCATGTAATTATTTTTAGCAGAACATCCTATGTCCATTTCCTGTCCCTTAACACAACCACAGGTGAAATCTCAGTAAGATTCACTGTTTCCATAACTGTGGGACATGTTCTTTAAAAAAAAAAAAAAAAGTCTTTCCCTGAATTCAGGAAATTTAGTGATCTCTTTACCCTTATCTAAGTCATGATTTGCTAAGGCTTAAATAATTTGTCATGCATGCCAAGTGGCAAATTTAAGAGAAGTATCAAGATAGAGAAAATACTGACACAAATACAATTAAAACTCAGGTTACTTAAGATTGATTTTCTTCTCAAGAATTTGCCAGTGACAGAAAATGTCTCCTTTTGTCATTAGCTACGAGCTACTAATTTATTTTAATGGTTACAACTAGAGCCTGTGCAAAATAATATCATATGCTTATTTATTTTATTTATTTGGTGGATAATATCTATTCTGGAAATAGTAATGATTATAACGTATCCTTAAAAATACCTAAATTTGTCTTCAAAAAGTCATTTTCTTAAGTAAGCAGGTTGGGGTGATTATGTGTTTATTACATGTGTATTACATTGTGTTATATGTTTAATACAGCACTAGACACTCAGGAAAAAGCTTTAAACTAGATAGGGAAGTCCCTGTGGGAAGGAGTTGGAAAATGAGGATGACAATAAACACGAAAACAAGTAAACAATAAAATAAGTAAATAAATGAACACCATAACTTCGGATATTGTTAGATACCATGAAGAATATAAAATAGGGTGATAGGACAGGGGTGGGTGTTATATTTTACATTGTATTGTTAAAGCCTCCCCTTCCAAGAAAAGATTGAGCTGGAACATGAACGTAGCTGGAGGAAGGAGGCAAAGTTCTCCTGTTGAGTCTGGGGGGCAGAGGAGGAAGGTGTCACAGCCCTGTGCAGGAAGGAGCCTGGTGTGTCTGGGGACAGTGAATGCCAGGCTGGCTGTGCCGCAAGCCAGCAAGAGCATGGTCCCAATGAACCAGAAAGGCGGGTGGGCTGCATCATGGAGACTTACACATATTAAATAGCTCAGATTGTATCCTAAGAGTGGTGGGAAGTTTTTGGTCTCTGGAAACTTCTAAGTGGGTAAATGACAGGATTTTGCTATAAAAGGTATCTGGATGCTGAGTGAAGATGAGACATGAACAGAGGCAGAGGCCAGCATGAGCTTGGACCTTTGGAGATGATGACTAGAACCAGGGTAGGAGAGGAAAGGGAGGACCTGAGGTGACCCCCGTGACCTCCACCAATGGTGAGGAAATAGCAATGGTGTGTGCAGCGATCACGGTGTCTCTCGTTGAAGGGTACATCTATCCAACCATACCCATGGATGTCGCACCCAACCATGGTGCCCTGGCCTCCACCTGAGGGGAGATACGCCATGAAAAAGATATGCTGTGTTTCTGGCCAGCGCTTGGGTACCAACCTGAGCCTTTGTGTAAGGTGGTGTTTGCGGGAAAGCCTCATAAAGAATTGTCAGCGTAGGAGGCAGAGCAAATGCTCTCCAAGCTCCCCATAGTCAGGGACTGTGCACAGCTGAAGAACATCGGAGAAACATGCACAGAGAAGCCACTGGAAAAACCACCCCAAACCCCCAAACCGTCTTATAAAGAACACACCCATGAAGACAGTACACTAAATGGTTTGGGAAAGAAAGTTAATGGAAACTTTTTTTATTTTATTTTATTTTTTTGAGACGGAGTCTCATTCTGTCGCCCAGGCTGGAGTGCAGTGGCACGATCTTGGCTCACTGCAAGCTCCACCTCCTGGGTTCACGCCATTCTCCTGCCTCAGCCTCCTGAGTAGCTGGGACTACAGGTGCCCACCACCAGGCCCGGCTAATTTTTTGTATTTTTTTAGTAGAGACGGAGTTTCACTGTGTTAGCCAGGATGGTCTCGATCTCCTGACCTCGTGATCTGCCCGCGTTGGCCTCTCAAAGTGCTGGGATTACAGGTGTGAGCCACCGTGCCCGGCCTAATGGAAACATTTCTAAGTATATTTCCAAGACACTTGCAAGCTCTGAGCCACAGACATTGACCCAGTGACAAAAGCAGAAACTATTAATAAGAATATCTCAGATTGTTCCCTATTCATGTCTTTGAGGAAGGTACTTCAGACTTAAGAGTTGAATATCAATCATTTTCAGAAGTTTAATTATATTTCATAACTAAAATGGGAAGCATGTCAGATGAATGACTGCTGATATAATGAGACCAGCACCTGCTGGATTTTAGCATCTGCTGTGGCAGGCGCTTGCCTGGATGCTGACTATGTTCATGAACAGCGTGATGGCCCTCGGAATTAGATGCTGCGATCCCCATTATGCAGGCAGGAAAGTGAGGCTTACACAGGTTGTTATTGCTCTAACATCTTTTTAATTTCGTTGGCTCAGCTGTTTCAGAACAAACCCCTTATCTCTTGTTTTCACATCCTTTCTAATTTCTAGGTTGAGGGAAGAGTATTTCTTTCCACGGGAAAACTACTCAAGGAAACACAGTTAAGGTTTTAAGGAATTTTAATTTTTACTACTGAATATCATTCTTTCAATAAACTATGAAATTGAGGCTCTGAGAGCTCTCTAGAGACATTTTCCTTTTTACTTTCATGAGTGTTGGGAGCACATGGGAAACTTTCCTAAGTCCTTAGACAGCCAGTGCCTTAAACATGTGTGAAATGGCCAGGCACAGTGGCTCACGCCTATAATCCCAGCAATTTGGGAGGCCCAGGTGGGAGGACTGATTAAGGACAGGAGTTCAAGACTGGCCTAGGCAATATAGCAAGACCTCACCTTTACAAAATAAAAACAAAAATTAGCCAGGCATGGTGGCACACATCTGTGGTCTCAGCTACTTGGGAAGCTGAGGTCGAGGCGGGAGAATTGGGTCTGGAGGAAGGAAACTTAAGGCTAATTCATGCTGAATCAAGGAAAAACACCAAGGTTTGGGGGCAGGGAATCTGAGACCAATTCGTGATGACTTCCCAAACCTAGATCAAAAGGAAAACACCTGGGTCTGGGGGCAGGGAACCTAAGGCCAAGTACCACAAACTTCCTAAAGCTAAACCAAAAAGGACCCCGCTCCCCCGTCTCCCCAGGCCCAGTAGCAAAGGATCAAAGGCTGCTCTCCCTACAGCCCTCCCCTTCCACCTTGCTTCAGAGAGAAAGGGAGAGTGCCTTGGAGTGGCCGAGAGCCAAGCATCGCCATCCGTTCATTGGCACGGAGTGCCAGTTCACCTCAGCCTTTAATTAGCCACAGACCAAATCCTTCATCCAGATCAGGAGTGACCGATAGGAAACTCAAAAGAAGTACTTAAAACCCAGAAAGCTTTGTAACTGGGCCCTCGAGCTGCTTGCTCAGACGCACTCCCTCCCTGAGGAGTGCCTTTTCACTGTAATCCACCCCTGCATTTGCTGCTTCCTTCCTGTGTTCCACTTCTTTGTTACTTTGTTTGTGCATTTTGTCCAATTCTTTGTTCAAAACACTTAGAACCTGCACAGCTTACACTCAAGGCCCTCCTTCCGGTAGCAGGGCGCGAGGATGGCTAGAGCCCAGTAGTTCAAGGCTGCAGTGAGCTACGATCACACCACTGTACTCCAGCCTTGGCGACAGAGCGAGACCCTACCTCTAAAAACAATTTAAAAATAAAAACTTTTTTTAAACGTAGGGGAAAGCACAGTAGTTGAAAACAATCTTCCTTTCCACTGCTGACGAAGGGATCCATGACCACATCTTCCACAAGTGAGGAAAGAGCACGACGCTTTCTGCAAAATCTCACAGTCAAGAATAACAGGACGTAGGGGAGGAGGGTGGGGCGTAGGCTTCTGTGCTAACACAGACACGCCTGCAAGAAAGACGCCCGCTGTGAGGCCTCAGCATCGGCTCAGCGCGGCCACGTTGCCCCCTTCTCCTGGAAGGCTTCTGC
Source organism: Homo sapiens (assembly GCF_000001405.40). Classification (NCBI taxonomy): domain Eukaryota; kingdom Metazoa; phylum Chordata; class Mammalia; order Primates; family Hominidae; genus Homo; species Homo sapiens. The sequence continues at coordinate 77,671,582 of NC_000018.10, read as the reverse complement.
TTCTGAGACAGACGGTTGTCACCAGAATTAAAATTCTGATCCTGGCTGCACTTTCTCCTTCAGTCCATCGCCTTAGTCAGTGGAAGATGTGTTTGCTGCTTGTGTTCATTTTCTAATTTGTCTTTGTGCCATAAAAAATTACAAATGGCGGGTGGCTGCAAACCACAGAAAATTATTCTCTCACAGTTCTGAAGGCCAGAAGTTCAAAATCAAGATGTCGGCAGGACCATGATCCCTGTGATGTCTCTACAGGAGGTCCTGTGATTGTCTTCCAGCTCCTGGTAGCTCCCAGCAAGCCTCAGTTTCCCTGGCTTGGGGCTGCCCCATGCCAGTCTCTGCCCCACGCCAGTCTCTACCCCACACCAGTCTCTGCTCCATGCCAGTCTCTGCCCCACGCCAGTCTATGCCCCATGCCAGTCTCTGCTCCATGCCAGTCTCTGCCCCATGCCAGTCTATGCCCCACACCAGTCTCTGCCCCACGCCAGTCTCTGCCCCACGCCAGTCTCTACCCCACGCCAGTCTCTGCTCCATGCCAGTCTCTGCCCCACGCCAGTCTCTGCCCCACACCAGTCTCTGCTCCATGCCAGTCTATGCCCCACACCAGTCTCTGCTCCATGCCAGTCTATGCCCCACACCAGTCTCTGCTCCATGCCAGTCTCTGCCCCACACCAGTCTCTGTTCCATGCCAGTCTATGCCCCACGCCAGTCTCTGCCCCATGCCAGTCTCTGCCCCATGCCAGTCTCTGCCCCATGCCAGTCTATGCCCCACACCAGTCTCTGCCCCACGCCAGTCTCTGCCCCATGCCAGTCTCTGCCCCACGCCAGTCTCTGCTCCATGCCAGTCTATGCCCCACGCCAGTCTCTGCTCCATGCCAGTCTATGCCCCACACCAGTCTCTGCTCCATGCCAGTCTATGCCCCACACCAGTCTCTGCCCCACGCCAGTCTCTGCCCCATGCCAGTCTCTGCCCCATGCCAGTCTATGCCCCACACCAGTCTCTGCCCCATGCCAGTCTACGCCCCACACCAGTCTCTGCCCCACGCCAGTCTCTGCCCCATGCCAGTCTCTGCCCCATGCCAGTCTATGCCCCACACCAGTCTCTGCCCCATGCCAGTCTACGCCCCACACCAGTCTCTGCCCCACGCCAGTCTCTGCCCCATGCCAGTCTCTGCCCCACGCCAGTCTCTGCTCCATGCCAGTCTATGCCCCACACCAGTCTCTGCCCCATGCCAGTCTATGCCCCACACCAGTCTCTGCCCCACGCCAGTCTCTGCCCCATGCCAGTCTCTGCCCCATGCCAGTCTATGCCCCACACCAGTCTCTGCCCCATGCCAGTCTACGCCCCACACCAGTCTCTGCCCCACGCCAGTCTCTGCCCCATGCCAGTCTCTGCCCCACGCCAGTCTCTGCTCCATGCCAGTCTATGCCCCACACCAGTCTCTGCTCCACGCCAGTCTATGCCCCACACCAGTCTCTGCCCCACGCCAGTCTCTGCCCCACGCCAGTCTCTTCCCCACGCCAGTCTCTGCCCCATGCCAGTCTATGCCCCACACCAGTCTCTGCCCCATGCCAGTCTATGCCCCACACCAGTCTCTGCCCCACGCCAGTCTCTGCCCCATGCCAGTCTCTGCCCCATGCCAGTCTCTGCTCCATGCCAGTCTATGCCCCACACCAGTCTCTGCTCCATGCCAGTCTATGCCCCACACCAGTCTCTGCTCCATGCCAGTGTATGCCCCACACCAGTCTCTGCCCCATGCCCGTCTCTGCCCCATGCCAGTCTCTGCCCCACACCAGTCTCTGCTCCATGCCAGTCTCTGCCCCGTCACCACACAGCCTTCTCCCTGTGTGTTGGTGTCTCTGTGTCCAAAGTTCCCTTTTATAAGGACACCAGTCCCTGGATTATGGCCCATCCTACTCAAGTCTAACCTCATCTTGATCACAGCTGCAAAGACCCTATTCCCAAGCAGGTCCCATTCACAAGCATGTGAACGTGCCTTTCGGAGGAACATGGCTCTACCCAACACACTGCATCTCCTTCTGCACTGGGATCTTCACCAGCTGGCTTAGCATAGCGCCAAGCACAGTGCCAAGTAGTGGTTTCCTGAAACCACAGGAGCCACCAATACGTGCATGAAATAGGAAGAGCATGCACTTTTTTATACAAACTTTTGGGGGTGCAAAAGGGCATCAAATAGACAGAGGATGTAAACCAGGATATCCTAGGGGAAACAGGATGTATGGTCCCCCTCATCAGGAGGAAGTCTGTGGAGTTACGGCTGTTGTCTAAACATCTTTTTGCATGGTCCGTTTGTGGGAAAGTTTGTCCTGGTCATGCTGGCAAATAGTTGCATGAAAACCATTCGGGTCATCTGTTTCTGTATAACAAACTTCTCCAAAATTAATGAAGCAAAATAACATCAATGTTGATTATTATCTCCTCGGGCTCTAGGGTGTGCCTGGGCCCAGCTAACACCTTCACTCTGAGGGTCTCCGGCAGGTGCAGCAGACATGGCTGAGCACAGAGTCCTTGTGGAGGCCTCTCCACTCTGGTGTCCAGCGCCTGGCCTGAGGAGACCCCGGCAGCTGGGGCTGGAGCAGCAGTGGTACCGTGGGCCTCCCTCTCTGTCTCTGGCACCTCTCTCTCTGCCTCACCCTTCCCTTCCCCTTTCTTCCCTCCGTCCCCCTCTCTCCTCTTCCGTGTAGTTTCCCTACAATAGGCTCAAGGAAGCCAGAGTTCTCAGATGGCCCCAAAGGCTCCAGAGAGAGTTTTCCAAGAGAAACCTGCAGACTCACACACCTGGTTCCAATCCAGCCCTTCCCTTTCCCCGCCTAATGCTTATTCAATCACTGCCCAAGTTCAAGGGCGGGCACTTAGTCTCTGCAGCTTCATGGAGCGGCGTCGGAATTGTCAGACATGTTTTAAAACCACGTGAACCACATGACCTCCATGTGAAGCCAGCATAATTTCCCCGTGTGAAGCGATTTCTGTAAACAAAACTGCGGCAGCGGAGCAGGTGCCACCACGTGAGTGGCACGCTCCCGCCAGAGGCGCTGGGGCATCGCAGTGACCTGGGCGGGAAGCCAGGGCGTCCTCCTGGGAGCTCATCTGCTCTGCGGCGGGTGGGAAACCCGGGCCTCAGCCTCAGGTGGAATCAGCTCCATGCGGCAGGATCCGCCTGCAGCCCTGAGGAGCAAAGCTGACCCCCCACTCCGGAGTGCTCAGCACCGAGTGAGTGAGATGGGCCAGGCCAGGCCGCTCCCGGGGTGCCCAGTGCTGGCCTGCGGTGCCGTCGGTCGGCCGGCCCGGGGACCCCACAGAAGGAGCATCTGTTCCCCAGGACTCACAGGCCAGCCAGTGCTCCCTGCTGAGACCCAGGGAGAAGGAGGCCGGGTCCTGCCCGCTGACTCCTCACAAGCAGACACACAGGAAATGTTGAAATTTCCAGAAACAAGGGTTTTCTGGGTATGATGCTTCACCAAAAAAGTCGGTAATACATTGACAGAAACGTGAAAATATCTGCACTAAAAACATTCAAAAGATAAATGACAAATATGAAATTATATTCAATATACAAGGCAGACAAAGGGGATCATTAGTAAAAGTATATGAAGTTTGTATCTTCATATTTGTGCAATGTTTTAATAGATCACATATAGAAATGATATATTTACATACTACATTTATATGTGCATAAAATGAATAAATATGTGCTCGATAATCAGTAAGAAGAGATGAACAATACGATTGAAAAAATAACAAAAAACCCAGCCAAGTTGGGAAGAAAACACACCCACAGACGGACTTGCCCGAAGTCCCTGACTGTAGGGAGTATGCAGAACCCGTGCTGACAGCTGTTGCAGGGATGGGGACAGGCAGGACGCTGTGTGGCTGCCTCTTGCTCAGCCTGAGGTGCTGTATCTGGAAAAGCTGCCAATGGTAGTGGTCACCCAAGGAGGGTCCTGCCAGGATAGAGCAAGTCCCCATCTCTGTATTCTTAGGATTTCATGACAACTCTGGGGGAGCCAATACTGGCCATCGCTTAACTTCTGCTTAAAAAGCAGTTTTCCTGGTTCTTGATCCAAGCCCAGCATCTGCAAGAACAAGTTATTGACAGAGAGAAATCAGAATCAGGGTGCAGGAAACCCCAAACAGTGGCTCCCTCCCAGCTCAGCAGGTCCCAAGCAGCCTACACCTTGAAAATGCACACAGGGCCAGGCGCAGTGGCTCACGCTTGTAATCCCAGCATTTTGGGAGGCCAAGGCAGGTAGATCACTTGAGGCTAGGAGTTCAAGCCCAGCCTGGTCAACATGGCAAAACCCCCTCTCTACTAAAAATACACACACACACAAACACACACATACACACACATACACATACAAATAGCTGGATGTGTTGGGACACACCTATAGTCCCTAGCTACTCAGGAGGCTGAGGCAGGAGAACTGCTTGCACCCGGGAGGCAGAGGCTGCAGTGAGCCGAGATCACCCCACTGCACTCCAGCCTGGGCAGCAGAGTGAGACTCTGTCTCACAAAAAAGGAGAAGAGAAGAAGAGGAGAGGGGAGGGGAGGGGAGGGGAGGGGGACAATTCACAGAAGAAAAGCTGATAAACACATGAAATGGCGCACAATATGATTCTTAACTAGGTCCACATTAAATAATTGAGATTCATTGTTTGACAATGGTGGCAAACTTTTTAAAAAGATGACTAACGGACAGCAATGGCAACAGTGGGAGGCAATCAATCATTTTGGCCTATTGGGAGGACTATGTATCATGATGAAAATATTTGGAGAGTAGTTAGAATTGTTTCTATATTCATTAGCATAGGCACTCTACTATAAAAAATAATTTCCCAAATCTCAGTGGCTAAATCCAACACAGTTTCCATTTCTAACTTTTATCCAGTCCAACAGAGCTGATGGCGAGGGGCAAAAGAGGACTCCACCCAGTCATTCAGGGCCCCAGGCTCCTTTCCTCAGTGACTCCATCGTGCACGAGGTAGCCCCAGCATTCTCCACTGGATCCTCTGCACCCAGCGAGAAAGAGAGATGTGCATTGGACCTGATGCTGGTGACGGCATGGAACAGCTTCCTCACAGCCAGGCTGCAGGGCTAATAGCGAGATTCTGCTGAACTCTGTAAAAACCAGGAATCGTGGATCACACCGGAAAATGATGGATGGAGAACTTTGGTCTTCATTGTTGTTGTTTCTAAAATTTATTTGTATGACTTTTTCATTGATAAACTCCCCTCTGATACCATGGCTCCTACAGCAGGTATAGCAGGGAAATGAGGCTACCTGGAGGACCCACCCTTACATGAGCAGCTCGGAGGGTGACCTCTGAACCATCTCCTCATGACGGCAGCCGTTCTGGGTCCTGCTCACAGCACAGAGGTGCAAACTTCAGACCTGGGAGTCTTGCTCTGCTGGCACTGCCCTTCATGTTTACATTATACTTTCACTAATTTTTTTTTTTTTTTTGGTCCACGCACTTAATTGCTTCCTCACTAACATACCTTGGGACTGGTTATAATCCTTCTCTATGGAGATATGTTTGCTATCTGATGCTTTCTCAGGACAGAGCTGCAATTTTAGCTAAATTACCAAGCTCTTCAAAGTGATGCAATTGGGAACATTCAGACAGTTGAAAAATGGCCCAGAAAGCACGAAAGATTCATTAAAGCACCTGGTGTCTGCCTGGAGCTGTGTTACATGGAGAAAACACCAAATCCAATAGAGCAACTTCTTTCCCCAAGGAGCTCCAAGCCTAGAAAATAAGATAGACGAAACAACAATGATGGTGCAATTTCTGTCTCATCTACGCAGCCAAAACTCAGCAACGCCACAATTTAAGTTTCCCTCCACTTCATTTGCTCTGAGATGCTTGTTAGTTGCTAGTTGCACTTCCACAGGAGGCTTCAGCCCCATTCAAATGCATAGCATATTTCCTACAGAAATTCTGCCCTCGTAAGCTGGATCTCTCGTAGTACACCCCCTTCCACTGTCCTGACTTCCCCTCCGTGGCACCTCCATGACAATTGCAGAACACCCGGCGAATAACGGTGCACCTGCAGGTTCATTTTACTACCTGTGTTCTGCAGACATAGAGAAAGGCCGCATCTTTAGTTTATCTTGTAACTGAGCCATCTTTTTCTTGTGTGAAATGCAGCATTGTGCTCGCAATGTTTTTTTTCAAGTGCTAACCTTACTTCCTGTTTAATATTAACTGGTTTTCTTCTCTTGCTTAGGAAAGTTAAGCTTTTGAGTTTTTATTCTTTCCTCATCTATGGGCGTTTTCTCTATCATGCAAATGACAGTAGATAATACCCTCATGACTACAAGGTTACCACTTTGTGACCACATATTATGGTTCTGAAATTCAAACTACGCTCTTTGGTATCATCTGTTTTCTCCATTTTGTCATTGGTTCAGTAGCAGCTTTGATAGTTCTGTCTCCAAAAATTCTGGTACTCCTTGTATCTTTATGTGTCCCTTTCTCTACTCAGTGGGATGTGTTGGAGACTTTTCCTCCAGCCCCTTTCCCAGGAGCAAGCAAGCTTGCCCTTCACAAAGCTGGTGCATGCTCTAGCAAACCCTGTGTTGAACACCATGAAAACCAACGCTCAGACGCCAAGCGTTTGGTGCTTAAGAAGAACGACAGTTCTGTTGGCTCCTACAGCTCATTCCTCCTTTCACTTTGTTGAGATAAATTTCCTATTTATGACCGTTCCCCTTTGGAAAGTAGACAGCCTGAGGTTACGTGTGTTTTTTAAGTTGCTCTGTTAGGTGTAACTGGCCTGCAGTGTCTCTCTTCCTGAGACTGGTCTCAGCTGGAAGAGGAGAAGTTGCCATCACATCGCAGCACCTGTTAGCTGTTCAAAACTTCCACTCATTACAAGCACTTCATCAAATGCTATAAAATCATACACATTTCCCTCAACTGTATAATTTGTTATAAAGACAAACCATCGTTTTGTTCCCAGGTTCATACTGATGTCTCTAATTCTCATTAAACTTCAGCCCAATTAGAATGTCTGATTTTTACTACAAATAAAATCTACAATGATCATAATTTCATGATTGTTTTAAAAATTTCATAAGCAAAACATAAATTACTTTTGGGTGAATCTTAGGTTAAAAAGAATTATGTGTCACTAGACGAAGCAAAGGAGAGGTAGTATTTGAATGAGGTCTTATAGATGCAAATAAGTTATTCCCTCAGAATAATCTTAGTGCCCCAGATACGCAATGCCAGACCCAAAACCTGTTATGCAGTTTCTTTTCCAAGAAGTGGCTCATAGTCATCACAAATTAAAAAAAGAAAACATAAAAAGAAGATGATTGTTTGCCTCAGGATTTGGCAGTGCCAACTCTACATTGTAATTGAGCAGAATAATAATCTTTACCCACAAAATTACTCCTGTTATCTTTTTAATGATAGATGGATAAGGAGTGTTCTGGAGTCCGGTTTCTCTGTGAATTTCCCTTTGCACTATAATGTGTGTGCCTAAATGTTCCGTAGCTCCAAGTTCTTATAAACATTTACATGTATAAGTGAAGGAGTTTCCACATCATTCTGAAGCACAGAGGCTATAATGTAGCACATTATGCTCAATTTACAAGATAGTCGTCAAGAGATAACAAAAATGGTTGTTTCTTCATGTTCATGTGAGTCCAGGCTTGATTCACACCACTACAGGACAAGGACTCTGTCCTTGGGGTCAACAGCTATTTCTTAATTCTCTTAATAGACCTCTCAGGACCAACTGTCAACTCAAGTGCAGAATATCCATTAAAAATGTTTGGTGAATTAATTAATCATTATAGCTCAATTAGTGGTTATGAAAAAGCATCTAAGAGCAAGCTCCGATCTGCAATCCCAGAACCAAAAATAGTTTCTTGTGGATAAACATGAGGTTTGCTGCACAAATCATGGAAGAAATGTGCACAGGCCGGGCACTGGAAGGTCATGCTGGGCTGATGTGACCGCGTCTTCCCTACGAGCCTCAGAGGAACTCTTCAAGCAAGTGACCCTCATCCATTCCCACTTGGCAGACATACGAACTATGTTCAGAACATTCAACCCACCCAGGGCCACAGATCAAAGTCAGAATGTCTGATGCAAAGGAGCCCAGCCAGAAAAGGAAGGAAAATATTTCAAATAAGTTCATAAAGTGAACTTAATATACCACTTAATATACCATGTTCAAGGTTATTATTCCAAGAATTGGCCTTGACATCAAAACATCTCATACAAGTAAGTATTTCTGAATAAGTCTTTCTGAATTTCTTGTTAATTCTGGGATCTTGTAAGGTCCTTACAACGGACCTTACAATGGACCTTACAAGATCCCAGAATTAACAAGAAATGGTCTCTCTGTTTTGATTCTTAATCATTTCTTTCTATTTTTTTTCCTCATGAAATTCCTTCAGTTATTTCCTGGGTATCAATATCTTCTCAGTGATGTTTTGTTTATTTGTGGTTTTGTTAGAAAAAATTTATGTAAGTCAATTGGCACATGGAATCAAATAAATGGCAACTTATTGTAGTTGAACTGCAATTGTAGTTAAAGCTCCAATATCAGGGAACAAAGTGCATTCATCTAGGTTTTACATAATATTGATCACACTGTTACAAGACCAACAGGTTTATATGCCCACTGCCCAGTTACAGACCAATACGCTGAGACAGCAGAGTGTGCAGCAGAGAAAGAGTTCACTGATCGTAGGACACTGTGCAAAGAGATGGAAGGAGACCCTCACATCCATCTTCTAGAGGAGTTCTGGTCTGGGTTTTTTTAAGGAACCATGGAGGACAAGAGGCTGGAAAATTGGGGTCATTTGTCAGGGTAAGAGGGATGAAATCATCAGGATGTGGAAACTGCATGCTTTGGGTAAGTCAGCTTCTCATGGAGTTATTCAGACCAGCTGGTGTCAGTAGTTTCATTTGCATGCAGGACCCGAAAGAATATCTCAAAGGAAAAACTTAGCATTTCAGAATGTTTGTTATCTATAGTGCAGTCAAGAGAAACGGTAATGTAGAGTCTACATAATTCAGGAATAAAAGACACCAAACAATTAAGAAGCAGCAGGTCAGAGAGAAGCTGACCTAATGATTAAAGCTGAATGTGCTGCAAGCTTGGTTCTGCAAGCTTCCTTCTTCACTGATTGATCTTATAAAGTTTATAGGGATGTTTTCAACACCAGCTGAAAGAATTTCCAACTTGTTGCTACTCCAAAATAGTTTATCATGAGATTTCTAGCAATATATATCAATCTTTTAAAAATTTCCTTGGGGTTCAATTAGACCAAAGTGGATGCATCATTTTCATTTGCTTTATTTGCTGTAGTTTCTGTAGCTTCCTGCTCTTATTTCTTTATAGTCTTTATCATTCTTTATTATGTGGGTCACAACTTATACTTAAATATTCCCCTTCTGTTACTGCCATTAATTCTTCACTAATTATTTATTTCATTCTTTCAAGACACTGAACATATTTCACTTTTAGTAGTCCCACTGAAATGATTTAGGAAATAAACTTTGAATTAATTTTTGAGAATCTCTGTGAATAAGAATGGTGACTTTTTCTGCTTTTTGCCATTTTTCTGTTTATTACCACATGAGTCAATTCTCTTCATATAATCATTGCATTTTCTTATTAAAATTGGAATTATTTTATGAAGAATAATTTTGTGAATAAAAATAACACATCCATTTTTACATGATAAAGGAAATCATTCCTAGGAATTAACCCTAGAAGACAATGATTAGACTTTAGATAAAACCTGGTCAGTTCATTTCCACACATTTGCAGGTCTTCTCTTACAAAAGTTGGCTTCTTTGTGCAAGCGGAAGGGCAGTGGCAGCATCAAGAGCGAAGTGCTCAGGACCACAGGTAGAAGCGAAGGGTGGGGGAGTGGAGAGACATGAACGTCTAAGCCCCACTGTCCTGGGCTCAGTAGCCACCCCTAAGAGTCCAGGTCTGGGAACCCGGTGTCTTCAACAAGCCCTTTTTTGCTCGTACAAAACCACATGAAATGAGAACCTTTGGTGAGTGGTAAGTTGTGAGATATGTGTTTCCTGATTAGGGGGAGCTGGCAGTCTTTCTTGGGGAATTTGCTAAATTTCTGAAGGCGTACTCTTGCTTCCGTATCAGGAAGCCACTGCACTGCAGCCTGGGTGACAGAGCGAGACTCCGTCTCAAAAAAAGAAAATATTCTGAAACAAACTGTGAAGACTTGTGGACACAGGAGATCTCTGTGCCTATATTAGGTGATATAAACACAGGACGTTTCTGTTCTCACCTGGGCTCCAAGGCTGCTGCAGTCCTGAATAAGAAGGTCACTAACACAGTAATGTTACCACTGCTGTCTCCGTGGCCACTGTGCTAGGCCTGTGGAATGTTACAGAAAACCTTGAGCATTCGTCAGGTAGGAAAGAAAGCAGGCAGCATTCAGGGTATGCTGTTTATCAAGAGCACAACAAGCCCAAAATGACAATAAGATACAGGAAAATTATTCATCCAACATTTCTTTTTGATTTTATTTAAGTAAACAGGATCTTGATCTGTCACTAAGCCTGGAGTGCAGTGGGGTCATCATAGCTTACTGCAGCTTTGTCCTCTCAGGCTCAAGCAATCCTCTGCCTCAGCCTCCTGAGTACCTGGGACTACAGGTGCATTTCATCATGTCTGGCTAATTCTTTAATTTTTTGGAAAGTTGGGGTCTCACTTGTTGCCCAGGCAGGTCTTGAACTCCTGGCCTCAATCCATCCTCCCACCTTGATATCCCAGAGTACTACTATTACTGGTATGAGCCACTGCACCCCCGGCCTTTAAAACAGGATTTCTGAACACCAAAGTCCCATAAAGCATCAACGGAGGGATTTTTGGTGACATGTGAATACCTTAAAATTGTACACAACACCATTGAAGTTGGTTGCATTTATTTCTCTGCAGCAGGATTCAGTAAACCTTTTCTATCATGGGCCAGGTAGCAAATATTTTTGGCTTTGCAGGTGTCTTTGTCTGCTCAGCCACTGCTGGAGGATGGGGAAGGAGCAGTGTTGGTGATTCAACACCATTTCTCCGACCCTCTTCAGTGCCTCCTTCAGTGATATGAAGTTAAAACCAGGTACTATTATTATTAACCTGATTTTTTGGTTCTCATCAAGTTGCTTTTTTGTGTAGATAGTTGTTCGATTTGGTGTTCTTGCTGTAGTGATGATTGGTGAAGGCTTCTATCTTGCTATCTTGCTCTCCCCTCTCCTCAGGCACCTCTTGTTGGAAGTGCATAGCACCCCCACAGGCTGACTTACCAAAAATGTGATAGGAAAGATGACTTCATTCCTGGAGTTGGAGAGCAAGGCCCTGACTGATAGACTCAATCAAGGATTCACCTGGGCGATGGTGAAGAGTAGACATCAACACTTCCAGGTACAACTGGGAGATTATTTCCACCACCGAGGAAGACTGTTCCTATTAGATAAGGCAGTTTCAGGGACTGGCTGGTGTGCCGTGGAGAGCATATGAATGCTGTCGGGGGTTATACCAAAACACTCCCGGAATGGCCAAGACGAGAAGCAGAGAGACAGAAAACGTAAAAGAAACAACTAAGAGGCCAGGCTTTACAATTAAAATACTTATGTCAGAGGCTTGGGTCCATCCCATCAGTGTTTAGAGATGTCTAGGAGCATAGAAACAAGCAGATTTCAGGCCATTTCCTAGAAGGCAAGTTTTAAAAATGTATATATGTATATAACAGAACTAGAAACCCAGAAAGAGGAGGCTTTAGATGAGAAATGTGAGCTAAGCTGAGACTTAAATCAGGAGGGGGCAGAGGTGACTGTCAGTGAAATGCTTTATTCTAAGCACAGCCTGCCGGACCTGAGCACCATCCCCATTCCTTCCAGCCATAGAAGCTGGCTAGGAAGAGGAATTACTGAAGTGGATGTTGTGGTCACCACTCAGATTCTCCCTTAGGAGTGAGGCACTAACCCTCAGCTTCCCGGGCGATGGCTGTCAAAGTTGCCAGCTAAGTCTCTTAGAGTTGCCCTTGGCTGAGGGGTCATCCTGTCCACACAACGCATCCCACGAGGCCTCCCAGCATCCATGGGTAGTGCCTTTGCTTCATGCTGGGCATCCTGAAGGGCCATTCCAGCCTCAGAGCTCCTCAGGGGCCTCGGTCACCTCACAACTCAATTCCTTCTTCTGCTCAAAACTGCTTCCCCCAGTCCCTGAAAGGTGCTCTCTCAGCAGCATCCTCAGTAAACCTCCGGCATGCAAGTCTCCCTCTGAGAGTGTTTCCCAGGAAGCCCAAATTACCATGCAAGATGGTAACAGTCAACACCCCTGGCTGCAGCACTGTGGGAATTTTCAGGACATTAGGCTGCTGGGACCTGGCCGCTGCCTTTGTATAGCACATGTGTTGAATCCCTCTTAATCTGCTGTAATGCTTGTCCCCAGGACTTGCACAGAAAGATGATTGTAAGGAAGACATCTCCACCCCATGACTTAGAAATCAAGGGGCACTGAAGAAACTAGGCAATGCAGGACAGCAGCCATCTGCAGGAGGGAGGTCCCTCTGCATGAGCTCACAGCACTTGAGCCATCTGGAGGAGGGAGGTCCCTCTGCATGAGCTCACAGCACTTGAGCCATCTGGAGGAGGGAGGTCCCTCTGCATGAGCTCACAGCACTTGGGTCTTTGGTCTTCAGAAACTGCTATCAGTTGCTCTCTGTTGGTGAGGTGGTGACCGTGAGGCACTGCCCAGATGCCCCTTCAGGAAGTCCCCCAACTCCTTCGGTGCTGCTTCCCTCCTCACACTGGGCCTTCCTGGGGCAGCCCCCGCCAGCATGGGGCTACACAGATTGGACCCTTTCTGGAACTTGGGGCACCCCGGGGCTCCCCATTGGCTTGGCTGAGCCTCCTTTGAGATTGCATCATAGTTCAACCTGTCCCTTTCCCCAGCCCTATATGCTTCCCTTCCCTCCCTTCCCCCGGGGTGGACTGCAGGAACTTCCCTAATTAATGTCCTGTGTGCTGACCCCTGCCTGCAAGGCAGTTCCAGGGATCTCAAACTGGAGGGGTAGTGACGTCACTTCTTGATAAACAATTGGCACCGTTCCACGGAAAGCTCCAGGAGGATTAGGCTCCCCTAGCTCCAGCGTTGAAGTGAGTCAACCTCATGCCATCTTCTGTGGACACCACGGTGTTCCCAGGAGTGACAGCAGTGACGGATCCAGCCCTTCCCCTGCAGGTACTCACCCAGGCCTACAGGCCTCCCACGGACAGGGAAAGATGCTTTCAACACGGGCAGAGAACTGTTGATGCTTCAAGTCTCTGCCATCTGAGCGGAACGTGTTGGGGGCGGAGATTAACCTGTCATCAGTTGCGTTCTGGCATCTTCCCCTAAACAGAGCTCGGGGTGTGCTGAGTCTCCATCCTTCCCCCAGCGCCGCCTCCTCCGTGTGTCCTGTCAGGGAGATGAGGTGACTTTGTGTTTCTTCGCAGCTATGGGGAGATGAGGAGGGAATCGCCGGGTGTTGCGTCTTCCCTGTGCACCTGGGCCCTTAATCGTTGATGCTGCAGAGTGGCAGGGCACCAGAGCCCACCACAAGCCCCCGTGGAATCTACTGAGCTGAGGCCCCTCCAGCTCAGGTGTGCAGTGTGTGGTCTGAAGCCAGCCCTTCAGTCCCTGGCCCTGCTGCCCGATCCCAGGCTTCAGACATGTGGGGGATCCTCCCTCCGCCGGCCCCAGAGCGCTCGGTGAGGCCAGCGGCCCGCGGACTCTGTCTCCTGTGCTCCAGTCTGGCTTCTGCCTCCAGGCGACCACGGCACAAACCAGAAACGGTGGCTGAGGGCGGTCTGCAGCCTCCTGAGTGGTTTCCTGGGGGCACTGATCTGCGCTGGCCGCTCCGGGCTTCTCCACCTGGGCTCTTCCCAGAGCCTCCCTGAGTGGCGCTGAGGCCCGGGCACCTGAGTCATCCCTTCCTCCTTTAAACCTCTTTCCCGCGTTCCTGGCCAGAGGGGTAGCCTGGGCTTCGCTTACCCTCTTTCGTGTCATTAGGACTGCATTCCTTACCTAACATGATCCTGTCCTTATAAAATGCCAGATCCTTTTCCCTCCAGAAACCGGTACCATGACCTACTTTCAAGGTGCAAGAGGGAAAGAAGAAATGTACAAATAAAGGAGCAAAAACCTATAGTTACTGCAAAATTAAGACACATTCTATTCATGTTTAATGTGGAGGAATTTCAAAAATCTATAGTTACTGCAAAATTAAGACACATCTATTCATGTTAATATAGAGGAATTTTAAGGAGAAAAAATAAAATAGATCATAATACCACCTTCTCTGGCTCCTAGTCTGAATGAATTCTTCTTGGATGCTCCAAATTAAATATCAAAATTTTCTATTTCAGGCACTCCTCAGTATGGCTTATGGAAATACTGTGGGATATTGAAAACAAGGAAACTCCTCACCAAGAGAATTACTTTCTCTCTTCATAAATGAACCATGCGCTGTGCACAACACAAGTGGTGTGAATAGAGCCACCTGGCCCTGACTCTTTAGAGAAGATCTGTTAATAGAAAAGCACATTTTCTGAAATGATCCATGTGTAGGAACGTGCCAGGAGCCTGGGACTAAGAGCACAATCTCTGAGTCCCACAGCCCCTACTGGGGGCTCCATCCCCAGCACTGCAAGAATGGGAACATAGATCCATGTAGACAACTGTGTCCTGAAGAAGTGCACACAAACAGACCAGCACCCCAAATTCAGGATGGCTTGGGCTGCATTTAGGGGTTCAGTGGTCACTCGTGCTGCATTTGGGAGTGTGTACTTCCTTCATGTATGGCTGATGGAGATGAGGAAATGTTGTCATCCTATGATCTGTAGGATGGATTCATTTTAAAAGGTGCTCAGAGCTATCTCGGCAGGCCTTGCCATCTCTCAGAGGTGATGAGAAGGTGCTGGGGAATGTGTAATCCCAACACATGTGTCTCCTGAGACAACACGTTAGGTGTTAGGAAGCTTAAGACGGCCCTCAAGGGGAGGCAATTCTGCAGGAATGCCCTGGTAAGAACCAGTTCCTCCGAACCTCCGTGAAAAGTGTCCTACATGGTGTCTCCACATCATATGACCAGGGCACCCCCAAAGCAGAATGGCCCTCAACAGCAATGGGAACCCACACCCCCAGAGCCCTTGCACCTGCAGAGGTCAAAGGTTACCTGGTATTCAAGGCCCCAGTTGACTGATCAGGATGTTCCCGGTAAGAGTGTCTTTTCTGACCCTCCCCAGAACTAGGTTTTACACACAAATTCAAGTTTTGAAGATTTATAGACGAGAGATGATATAATATCTGGGCCACAACAGAAAAAAGCATAAGCAGCCAGGCATGGTGGCTCATGCCTTTAATCCCAACACTTTGGGAGGCCAAGGCGGGAGAATTGCTTGAGCCCAGGAGTTTGAGACCAGCCTGGGCAACATAGTAAGGCCCCGTCTCCACAAAAAATACACAAAAAGCTTAGCCAGGCATGGTGGCACGTGCTTTTGTCCCAGTTAGTCAAGGGGCTGAGGTGGGAGAATCCTTTGAACCCAGGACTTTGAGTCTGCCGTGAGCCATGTTCATGCCACTGTCCTCCAGCCTGGACAACAAAGCAAAACCCTGTTCCCCCACCAAAAAAAAAACCATGAGCTCTCTAGAAGGAAACCACCTGATGCTGAGGATGGTATAAATTGCTCATCAAACAGAACTCCTGGTTGTGGAATTGTTCATCATGGAAAAGCCCTGAGGATGTTGCACAGAGAGCCCCTTCCCTTGTGCCCATTCACCACAAACTATTTTATGTGTCTACTCTAGCTCCAGTCTCAATGTCACAGGGCCAGTGCCCACAGCAGCACTCAGGGCGTCATCATCAACTAGAGTCAACAAGGGACACAGAGGCCTCATCCACTGACTGAGCCAGGGTTGCAGGGGCTTCCCAGGCATGCGCCATGCTGTGGACTGAATTATCTCCCCAGGATTTGCATATGGAAGCCTAACCTTCAGTATGATGGTGTTTGGAGATGAATCCTTTGGGAGGTGATGAGAGTGAGATGAGGTCATGAAGGAAGGGTGAGGTTAGTGTCTTTCTGATAGGAGACTCCAGGGCATGCCCTCTCTCTGTCTCTCCACCAAGGGAGGGCACAGTGAGACAGTAGCATCTGCAAGCTGGGAAGCCATGGTGGATTTAACTGGCTGTGGAGGTGGAAGTGGCTTTAACTGGATGTGGAGGCGGAGGATTTTTATGACTCTGGGTTTAATGGTTCTAGCACAAAGTGGAAGAGGTCATGAGGCCAAAATGTTGGCGTTTTGTCTGCTAAACTCAATGGTAGACCCTGGTCTTCCAAGTGGCCCATTGGAAGAGCCTTCAGCCCACATCCTTCGCTGACTGAACGCAGGTGCATTTGCTGCCTTCTGCTGCTGGAACACCTGCTGCAAACCCCTGCTGGCCTGAAACAACACAAATGCATGATCTCCCGTGATGGAGGCCAGAAGTCTGAAATGGAACTCATGGGCTGGTACTCAGATGTCAGCAGGCTGCTCCTTCTGGGGGCTCAGGAGAGCCCCCAGCCCCTCCCCTTCTCCAGCTCCTGGAGGCCACCTGGACTCCTCAGCCAGAAGCGCAGTCAATGCAACCGATTGGCATCTTCAATCTCTCTTTGGCTGCAGCCCTCAGCCTCTCTTTCCATGTTTAAAGGGTCCCATGGGTATATTGGGTCCATGTGGATAATCCCCCTAAATTAACACCAGCCTATTAGCATAATTAATTCTACCCCCTTTGCAAGCTGACATCATCATATTCATTGTTTCTGGGGATGACGTTGTGAGCATCTCTGGTGGGAGAAGGAGAAGCATTATTCTGCCAGCCACTGTAAGATGGTCAGGAAATGGGGCCGAACTGGTGGCAACCAGGGAGTATCCACAGTTTCCCCTGTGTGATGAGAGGGAGAGCGGCTCACTGTGGAAAAAAAGGAAAGCCAGAGAAGCCTCTTCATCAACCCACAGATTCAGCCAAACTCACGAAGCAGTGGGGCCACTCCAGAAGGCACCAGGGCATCCGGAGCCAGGAGGTAGCATCATCTGTCAGTGCCAGTGGCACAACCGGACAGGAAGCCCCTCTTCTTGCCTTTGCCTCTTGCCACCTGCTGGGAGAATTTAGTGCTTATTCATCTTAGGGTTGGAGGAGAAAGAAGGGACTCTAGGGAGGTTTACTCAGAATACAATCCAGTTTGGGGGCCAGTGATGGAAGCACACATTCCCAGTGCAGCATTGGGATAGGGCAGTTTACTTAGGGCTTTTTAATTGATATATCGGGATTCAGCTGACCCTTCTCTGCAGTGCCTCCCACACCGTGGCCTTGTGACAGGCAGCCCACCATGTAAGACCCAGAGATTTTGACAGGGCCCATGTTTAGGAGGGTGATGCTTCTCCATCCACGCCTCGCTGTGCAGGGCACCTGTCCCTGCCTGGGTAGCAGTGGGGTTTGTGCACCTCAGCTTCGGGCACCGAGAATAACCTCTCAGGGCTCCCTGTGAACCTGGGCACGTCACCCAGCCTCGGAAGGTCATGGGTCCTGGGGTGACCCCGACACATGATCCCTTTCAGATGCCAGGGTCAAATCATGGTAGCCCCACACCCCAGCCAAGCGTGTCAAAGCGGGCGTGGGGCCAGTGAGGTGGGAGCAGGAATCTGATCAGGAGCTTTGGGGAAGTGTTTCTCACGTCCAAGAAAAAAACTGAGACTCTTCTTTGCGTCTGGGTATTTTCTCATCTGGTTGTGGCCCTTAGAAAGGCTGCATCTAACCGGCTACAAGTCTTCGGGTGTAGCCAGCACACATGGGGATGTGGGACCGGGAGACACAGGGAACAGAGACAAAAGCCACATCACTGTCCCTGGAACCCACGGCTTGTTGTTCAGTTAAAACAACAACAACAAGACGTGTGTGTGAGTGAAGTTGTTATATGACTGATGTGATGGCCTTCCCGTTCCTATCGATCAGGCATCCTGACTGACACGATACCCAAGCTCGTTGAAAATTATTCCAGAAATCTGAATATATGTTATAGGTATAATGTATTCTTAGCTAATGCATTATTACAAACTAATCTCCTCATTGCTATGTTAGATCATGAAAAATGGCAGGATGTTAAAACATACAGGATTTGAGTCTCTTTATCTTAAATATTCATAAATAAACTATTTTCTATGAAACTGTAAATTGCATCAAAAAGAAATATAAAGCCAATATGTGTATATCTTGTTGGGGGTGGGGGTGAAGAAGTAATCACAGTTTATTTCCACTAAAGTTTTAGGTTACTATACCTAAAGTTGGTTTACCTGAGTTCTATCAAGGAATAAATTTTACTTGTTACAAAAAAAGTTACAAAATGTTACATTTTTAAATAAAATTATAATAATTATTTCAAAACACATAATGATGAAAATCCAAAAATCAATCCTATTTATAAAACTATTGAAGTCTTGATATCTAAGATCTGACAAGACCAACATTAATTACGAGTAGACATGTAACAATTATAAATAAAATATTGAATGAGCCTCATAGGATATTAAAATAATAACATAAAACATCTTAATTTTGGGAATGTAAGACTGATTTAATAGCCTAATAGAATATATCTGTTGATCAAAAATAATATCCGTAAGAGTAGATAATCTAAAGATATTCGATAAAGTTCTGTATTATTTCTAAAATAAGCCTATTGTTTAGAGATAAAGGATTATTCTTTCTGTAATCAAAGATGCTCATTTTAAACAAACGGTAATGTTACATTTATAATAAATTAATATGTTTTACATCAGAAACATTGCAAATACACTTTATAAAATATAGAGGAAAAGATTATTATTGATAATCCCATGGCTGAATTCACTACTGCTTCATTTTCCTTCTTTATTTTACTTTACATTGCTGTAATCATATCATATTTATAAATCTTTACTTTTGTTTCACTTAAAGTATGTCATCAGCATTTCCAAGGGATAAAATAATCCTTACACACGTCAGTGCAATGGTTGCATAAGGTTCTCCTAGTGGTCTACCAGATGTAAGTAAACATTACTACCTCCAATTGACTGATGTGGGATCTCAGAGAGTTCAACTGGCTGGTCAGTGGTCCCCTCTGCATACCACAGCTGCACCAGGACCAGTCCACGAAAAGCTGAGGCACTCCCAGCACAGCCTCACAAGCTTACGGCAACTACTTAAAGACATTCTTGAGGCCTCTCTTAACTTGTGTTACCTAGCTTATCCTTGTGCTATGATTTTATCCTTGTGCTATAATGTTATCCTTGTGCTGTGATATTTTAGGAGTAAATCTGTTTGGACTTGGCATTCTCCATGTATGTTCCTATTACCTTTTCAGAGGATAAAATTTATGAGTTATACCTAGACTGTAGATTACAGAAGTTCTAATATCCATTCAACACCCAGAGGTTACAGACAGGATGATGATGAGCAAGTAGGTTTATTAATTAAATATATATATGTAACATGTCAGATCTCTGAGTATACTACTTATTTGTGTATCTCTTTTATGTATGAAGTGCTTCAGTTGACACATTCTTGTGACCTTCTTGTGGGTGGAGAAATTCCAGTAAGAACCAGGTCTATTTCATGGTGTCTATAAACAGAACTTGAAGCCTCTGCAGCATTAACTTTTTTTTTTTTTTTTTTTTTTCTTTTTTTGCTGGTGTAGACCCACTTGTGGATTTTTCCAGACTACATCAAGGGTTCTCTCTGAAGAATAGCCTCATGTGTTCACCCTTCCTGCGTGTCCTCACCCAAGGGGGCAACACCTGGTCTCAGCAGGCTCAGGATAAGCCTGTCCGTCGGCCTCCCGGCGTCTGCGTCTGCGTCTGCCTCTGCCTGGTCAGGGAGCAGCAGGAGCCGGGTAAGTGAGGCAGGCAGGCCTGGGGGTCTCCTCGGGTGGGCAGCGTGCCGGGCACACCAAGGGGTTTCTCCCTCCTTCCCCACCTAGGTCACCTGGCTTGGCGGGATGATGACTTACACTAACAACTAAAGGCATGAATAATAAGTCGTAGCTAATATTTATTGATTATGGATGATGTCTAGGCTGTTTAGGTTTCTGATCACATTTAATCCCCACAAACCCCTGTAAGACAAGCATTATTATTATCTCTATTTCACAAATGAGAGCAACAAGGCTGGGAGGGGGTTTGAAACTCGTCTTAGCTTTCAATGATGCAACAATGAATTAAACCAGGTGCACCTGGCGCCAAACCCATGCTCGTCACCATGCTCCTCACTACGGTTGCTCCTTGCAACCAATTTCTGTATATATTTTTTAATAATAATAAGAAGAACAAACAAAAAATCAAATGCAAGCCATGGAATTTTCAATGTTTCTTAATAAAAACTAAAGCGAAGGCTTCAAATCCCCCGTAGTCTGTAACTGTGACTAAAATGTGTGGCTGAGCCCCAGGGAGAAAGCGTCCAGCTGCTCGCGGTCCCGGCTTCTTCCCGGGTCTCCTCCCGCCGCGGCAGCGGGCAGTGCTCCCGGGAGGCCAGCAGGGGGCAGTGCTGGCGCGTGTCGGGAGAGGAGCCGAGGGCATGGCCGGCAGCTGGGAGCCTCGGCCCGCGTCCTGCAGGGTCCTGACGCAGGAACCGTGTGCTCTCCACACAAACATTGGGAAGGAAAGTACGGCGGTTAATTTGCAAAAAAAGGTTTCTCTCTTCCTCTGTATAGAGATATTGATATGTACATGTGTCTCTATCTATGTAGACATGAGGATGGATGGATGGATGGACGAATAAATGCATGGATGGACGGATAAATGGATAAATGGGTGATAAATGGATAGATGGATGGATGGATCGGTGGGGGGAATGGATGGGTGGGTGGATGGATGGATGGATGGATGGATGGGTGGGGGGAATGGATGGGTGGGTGGGTAGATGGATGGATGGATTGGTGGGGGGAATGTATGGGTGGGTAGATGGATGGATGGGTAGGTGGGTTCATGGATGGATGGATGGATGGATGGATGGATGGTGGATGAATGGGTGGGTAGATGAATGGATGGGTGGATGGATGAACACATGGGTGGGTGGGTGAATGGATGGGTGGAGGGATGGATGGATGGATGGATGGATGGATGAATAGATGGGTGGAGGGTGGGAGGAAGGGAAAGATGGATAGGTGGGTGGATAGGTAGGTGGGTGAGCGGATGAATGGATTGATAGATGGGTGGGTGGGTGGATGGGTGGGGGGGATGGAGGATGGGTGGGTGGAAGGGTAGGGGGGACGAGTGGGTGGGTGGATAGATGGATAGATGGATGGATGGATGGATGGATGGATGAATAGATGGATGGATGAATGGGTGGGTGGGTGGGTGGATTGTGTCTTTCTATGCATGTCTATAAAGGAAGATATACAGAGACTTAGGTAGGTAGGTAGAGTAGTGAGAGATTGGATCGTGGCTAAATTTAGGGGACTTTTTAAAGACTTATTTTAGACATGGTAATTTAAACATTTTAAGTCAACATAGATTTTAGATTTGTATTGTGCAGTTATTTTTTATTGACTCACCTTTTCCTACCCTCTCAATGAAATATGAATGACAATAGAATAAGGCATGTAAAGTTATAATACTGCTGGAAATCAGCAGTATTGATGCATGATTACCCAGGTACAATGACACAATTCCACTAGTCAAACCTAAGTAACACTGGGTCGGGACGTCAGGCTGAAAGGTGAAGGGGTGACTCCCACTTCCTCTGTATTGACCTAGCCTAGAGATGTTGGCTTTTCTCTGGCAGGAAGGGAAGACCCCAGCACCTCACAGAGCAGGTGCTTCTCCTCAGCTGACTGCCTCTGTCTCCCTCTTTAAGATGGCCCATCACAAGCCTGCAGCAGTCCATTCCAGCTAACAGCAGAGTGGACAAAAGAGTCATACCTGCATTTTGCCGGGTGCCCTGTCTCACGCCTGTAATCCCAGCACTTTGGGAGGCCGAGGTGGGCGGATCACGAGGTCAGGAGATTGAGACCATCCTGGCTAACATGGTGAAACCCCGTCTCTACTAAAAAATACAAAAAATTAGCCGGGCGTGGTGGCAGGCACCTGTAGTCCCAGCTCCTCGGGAGTCTGAGGCAGGAGAATGAATGGCGTGAACCCAGGAGCCGGAGCTTGCAGTGAGCCGAGATCGAGCCACTGCACTCCAGCCTAGGCGACAGAACGAGACTCCGTCTCAAAAAAAGAAGAAAAAAAAAAAAGAGTCATACCTGCGTTTTAGGATGGCCTCGGGGAAAGGCAGGCATCCAGACTACCATGACTGTGGGCCGTGTGCCTCCACAGATCCCCGCCTTAAGCTCGACGAGTTCCAACAACCACCAAACCGATGGTAAGAAGGGAGAACCGGACTCACTCACCCAGCCAGTGGGCAACAGTGGCCAACTTCTCCTCCCTCAAAACTCAGTTAACAGAAAATCAAGTAACAATGCATAAAGAGAGTGGTAGGAGAAATAAAGAAAATCAGAGTAAAGATGAAAACATACATTTCAAAATGGACTCTGTGGAAAACAAAATTCAATTTAATTGGATAAAATGTAATATTGCAAGTACTTCTTAAGGAGCTAGCATGAGCCTGGCAGCATTCAGCACACTGGGCATAAAGAGGCACCAAAACCACAGCCGAGCTCTTGCGGACCTGATATTCTCACAGAGGGAGCCAAAACATCATTAAAAAAGCGAATGTGTCAAATAGTGTCAAATGCTAAGAACAAAAGAAGAACAGAATGTGTGTGGCCCTGAGCTAGAGGAGTGGTCAGCAGGCAAATGGTAAAACATGCTTGGGTTGTGTTTTAATTAACAGGCAGAAACCTGAGCTCTGTGAAGGCCGAGGAAGAATGAGGTGCTGCAGTCGCAGGCATGTGGGGCCCAGCCAGGTGCAGGCAGAGGTGGGGAGGAGCGCTGCCCAGAACCGAGGCTCGGAAACTCACCATGTGCGTTCTGATTGAAGCAACCAGTCCTGTAGAAGGAAAATCAGCAATGAAGGCATGCTTGAGAATCTCCAAATGCAATAAATGCAAGAAGAAAATAAGATAAAAATTATGAGAAATGAAATACCTAAGTAAAAGGCAAAATATTGAAGAAAAAAAGATTTTGATGAATGTCTTTAACTTTTGAGATTTAAAAAATACCTACACTCTAGCCAAGAAAATGAGTTTACTTATAAAGAAATAAAAATGAGAATGGCTTTTTGGCCTTCTCCTGTCAATATGAAACTAGGTGTATCAGTAATCGATGCCTCTGCTGGCTGCCTTACAAACAACCCCAACACAGCACCTCAATCACGATCATTCACTTAACTTACAATGTGGGAGTTGAAGAAGCACTGCCAGCTGCTTTTTATTTAAAGTCACTCAATGAAACCGCGGCCAGACTTTACAGAGGTCTGCTGGTCATCTGGAAGGCTGAAGCGTCCTTCATGCACCTACCTGTGACCCAGGCAGGTAAACTCAAACAGCTGAGGGTCCCTGGGCCTGCCCCCCACTTCTTAATCTTTATCTGTCTATCTGTTTCTTTATCTTCTCTGTCTGTATCTCCCTCTCTCAAACTGCATCTGTCTCTGTATCTTTGTCTCTCTGTCTCTATCTTCTCCATTTATCTGAATCTCTATGTCTCTCTCTCTCTCTCTCTCTCTCTCTCTCACTTTGCCACATGACAGCTTCGTGGAAGCCAGCAGGAGGCACCCCCTGCCAGTATTGCGAAGGCACCCGTGTCCGTGTCCAGAAGGGAGTCTTCAGGAGCTCCACGGGGTTTTCTACCCAAGCTCGGAAGTGATGCTGCATTCACCTGTGCACCTGTCACAGGGGTCAGTCCAGGCAGGACCACCTCTCCATAGGGGGAGAGTCACAGCACGCTGGACATGTTGTAGACACACAATAGGTAGAGTTACGGCCTCTTTGAGGGAGCAGAGGCTTGAGTCAAGAAAGCCATATTCACCATTTTGTGGTTGAACAAAGAAGGGGGGGCAGCCCCCTCCCACCCAAAATTGACATCCAGACTAATGATGCCCCTGGCTCAGGTGGTCTGAGAGGCTGAGTTCTTGGTACCTCAGCAGTTGGAGCACCAGTATTCTTTTTTTCAAAATTGTAGTTAATTGAAAGTGTTGAAAATGTTGAATGTTTGTAACCATAACTTTTGCAACTTTGAAAAGAAATATACATATTTTTAAAGAAGAATTCTATAAAAGGTAATTTGAAAAATAAGTTATTAAAATACTGATATTATCAATGTTGACATCATCAAGAACTTTTTAGATTAAGTGAATATGCAACAGTAATAATAACTGCTTGTGTTTAATATTCAGATACTATTATAAAGAAACATTTTTATTTTGCTCAAATTTACATGAATATATACTTTTTTAAGTACATAAAATTTTAATGTTTTAGCACTTTCTTTTATTCTCAGCTGGATATTCTAGTTTGGATAATAAATTACACAGTTACTGCTGTGACGGGGCATTAGCCCAGCGTCAAACATGTGCTGCTCTTTGATTGATGTTTCGTGTGTCGGACTTCCATGAGAAACTCACAGGCTGACACAGTGACTGGACTGAGGCTCACCTGGGACACTCCTGGTCCTTCAGCCATAATACTCTTAGGAACTCTGATTCTCAAAGTAAAGTAGAAATATACAATGTACAAAGGAATTATTTTTAATGAGTGGGATTTCCCTTCTGGGGAGATGGGATATGCATCCTTTTCCCTCTTCCTCCCACTGAGCATAATGAATAATCTTGAACATTATGAGTAGAACAAGCATTAGACAGCTCAGAAGGCAGACTGGCTGGGGCCTCAGGATGCAAGAATGGCACAGAGGTGAGTTCTTGGACTCACCTCAGGGCAGAGGACTCCAGCAATATAGAAATGCTAACAGGCACAAAGAAAGCCCTGGCAGAAGAAAGGAGCAGCCTACCCAGACAGAAAACTTAGACAGTACCCACTCGACTCCAGCCACAACACATGCAAAACACTGCTGCCCTTCCCCATCCACACAAGCCAGATGGGGCCCCAGACTCTCACCCCCACCTGGCAGTAACAAGCCATCAGTCACTTCTAAGCCAGAGCAGTATCAAAGGAACCAGCTGCAACAGAAGGTTCCAGTGAGATAAGTAAGACCCAGAGTCTTCTGACATAGTACGAAATGTGCACCTCTTTCAATAGAAAATCCCTGTCATGCCAAGAAGCAGCAAGATCACAAAGTGGATGAAACAAGGCAAGCCATAGATGCCAACATCCAGCATAGAGGTGCTATCATAGAGTGACCTCACAGGGACTTAAAGCAGCCACAGTAAAGATACTTCAAGGGCAATGGCAAACATAATTGAAACAAATGAAAAAACACAAAGCCTCAGCAAAGAAATTGAAATCCTCAAGAAAGAAATAGAAAATACAAGGAAGTAAACAAATTTTGGACTGAAAAATCAAATAATAAAACAAGTTTGGATATTTGCAAGGACAATGATGACAGTCATGAATTAAGGATTGATGAGTATGATGGATTCTGTGCTACTGAAGCCCCCCAAAAGAAATAAATATATATGCCCACCCATCTTTGAATTCCATAAAAGGAAATTTCTAGAAAAGTATTTTTGAAATCTCTACATTTGGAAAGTTATTTCAAATTCTCCTCCCAATAAAAGATGTGTTATTTAGTGGAATAGCAGCAAGTTTTCAGGATGATGTTAATGTTCCCTTTCATTTTGTACACGTGCCAAAATGCATCAGTACGTAATCATCAGCCTTCCAAACTGTGTTCACACATTTCCCGTGCTAATATTTCACCCACATAACTTCATTTCCCTGCCTTTGATTCTTGCAATAACACATCTAGCACTTGTGAGCATGCACCGTCAGGCTGAAAAAGAGGCTTGTATCCTGTTAGGCATTACTGAATATTGGAATAGCCTCCTAATGCCTTTCCGCCCTTCCGAAAAAATCCACTCCTATTTATCCAGCACTGGTTTGGACATGAAATGTCCTCAATTAAATATTATTAACGTCTCAGTTCCTAAATAATGAATTTACATTTTCTGGTACTCTTTTGCCTTTAAAGCCCCTTTGACAGGCATTGTCTCGTGTTTTGGCCACAGACACTATGGGGTGGGGAAGATGAGTGTTATCACACATGCTAGCAGGTGAAAAGATTGAGGCTAAGATTTCATATCTGCCATTGTTTAGCTACATCACTAACCAATGTCAGATCCAGCCCAGAAAGTTATTGTTTTGAGTTTGGGGCAATGCTTTTTTCCAAATTTTTATACTTCCTTCTTATTCTTTATCTAAGCAAGCAAGAGCCCACCTTCTGCCCCTGACTAGACCCGGCTATGTGGCACGATTCCAGTGGGATTCACTTTCTGCCCCATCCACGGGTCTTGGCCTTTCTCACCTCCACCCATGTACTCAGGCCTTGTCATCTGCCTGGGATGCTTCCTGCCTTCTCTTTGTCTCTTTAAATCCTGCTCTGCAAAACATAGTTCAAATGCTCTTTCCTTCAGAAAGCCTTTCAGAGCTACTCTTATGAGCTACTAAGGCAATTAATTTTAAAGGAATTCACTCACCAATAAGCTTAAAAACAGATGTTGAGGTGTTTTGATATTTCACTCATCAGGTATTTATAGCTTGCTTCCCAGAATCAATTATAAGCTTTTTTTCAGTGGAAATATTCTTGAATTTTCCTTGAATTCTCACAGTGACCATAATATATAATAAAATAACATAGATGTGAACATAATATATAATAAAAGAACAAAATACCAGTGAGAATTTTATTTCCATGTCAAATAAAATCAACAAAGATTCTATTTGACATGGAAATAAAATTCTCACTGATAATACAATGTTCTAATAAAATGCTATAGAGCTTTATTTTAAGAATTCTCTTCTAAAACTTTCTGAGAATAGATGATGACTTGATGCATTTATCTAGAAGACGAAACACAGGTATTTCTTTTGAACAATGTAATAATTTAAAATGTAGGTTTAAGCTGACGTTTGTACCCAAAATGCCACTGTTAGAAATTGAGCCGTGGGTAATCTTACACAAGGTTGTTGCAGGAAGTTTCCAGCAGATGACTGTGAACAAATTGAGAGATGAGACAAAATGAAGTTCCGTGAGTCCAAAATATTACCTGAATGACAGGTCAAGGCTATAGCAGTAGGATGAGCCTAGCATGAGAGTAAAGCAGAATCCCAAGTAAAGCTCTGACCCAGGTCCAACCTTCCGGCCATCACAGGGAGTGTCTGGGAACCCATCCATTGAAGTGGAGGACAGAAATGGGTCCTGCTCATTAAGCTTTCTCCCTGAATCATGCCCAGTTATATACCCCCTATGTAAATGAAAAAAAAAAAACAAAACAGTAGACTTCTCAAAAATAGTGTAGCCTTACTAGATTGACCTTCTAAAATCAATCACTTTAGCTGTTGTATGCCAAATGGCTCCTAAGGAGGGAAAGAAGCAAAGAGATGATTTTGGAGGGGTGGTCAGAGTCCAAACAGAAATGATGGTGGCTTGGGCTAGATTGCACAGAGAATCTATGCAGAAAAGCTTAGATTCAGACATGTGAACTCAAGATATGAGATGAAGAGAAATATTTATTTGAGATGCATATTTTTCAAGATAATTTCTAGGTTTTTGACTGAAATAGCTAGGTGGACACCATGTTAACTGAGTTGTTGTCAGTTTGGGAAAATGTGTAAAAATCACAAGCTATGTCCTTGCAGACCTTGTGTCAATTCCCTCTTTTTATAAATGCAGCACCTGGGACACACTGGTAACAAATAACTTACCCACAGCAACACAACAGCAGAAATAAAACTGAGTCATCCATGGCTCCCTTTGCAATCTTTCCAGTACTAGACCTTTCTTAAAACTAGCTTTGAAAAGGCTGGGGGTGGTAGCTCATGCCTGTAATCCCAGCATTTTGGGAGGCCAAGGCAGGAGGATCACGAGGTCAAGAGATCGAGCTGCCCCTGGCCAACATGGTGAAACCGCATCTCTACTAAAAATACACAAATTAGCTGAGCATGGTAGCATGTGCCTGTAGTCCCAGCTACTTGGGAGGCTGAGGCAGGAGAATCTCTTGAAACCAGGAGGTGGAGGTTGCAGAGATAGCGCCACTGCACTCCAGCCTGGAGACAGAGCAAGACTCCATCTCAAAAAAAAAAAGAAAGAAAGAAAGAAAAAGAAAAAGAAAAAAAAGTGGCTTTTTCGTTTTTGTTTTTGTTTTTCTTTTTAATTATACTTTAAGTTCTAGGGTACACGTGCAGATTGTTACATATGTACACATGTGCCATGTTGGTTTGCTGCACCCATTAACTCGACATTTACATTAGGTATTTCTCCTAATGCTATCCCTCCCCCATCCCTCCACCCCACGACAAGCCCTGATGTGTGATGTTCCCTGCCCTGTGTCCAAGTGTTCTCATTGTTCAATTCCCACCTATCAGTGAGAAGATGTGGTGTTTGGTTTTCTGTCCTTGTCACAGTTTGCTCAGAATGATGGTTTCCAGCCTCATCCATGTCCCTACAAAGGACATAAACTCATCCTTTTTTATGGCTGCATAGTATTCCATGGTGTATATGTGCCACATTTTCTTAATGCAGTCTCTCATTGATTCGGGTTGGTTCCAAGTTTTTGCTATTGTGAATAGTGCTGCAATAAACATATGTGTGCATGTGTCTTTATAGCAGCATGATTTGTAATCTTTTGGGTATATACCCAGTAATGGGATGGCTAGATCAAATGGTATTTCTAGTTCTAGATCCTTGAGGAATCACCACACTGTCTTCCACAATGGTTGAACTAGTTTACAGTCCCACCAACAGTGTAAAAGTGTTCCTATTTCTCCACATCCTCTCCAACACCTGTTGTTTCCTGACTTTTTAATGATCGCCATTCTAACTGGTGTGAGATGGTATCTCATTATGGTTTTGATTTGCATTTCTCTGATGGCCAGTGATGATGAGCATTTTTTCATGTGTCTGTTGGCTGCATAAATGTCTTCTTTTGAGAAGTGTCTGTTCATATCCTTTGCCCACTTTTTCATGGGGTTGTTTGATTTTTTTCTTGTAAATTTGTTAAGTTCTTTGTAGATTCTGGATATCAGCCCTTTGTCAGATGGATAGATTGCAAAAGTTTTCTCCCATTCTGTAGGTTGCCTGTTCACTCTGATGGTAGTTCTTTTGCTGTGCAGAAGCTCTTCAGTTTAATTAGATCCCATTTGTCTATTTTGGCTTTTTTTGCCATTGCTTTTGGTGTTTTAGTCATGAAGTCCTTGCCCATGCCTATGTCCTGAATGGTACTGCCTAGGTTTTCTTCTAGGGTTTTTATGGTTTTAAGTCTAACATTTAAGTCTTTAATCAATCTTGAATGAATTTTTGAATAAGGTGTAAGGAAAGGATGCAGTTTCAGCTTCCTACATATGGCTAGCCAGTTTTCCCAGAACCATTTATTAAATAGGGAATATTTTCCCCATTTCTTGTTTTTGTCAGGTTTGTCAAAGATCAGATGGTTGTAGATATGCAGCATTATTTCTGAAGGCTCTGTTCTGTTCCATTGCTCTAGATCTCTGTTTTGGTACCAGTACCATGCTGTTTTGGTTACTGTAGCCTTGTAGTACAGTTTGAAGTCAGGTAACGTGATGCCTCCAGCTTTGTTCTTTTTGCTTAGGATTGTCTTGGCAATGCAGGCTCTGTTTTGGTTCCATATGAACTTTAAAGTAGTTTTTTCCAATTCTGTGAAGAAAGCCGTTGGTAGCTTGATGGGGATGGCATTGAATCTATAAATTACCTGGGGCAGTATGGCCATTTTCATGATACTGATTCTTCCTATCCATGAGAATGGAATGTTCTTCCATTTGTTTTTGTCCTCTTTTATTTCGTTGAGCAGTGGTTTGTAGTTCTCCTTGAAGAGGTCATTCACATCCCTTGTAAGTTGGATTCCTAGGTATTTTATTCTCTTTGCAGCAATTGTGAATTGGAGTTCACTCATGATTTGGCTCTCTGTTTGTCTGTTATTGGTGTATAGGAATGCTTGTGATTTTTACACATTGATTTTGTATCCTGAGGATTTGCTGAAGTTGCTTATCAGCTTAAGGAGATTTGGGCTGAGACAATAGGATTTTCTAAGTATACAATCATGTCATCTGCAGACAGGGATAATTTGACTTCCTCTTTTCCTAACTGAATACGTTTTATCTCTTTCTCTTGCCTGATTGCCCTGGCCAGAACTTCCAACACTATGTTGAATAGGAGTGGTGAGAGAGGGCATTCCTGTCTCGTGCTAGTTTTCAAAAGGAATGCTTCCAGCTTTTGCCCTTTCAGTATGATATTGGCTGTGGGTTTGTCATAAATAGCTCTTATTATTTTGAGATACATTCCATCAATATCTAGTTTATTGAGAGTTTTTCGCATGAAGTGCTATTGAATTGTGTCAAAGGAGTTTTCTGCATCTATTGAGATAATCAAGTGGTTTTTGTCTTTGGTTCTGTTTATGCGATGGATTACGTTCATTGATTTGCATAGGTTGAAACAGCCTTGCATTCCAGGGATGAAGCCCACTTGATCTTGGGGGATAAGCTTTTTAATGTGCTGCTAGATTCAGTTTGCCAGTATTTTAGTGAGGATTTTCACATTGATGTTCATCAGGGATATTGGTCTAAAATTCTCCTTTTTTGTTGTGTCTCTGCAAGGCTTTGGTATCAGGATGATGCTGGCTTCATAAAATGAGTGAGGGAGGATTCCCTCTTTTTCTATTGATTGGAATAGTTTCAGAAGCAATGGTTCCAGCTCCTCTTTATATCTCTGGTAGAATTACCATACCAGAATCCATCTGGTGAATCCATCTGGTCTTGGACTTTTTTTGGTCAGTATGCTATTAATTATTGCCTCAATTTCAGAACCTGTTATTGGTCTATTCAGGGATTCAAATTCTTCCTGGTTTTGTCTTGG
The DNA here is from genome assembly GCF_000001405.40 of Homo sapiens. Lineage (NCBI taxonomy): Eukaryota > Metazoa > Chordata > Mammalia > Primates > Hominidae > Homo > Homo sapiens. The sequence goes on along the minus strand of NC_000018.10, from coordinate 77,640,530 downwards.
GAGGGTTTGTGTGTCCAGAAATTTATCCATTTCCTCCAGATTTGCTAGTTTATATGCATAGAGGTGTTTATAGTATTCTTTGATGGTAGTTTGTATTTCTGTTGAATCTGTGGTGATATCCCCTTTATCATTTTTTATTGCATCTAGTTGAATCTTCTCTCTTTTCTTCTTTATTAGTCTTGCCAGTGGTCTATCAGTTTTGTTGATCTTTTCAAAAAATCAGCTCCTGGATTCCCTGATTTTTGAAGGGGTTTTTGTGTCTCTCACTCCTTCAGTTTTGCTCTGATCTTAGCTATTTCTTGCCTTCTGCTAGCTTTTGAATGTGTTTGCTCTTGCTTCTCTAGTTCTTTTAATTGTGATGTTAGGGTGTCGATTTTAGATCTTTCCTGCTTTCTCTTGTGGGCATTTAGTGCTATAAATTTCCCCCTACACACTGCTTTAAATGTGTCCCAGAGATTCTGGTATGTTGTGTCTTTGTTCTCACTGGTTTCAAAGAACATCTTTATTTCTGCCTTCATTTCGTTATTTACCCAGTAGTCATTCAGGAGTAAGTTGTTCAGTTTCCATGGAGTTGTGGGGTTTTGAGTGAGTTTCTTAATCCTGAGTTCTAATTTGATTGCACTGTGGTCTGAGAGACAGTTTGTTGTGATTTCTGTTCTTTTACATTTGCTGAGGAGTGCTTTACTTCCAACTATGTGGTCAATTTTGGAATAAGTGTGGTGTGGTGCTGAGAATAATGTATATTCTGTTGATTTGGGGTGGAGAGTTCTGTAGATGTCTATTAGGTCCACTTGGTGCAGAGCTGAGTTCAAGCCCTGGATATCCTTGTTAACCTTCTGTCTTGTTGATCTTTCTAATATTGACAGTGGGGTGTTATAGTCTCCCATTATTATTGTGTGAGAGTCTAAGTATCTTTGTAGGTCTGTAAGGACTTACTTTATGAATCTGGGTGCTCCTGTATTGGGTGCATATATATTTAGGATAGTTAGTTCTTCTTGTCGATTTGATCCCTTTACCATTCTGTAATGGCCTTCTTTGTCTCTTTTGATCTTTGTTGGTTTAAAGTCTGTTTTGTTAGAGACTAGGATTGCCACCCTGCTTTTTTTTGCTTTCGATTTGCTTGGTAGATCTTCCACCATCCCTTTATTTTGAGCCTATGTGTGTCTCTGAATATGAGATGGGTCTCCTGAATACAGCACCCTGATGGGTCTTCACTCTTTATCCAATTTGCCAGTCTGTGTGTTTTAATTGGGCCATTTAGCCCATTTACATTTAAGGTTAATATTGTTATGTGTGAATTTGATCCTGTCATTGTGATGTTAGCTGGTTATTTTGCCCGTTAGTTGATGCAGTTTTTTCCTAGCATTGCCAGTCTTTACAATTTGGCATGTTTTTGCAGTGGCTGGTACTGGTTGTTCCTTTCCATGTTTAGTTCTTCCTTCAGGAGCTCTTGTAAGGCAGGCCTGGTGGTGACAAAATCTCTCAGCATTTGCTTGTCTGTAAAGGATTTTATTTCCTTTTCATTTATGAAGCTTAGTTTGGCTGGATATGAAATTCTGGATTGAAAAATCTTTTCTTTATGAATGTTGAGTATTGACCCCCACTCTTTTCTGGCTTGTAGAGTTTCTGCTGAGAAATCTGCTGTTAGTCTGATGGGCATCCCTTTGTGGGTAACCCAACCTTTCTCTCTGGCTGCATTTAACATTTTTCCCTTCCTTTCAACCTTGCTGAATCTGATAATTATGTGTTTTGGGGTTGCTCTTCTCGAGGAGTATCTTTGTGGTGTTCTCTGTATTTCCTGAATTTGAATGTTGGCCTGCCTTGCTAGATTGGGGAAGTTCTCCTGGATAATATCCTGAGGAGTGTTTTCTAACTTGGTTCCATTCTCCCTGTCACTTTCAAGTATACCAATCAAATGTAGATTTGGTCTTTTCTCATAGTCCCATATTTCTTGGAGGCTTTGTTTGTTTCTTTTTACTCTTTTTTCTCTAAACTTCTCTTCTCACTTTATTTCATTAATTTGATCTTCAATCACTGATACCCTTTCTTCCACTTGATCGGATTGGCTATTGAAGCTTGTGCATGCATAACGTAGTTCTCGTGCCATGTTTTTCAGCTCCATTTGGTCATTTAAGGTCTTCTCTACACTGTTTATTCTAGTTAGCCATTCGTCTAATCTTTTTTCAAGGTTTTTAGCTTCCTTGCCATGGGTTCAAACTTCCTCCTTTAGCTAGGAGAAGTCTGTCATTACCGACCTTCTGAAGCCTACTTCTGTCAACTTGTCAAAGTCATTCTCTCTCCAGCTTTGTTCCGTTGCTGGTGAGGAGCTGCGATCCTTTGGAGGAGAAGAGGTGCTCTGGTTTTTGGAATTTTTCAGCTTTTCTGCTCTGGTTTCTCTCCCTCTTTGTGGTTTTATTTACCTTTGGTCTTTGATGTTGGTGACTTACAGATGGGATTTTGGTGTGGATGTCCTTTTTGTTGATGTTGATGCTATTCCTCTCTGTTTGTTAGTTTTCCTCTAACAGTCAGGTCCCTCATCTTCAGGTCTATTGGATTTTGATGGAGGTCCACTCCAGACCCTGTTTGCCTGAGTATCACCAGCAGAGACTGCAGAACAGCAAATATTGCTGCCTGATCCTTCCGCTGGAAGCTTTGTCCCAGAGGGGCACTCAGCTGTATGAGGTGTCAAGTCGGCCCCTACTGGGAGATGCCTCCCAGTTAGGCTACACAGGGGGTCAGGGACCCACTTGAGGAGGTGGTCTGTCTGTTCTCAGATTTCAAACACCATGCTTGGAGAACCACTGCTTTCTTCAGAGCTGTCAGAAAGGGACGTTTATGTCTGTAAAGGTTTCTGCTGCCTTTTGTTCAGCTATGACCTGCCCCCAGTGGTGGAGTCTACAGAGGCAGGCAGGCCTTGTTGAGCTGTGGTGGGCTCCACCTGGTTCCACCCTCTTTGTTTACCTACTCAAGCCTCAGCAATGGCAGATGTCCCTCCCCAAGCCAGGCAGCCACCTCGCAGTTCGATCTCAGAGTGCTGCACTAGCAGTGAGCAAGGCTCCATGGGTGTGAGACCTGTGGAGCCATGCGTGGGATATAATCTCCTGGTGTGCCATTTGCTAAGACCATTGGAAAAGCACAGTATTTGGGCAGGAGTGTACTATTCCTCCAGGTACAGTCTGTCACAGCTTTCCTTGGCTAGGAAAGGGAAATCCCCCGACCCCTTGTGCTTCCCAGGTGAAGCAATGCCCTGCCCTGCTTCAGCTTACCCTCTGTGGGCTGCACCCACTGTTCAACCAGTCCCAGTGAGATGAACCAGGTACCTCAGTTGGAAATGCAGAAATAACTCGTCTTCTGCGTCGATCAGGCTGGAAGCTGCAGACCGGAGCTATTCCTATTCGGCCATTTTGGAATGGATTCCCAAAAAGTTGCTTTGAAAAAAAAGTAACCCACATGACACACGAGTGTGAGGCTTCAGTATTCACACACTCACAGGGGGAGGGTGCATGCTGTGTCATTTTGCCTTATCAGCCTGTTTTCCTTTTTCCCCGGGTGACTTGTAATAGGTAGATGGATTGTTTCTTGGACTGAGTCTGTGTCATGGTTTTGCAGCCCTTCAACTTTGCTTATGACATACCTGCCACCACAGTGAGTTTCTCAATGATCCAACTCTGCCCTACAAAACCTTTCCATTCCTTAAGAAATATCCTTAATGCAATTTTTCTATGGAGACTTTCCTGACCACTCCCCACACAGCATTCCTTTCCACCTTGTGTATAATTTTCCTATTCTTTGAGCTCTGTATGCAGTACCTTACTTTGATTGTTTTGTGACTATCTATAAACTCCTCTCCTCATTAAACTACAGATCTCTTGAGGGCAGAAACTCCAATGGATTCATCTTCTTAATGCCTTTATTCCTTAACACAAATCCTGGGACATGGCACACAACAATACACATGTGGTGAATTGATTGTAATATTTAGTGCAAAAACATCAATGTGCCAACCCACTTATCAAATCCATAGGTTGCCAGATCCTGTAGGTGATGAAAGTCCTCTGCATACACAAAACTCAAAATCCTGCTAGATTTACACTGACATAAAATTGATAAGACAAATATAATAATAACAATAAAAGTGTCCAGTTTTAGATAACAGTCTAAATTTCATCAACCCCACATGATTTGTTTTCAGTGCTAACTAACCAAATGAGTAAATATTCTTTGTAAACAACGTCGATATTCTATTTATTGTGTCCATAAAAGACAGGAAAAAAGAGCGTGAGGATTAGGAAATTGTTTTGGCTTTCATCGTGTCATTTCTTTTTGTGAAATCAACCTCTGCATAAGAAAATTACTTACCAGCTTTGAGGCAGCTTGCATTTGCAAACACAGTACAGGCTTTCAATGGGCAATCGACATGGCAGCAGTGAACAGAAAATCAGAGACCCTGGCAGGACTGAAATGGACACATGTGGCCACGCCACACTGCCAGGACCAACACTGCTGGTGCACAGTGCTGTAATAATGGGGACATGGCCGGAATTCACCCTGAGTGAGGCCTCTCCACACTATTTACTACCAACCAACATAAGAAAACTCCGTGCTTTCCATCCAGAAGCTACACCCACTGGGAAACATTTTTTTAGATATAATTGATATTCAACTTTGAAACTGCTCTGAAAAATACAAGAAGGTAAAATTGTCCAAATGTACATCACGCTGTGTGATTCACACTGAGTGTTTCTCTTAAAGAGAACTGAAAACTGTTCCCGGAATTTCTGCCAAATTTCTCTGAGCTCTTCACAGCAGCAGCTCCGTCAAGCTGGCTTGATTCAAACCAAGCGTTTGCCAGGGAAGCTCTTTCACATGTGGGAGTAGCTGAGGCCCTGATATGATTACATCCCTGAACATCGCTGGTTAGCAACTCGCAGAGGAAAAGAGCATGGTGTGTTTGAGACTCAGGCTGTGCGAGCGCCTGCCCTCGGGAGCTCATCCAAGCCCCTGTGGAAAGTCAGGGTGGGGCTTGGTCTCCTGCTCTCCTTCCTGGTGTCTTTGTGGGATTAAATTCCCCCTTCTGCAGATTTCTCGGGGTTATCTCCCGCCCTCCTACCTCCTCTTTCAATATGCTAGCAACTTTTAAAATATGCATATATTCCTTGTGCAGGTACATCAGACTTGCTCATATGTGTCAAGTTTTGTACAAACAGGAACTGAGAACAAAATAATACCAGTTCTGAGAGGTTGTCTCTGACAACACAGTAAAATGTTCCCAAATTTAAAAAAATCTTATCACAGGATTGGACAATTGCATGTTTTATCAGTGAAGGAAGATTAAACCATGAATGCTAATTGTACTTACATATCCCATGCATACCACTTATTCATCATAGGAATGTGGAATCGAAAATGAATGGTTCATTGCAGAATTTTTACATAGGCATTCTGCATCTCATGGTCTCTGAGGATGCTATGAAGTAATATAGGATACGGATTTAAAATGGGAATCCATGGATTTACTATATATATTACCTGTATTGACTGTTAGTGTTAGAAAGGGTTTCAAGAGTTTTGAGCGGTATGCATACTTTACAAAATCCTGTGTTTAATAAAGTGAATTGGTAGCATTCTAGCATGGAAATTACCAACCTGGGTTTTGTGATAAGAAAGATGTATCTCTAATTTCAGCTCTGACACGAGCCGTGGATGTGGTTCCTAAATGTTGTAGCCCTCATTCGCCCCACTAGTGAAATAGGGAAGATGGTTTCTGCTCCTCACAAGGAGTCACTTAGGTAACAATAGTGGTTAGCAGCAAGCACTCCCGCGGTACTGGCATTGAGGAGGCTCTCCTGATTCTTGTGACAGCTCAGCGGCAGCAGCTGGAATGGCAGAAGCATCAGTAACATTCCAGGAGCTGTTATTGTTCTGCATTTTACACAGCATCTGAGCTTCTTTCATCCCCCCTGTATTATGTAGCCCTTTTTCTTTCTGAAAGCTATTTTTGTAGTGGAAAACAAAACAACGAGTCAAGGGAAGTAAATACAGACCCATGTCCATCATCTCATCACCTCTCTATAAGCAGAAGAAAAGAAACTTCCTCCTCACAGCAAAAGTGAGATTAGCTAAACACAGGAAGTGTTCCATGACCCAGAAGGTTGTTTTCCAGAAGGAACTGTAGGCAGGGGCTGTGGAGACCTTGGATCTCCCCACCCACTTAAGGAATGATATTCACATACGGCAAGTTGGGCTGGGCTCAATTCCATTCTCTCACCCACTCTTGCATCAGGGATGAGCCTGGTGGCTGGAGCCCCCCTCCACTCTTGAAGGGGAGACGCAAAGAGAAGGTCAAATGGGAACGCTCAGTGGCCCTGGGGGATCAAATCTTTCTAGTGAGCTGGGGATAGCTGTGAGTCTCCTCATGACCCACAGGCCAGATGCAAAGAGCTGTTTCTTTTGGCCTTGACTTAAAATATTTCCCCCCACGCCAACTGCCAATGGAGCCCAAAGGTGTGCCTTAGAACTGCTCAGGAGTAACTGAGTGTGGCCGATGGCAGACGGTGGTGGGGAGAAGCAGGAGGAAGTGACCAGAACTTCCATGAGGGGAGAAACAGAGAAGGAAGCTCTAGGTCTTGATATGCTCTGGCTGTGTCTCCACCCAAATCTCATCTTGAATTGTAATCTGAACTATAATCCCCATGTGTTGGAGGAGGGACCTGGTGGGAGGTGACTGGATCATGGGGGCAGTTACCCCCATGCTGCTCTTATGATAGTGAGTGAGTTCTCATGAGATCTGATGGTTTTATAAGGGGCTTTTCCCCCTTTGCTTCTCTTTCTCTCTTTCACTCTCCTCTCTCTCTCTCTCCCCCTCTCTCTCTCCTTCTCACCTGCTGCCATGTAAGACATGCCTCTTCCCCTCTGCCATGATTGTAAGTTTCCTGAGGCCTCCCCAGCCATGTAGAATTGTGAGTCAATTAAATCTCTTTTCTTTATAAAGTACACAGTCTCTGGCAGTTCTTTATAGCAGTGTGAGAACAGACAAACAAACACAGGTTTTGAGTCCTATCATCAGATGGACCAGCCCTTCCTGGCTCCTGCTGCATCTGTCCAAGGCCTTCTCAAGTTCTGCAGGCCATCCTGATGGGGAGGTTGGATGAGGAAATGAGGGTGTGCAGCAGTTACCCCTGTGACTGCATCCCGACAAAAATCAAGATGATACTGGCAGAGCACACAAGGTTCTCAAAGCTGAGGACCAAGCCCACAGGTGGCCCCTGGGCCTGGGCAGAGGCAGGGGGGCCCAGGTGTGGTTCAACAGGCACCAAATACCTGCAAAACAACCTGTAATGAGCAATGCATTGGAGACGAGGATTCAGAGCTCTGCAGATATTGAATGGATAGACCACGATGCTCATCACTGAACTGGAAATAAACATGAGAAAGAATGAAGCCAGCAGGCTTTGTGGAAGAAGGCAACAAAAAGGAAGAACAGATCGAAGCTGAAGGGAACGTTAAGCCAGAAAGAAAGTGGCAGAAAAACCCTGAGGAAAGTCAAGATGGTCATGCAGACAGCTGGCAAAACTTCCAAGCAGCACAAAGGGGAAGTGAGAAAATACTCTGCTCTTTCTGGGTCCCAAGCCTGTAGAAACAGAGCGCGTGAGTGACTTCCTGGGGTCCAGAGCGCCAGAAACCCCACCCTCCGCCCGCCCTCCTGTAAGGCAGATTCACTCTCCCTTCCCACCCACCCAATATGCAGGGTCACTGCTGCTTCTTCTACTCTGTTTTCAGGGGAATATGGTGCTTTTCAAAGTATTTGGAACTGAAATAAGAGTCTCCATTTAAAGACTGCTCTTCTCTCTACCAACACCCAGAAAAACCAGGGCTGTTGGGACCCACACCCACCCTGCCGTCTGTTCCATGGCTTGAAAGCCAGTGTTTTCCACATCAGTGAATTATGATGGTGCTAAAAAAATTAAATTTAACAGATTTTAATTGAGCAAAGAATGATTCTGAATGGGCTCACAGCAACCCTGGGGTTGCCACATGATATGCTTTGGCTGTGTCCCCACCCAAATCTCATCTTGAATTGTAGCTCCCATAATTCCCACATGTCATGAAAGGGACCCAGTGGAAGGTAATCAAATCATGGGGGCAGGTCTTTCCCATGCTGTTCTCATGGTAGTGAATACGTCTCATAAGATCTGATGGTTTTATACAGGGCAGTTCCCCTGCACACACTATCTCTTGCCTGCTGCCATTTAAGACATCCCTTTACTCTTCTTTCATCTTCCACCATGATTGTGAGGCCTCCAACCCATGTGGAACTGTGGAGTCCATTAAAACTCTGTCCTTTGTAAATTACCCAGTCTCGGGTTTATCTTCATCAGCAGTGTCAGAACAGACTAATAGAGTAAATTGGTACCAGTAGAGTGGGGTGCTGCTGTAAAGATACTTGAAAATGTGGAAATGACTTTGGAACTGGGTAACAGGCAGAGGCTGGAACAGTTTGGAGGGTTTAGAAGAAGACAGGAAAATGTGGGGAAGTTTGGAGCTTCCTAGAGATTTGTTGAATGGCTTTGACCAAAATGCTGATAGCGACATGGACAATAAAGTCCAGGCTGCGGTGGTCTCAGATAGAGATGACGAACTTGTTGGGAACTGGAGCAAAGATGACTCCTGCTTTGTTTTAGTAAAGAGATGTCACATTTTGCCCCTGCCCTAGAGATCTGTGGAACTTTGAACTTGAGGGAGTTGATTTAAGGCATCTAGCAGAAGAAATTTCTAAGCAGCAAAGTGTTCAAGAGGTGACTTGAGTACTGTTAAAGGCATTCAGTTTTATGTATTCTCAAAGATATGGTTTGGATTTGGAATTTATGTTTAAAAGGGAAGCAGAACACAAAATTCTGGAAATTTGCAGCCCAACAATATGATAGAAAAAAAAATTCTGAGGAGAAATCCAAGCGAGCTGCAGAAACTTGCATAAGTAATGAGAAGCCTAATGTTAAACACCAAAGCAATGGGGAAAATGTCTCCAGGACATGTCAGGGGTCTTCACAGCAGCCCCTCCCAACACAAGCCAGGAGGCCTAGAAGGAAAAAAAATGGTTTCCTGGATCAAGATCAAGACTCCCTGCACTATGCAGCCTAGACATGGAGACCTGCATCCCAGCTGCTTCAGCTCCAGCCATGGCTAAAAGGGGCCTATGTACAGCTCAGGCTTTTGATTCAGGGGGTGCAAGCCCCAAGCCTTGGCAGCTTACATGTGGTGTTGGGCCTGCAGGTGCATTTGGGTCAAAAATTGAGGTTTGGGAACCTCCACCTACCTTTCAGAAGATGTATGCAAATGCCTGAATGTCCAGACAGAAGTTTGCTAGAGGGTGGGTCCTCATGGAGAACATCTACTAGGGCAGTGCAGAAAAGAAATGTGGGGTTAGATCCCCCACACAGAGTCTCCCCTGGGACACTGCCTAGTGGAGCTGTGAGAAGAGGGCCATCGTTCTCCAGATCCCAGAATTGTAGATCCACTGACAGCTTGCATCGTGCACCTGGAAAAACCACAGGTGCTCAACATCAGCTGTGAAAGCAGCCAAGTGGGAAGCTGTACCCTGCAAAGCCACAGAGGCAGAGCTCCCCAAAGCCATGGGAGCCCATCTCTTGCATCAACATGATCTGGATGTGAGACATGGAGTCAAAGGAGATTATTTCACAACTTTAAGATTTGGCTGCCCAGTTGGATTTTGAATTTATATGGGGCCTGTAACTCCTTTGTTTTGGCCAATTTCTCCCATTTGGAATGGGTGTATTTACCCACCACCTGTACTCTCATTGTATCTAGGAAGTAAATAACTTGCTTTTGGTTTTACAGGCTCATATGCAGAAGGGACTTGCCTTGTCTCAGATGAGACTTTGGACTATGGACTTTTGAGTTAATGCCCTAATAAGACTTTGGGGGAATGTTGGGAAGGCATGATTGGTTTTGAAATGTGAGGACATAAGGTTTGGGAGGGCCCAGGGGTGGAATGATATGGTTTGGCTGTGTCCCCATCCAAATCTCATCTTGAATTTTAGCCCCCATAATTCCCATGACATGTGGGAATGCTTGGAGACATTCAGGGCCTCTCCCAAAGGCAAAGTCCAACCCCAGAAGGTGACTCCAGAAACCCAGCTCTGTGTTGGGTGCGTTTTCACCCCCAGATGCTTATGTCTGACTGTATCACTGAGAATGGGCGGCCGGGGTGCGGGGTATCTGCAGAAATGGCTCTCAACACCACCCCTGGCAAAGACAGTAGGGCAGGAGAGAGAACCTCTTCCACCTGGATTGGTGCCTTCTAGGTTGACACCTGCAGAAGCATGGGGTTGAGTATTTCCTTGGTGTAGCCTGGCTCCTCCTCTTCTCATTTTTAAAGAAAGCCACATAAATAGGAGCATCACACGAACCTCTTATCTTAAGAAAGATAGAAGTTGAGAAGGTGAGAAAAAAAGGGAGAGAAAGAAGGGAAGGGATTGAGGGTGGGAGGAAAGGAGGGAAGGAGGGGGAGAGGAAGAAAGGCACTTTCAATTTAAAAGAGATTTTGATTTGTGAAAGGCCTTCATGCTCATAAATAATGGAATGCCCAAACCTTGCATATTTCAAGTTTGATTCCATGCCTTTCTATGCATTTTATTATGCTTGCATTTTTTTGTTTTAGTTTGGGGAGCAGTCCATTCTGAGGATCTCAAGTTGTTTTAATGCACAAAGGAGAAAGGACGAGTTGGAGATGGGGATGCTCTTTGGCATGGAAGGAAGCAGCAGCTGAACTGCAAGGGAGAGAATAGCCCAGTGGAGTTGGGGAGGAAGCTCCAGGGCATCTGTGTGCCTTGGTCAATCTCAGAGTTTGTTTTAAAAAGAAGACTTTTTTTTTTAATAGGAAACAAATATTTGAGTTTTCGTGAATAATTTGAATTGAGCTTCCAAACAATCCAAAAGATGGCAGGAGGCAGGAGGACACCTGGATCACAGTGCTGTGGTCCACACAGGCTCAGCCTGGAGCTGGGGGTCCATGGGGCTTGTGTTATGCCATCTCCATATCCTCTTCTCCACCAGCCACATCACCTCTTCGTTTACCAATATTCGGTTCCCCCGGGATTCCAGAGGGACCTGTACTGTTACTACAGCAATCCCTGGGCACCAGGACAAGAAAGAAGGAGGGACGATGAGGACGGCCGAGGTATACCCTCACCTTCCTCCAGCTGCATTGTGTGACAGCCCCTCTAGACCACCACGACATCTTGCCAGAGGTGCTTGCAAAATTGGCTCACAGTTTTTTTAAGCTCTCACTGGCTCACTATGTATCTTCATAGATCAGGGAAAGCAACTCAGTCAATAAGGTGAGGCCACCACATCTAGGGCCATGGTGCTGGAGGCGAAGCCTTGGCTGCAAGTCAGCTTCATCCTGTACCGGTGACATAACTTCTCTGAGCTTCATTTTACTTCTCTTATTAAGTGGGGATAACAAAAGTATCTCAGGGAACACAGTATGCCTTACATGGTATAGTTAGAATAAATAGAACATTATGAACAAATAGAAATGACCACATTATCATGATACTCTGGGTTACATAAATGCATATGATTTGTACAAAGCCACTGGGACCAGTTATACAACAACTGACTGGTTCTAATTTACCAAAGGCCAGATGCTGGAACAAGCACTTTGCATGTGGACGGCTTTGGCTCCCATTTGTTTCTCAATATTAACAACTCTGAGATGTTTTTATTACCCCACTGCTCTTTGTCACTTTATAATCAAGAGATACTGGTATGCATGGACTAAATATAAAATATGCTACACGCAGAGGAAAACTACCACCTCTTATTTGAAGGCTCGGAGATTTCTGAGCTTCCTGCTTAGGGCAGAGACACACTGAACATTAAGGATGGATGGGAATAGCAATGTTTCTACAGCTTTGTAACTGCATCTGTGTTTCCAAACATTTCATAGTTTAAGAGATGCAATATCAAAACTTGCTTTAGCCATGGATATTAAGAGGTCTTTTTTAAAACAATCAGAGATTAGAATACACTTTGAAAATAAAGGTGACATGGTTTGGGCTATATTCCCATCCAAATCTCATCTTGAATTGTAGTTCCCATAATCCCCATGTGTGTACAAGGGACTCAGTGGGAGGTAACTGAATCGTGGGGGCAGTTACCCCAAGCTGTTCTCATGATAGTGGGTGAGTTCTCGTGAGATCTGAGGGTTTTATAGGGGGCTTTTCCCCCTTTTGCTCTGCACTTCTCTCTTGCCTGCTGCCATGTAAGGCATGCCTTTGCTCCTCCTGCACCTTCCGCCATGATTGTGAGGCCTCCCCAGCCATGTGGAGCTGTGAGTCCATTAAACCTCTTTCCTTTATAAATTACCCAATCTCGGGTATGTCTCTATTAGCAGCATGAGAATGGACTAACACAGTAGCTTAAATAGTTGATAATTAAATCTGATTCAGATGGCCACACATAGATTCCTATCATTAAATATTTTCTATTTTAAGATTATGGCATGTGCATTCTTTTATCAGCATTGGAGCCCATCTAATCAAGAAGTAAAGGTCCTATTTAAATGGCTTTTAGACAAGTCACCTGGTAAAGAGGATTTAAGAGCAAATGGGGAAGAGAAACCAGAATTTAACTGTTTTCTACTTGATTCCCACCGAAATGACCAAATATTTCATAATGAAAAAGATGCAATAGCCCCGAGATCTACGATGGAGTCTTCCCACTCCAGAAATTTCCAGGCATTTCTCCTGGTCCTAAGGCAGACAGAACCCAGGCGCAAACAGTCCAGCCTGGTCCACACGACAGGAATAGCCCTCCTGAAGGTGGACGTGAAAGCTTGGACAAAGCTGTTTGTGTCCAAGGAGAGGAAAGGCTAAAGGTAAGTCGACCACAGGCCAGCGAGGGGCACACCTGGATCCCACCAGCCCCTGTGGGGGGTGCTTCAGGATTCTGACCACAGGATTCTGACCGCAGGAGCACCCATCCCGAGGCACTCACCACTTTCCACCATGACCGCCACAAACCTGGCACAGCAGCACTCGGCTTCAGCGAAGGTGCTCTGAAGTCCAAGTCTGCTCCGCGCATCCGGGCTGCTCTCTGTCCCAGCCTGCGCTGCAGCGGCATCACCCCCACGCTGCGGGGCAATCCCAACTTTCCCGGCGATTTTCAGAGAGCTGGAAAGATGTGAATGGGGACACACATGTTATGGGATGTAACGGACCTCAACTCACAGGACAGGAAAACTACAAGTGTCCCCGAGCACACAGAAGAATTGCAGGGGAGATGAGAAGATACGGCAGCCAGCAGGAGAATCTGGACTGAGAAGTCAGAACAATATTTTTTCTGTGATGTGATCACTGTAGTCAGAACAATATTTTTTCTGTGAATGTGATCACTGTAAGAACACGAGGTACATTTTGGAAATTTCAAATCTGTGCTTTCAGCAACATTCAATTGGAGACAACATTGATGAAACAAAGTCAAGGGCTCATGGAAAGGGAGTTGGTGATGTATAAAGGGGTTATTAAAATCTACCCAAGAGTGAAAAACATGACTATCAAATGACAAATTTCAAAAGACACATTAAACATAAAATTAAAGCCAAATATTGAATGGAATAGAACCTACAAAAAAGAAACAATAGTCATGGAAAACATAGAGTAAAATCCACCTAAATGAAGAAAATGTTGAGATTGTAAATTCAAAGAAGTCACAGAGAACCAGAAATAAATTAATGAACAAAGAAACTCACAGTGGCATATCTTGATGAAATTCTTGAACTTAATATTATAATGATAGAAAAACAATATCAAAATATCACATTGTACCCCATAAATGCCATAAATTATTTGTCACCTAATATTAATTTATAAATAAATAACTAAAATAATAAGTATTTTGTGTTTTTCTTCATAAATAGGTTTGTAATTCGTCTGAAATTAGCTTTTATGAATTCCATAAAGTAGAATCCAGCTTTAACCCATAGAGGCTGCCAATTACTTCTGTAATTTCATTGAGTGCTTATCTTTCCTCAAATGCTGAATCTATTATATTAAAGGTTTTTTAATATAGAAAAAATAAGGTAAACTACAAAGTAAAAAGTTACATCAAAACAACCAGGCTGATCTGAGATTTCACATTTGCAGTGCTACATTTATTTTAGTATTTTTTGTCAGTGTTTTCAAAGTGGTATATTTATAAGGATAATTTTTAGAACCAAGAATTCTATGTCCTGAAATTTCTGATGCATTTATGAGTGGGGAAATAATAAGAAAAAACAAAAAAATTCAATTTGAAAGCATTAAAAGTATGGCAAACATGCAGGATTTGTGTTGATTAATAAAGGAAATGATTAATAATATTGTAAAATGTATAATGCTTATGTACCAAAGAAAAGAGTATGGCATTATCTAAAAAGTCATCCAAGTAAATAAAAACTTGAGAAAAATCACAATTGCATATATAGGTTTGTTGATGTTTCTTTTTATTCTACTGAAAGTGGGAAACTGGCATGTAGTGAGACAGAGAAATGGAACATTGTAAAACACACATTAACAGATTCCTGCTAGACAATTATCTATACTTTTCTGTATACTTAAAATATTTCTTAATAAAAATTAAATAACTACATAGAAAGATAAATTACAGACTGGGATAAGATAGTTATAAACTCCATTCTAATAAAGATCTTAAGTCCAAATTATGCAAAGAATTGTTATAATCCAAAAATATGACCAACAACACAACATAAATGGACAAAATATTTGAACAGACATTTTAACAGAGAAGATCTAGGAATAGCCAACAAAGACAGAAAAAGGGGCCCAACAGCACCAGTGAACAAAGGGAGGTCATCTAAAGTCACAAGGCAGGCATGTGAGTGTGAGAACGGGAGGCGGCTGGAGAGCCCAGCCCCTTTTCCTGGCAATGTGGAAAGGAAAAGGAAAAGATGAGCAGTTCTTTATCAAGTTAAACATGTGTTTAGAGTATGATCCAGCCATCTCAAGGCTCAGCATTCATCTAAGAAAAATGAAAACATGTGTCCACATAATTATTATATAGCAGCTTCGCTTATATGGTCAAAAACCCAGTGCAACCAGAACAGGTGACTGGATAAACAACCTGTGATAACCCATGCCATGGACCTGATCTGCAGCAATACGGATGGTTCTCAAGGTCATAGAGCTAAGTGAAGGAAGACAAAGACCAAATAGAATTATTCTTCCCATAGAGTATTCTAGGTAAGACAACAACATCGGACAGCAAGCAGACCAGTGAGTGTCAGGCTTGTGGGTGGGCAGTGGTGGGGTCTGAGGGGACTTGGGGGTAACGGACATGGTCAGGATCTTGGTTGCAAGACTGCATGCCCGCCACACGCATGTGCAAAGTCCTTCAGCTTTTATCAACTTAAAAAGGGTGAATTCTGTCTCTAAATTCTATCTCAATAAATTTGACAAAAATATTATACATATTTTATAAACCATATATCATAGATTGATATATTGAATATTTCACTTCATACCTTTTTAAATTATTATTTTCCGGAAAAATAACACATTTTTTTATTTGGGGCACACCAGTGCACTACAGAACATAGTTTCCAACATACTACATGACATATATTCCCATCAATGTCAAGAAAAACATGCAAATTTCATAAATGGCAAATATTTAGTAATATTACTCTGGAAATTCAAACAAATATAGACAGATTATGGAAACATAAGTCAGAGCTTACAGTCGCTGGAAAGAGACAATTATTATTCACAGCCACCATGATTCTCCACTTAAAAATCTAAGAGGATCGAATAAGAAATTATTACAACAATGAAGAGTTCAGAAGTACACCCGTTTGCATAATGGAAACTAAACATGCAATCACAATTGTAAATAGAGAGGACTGAAAAATAAGAAGTAGGGCCCAGCTACCTCATGTCTTAGATTTATCTGAATTTAAGAAAGGAGGTGTTCAGGTTTCAGAACTTGGGAATACCTGCCAGACCCCACAGGAGCACAGCTGAGAGGTCCTGAAGGGCCAGCTCCCATGGAGGAAACCAGGGCTTTGACGGGAGCACAATGGTGAGGCTTCAGTGTGTACTTGGCGAGTGGGGCCTGGGAAGGAGAGTGGGGAAGAAAAGAGAGAGGGAAGGAACCAATGAGTGACCTAATTATAATCAGGCTCCTCCTGGTTATCTTTTTTTTTTTTTTTTTTTTTTTTTTTTTTTTTTTTTAAGATGGCATTTTGTTCTTGTCGCCCAGGCTGGAATGCAGTGGCACGATCTCGGCTCACTGCAACCTCCGCCTCCCTGATTCAAGCGATTCTCCTGCCTCGGCCTCCGAGTAGCTGGGATTACAGCTGCTTGCCACCACATCCAACTAATTTTTGTATTTTTAGTAGAGAGGGGATTTCGCCATGTTGGCCAGGCTGGTCTCGCACTCCTGACCTCAAGTGATCCGCCTGCCTTGGCCTACCAAAGTGCTGGGATTACACGCATGAGCCACCGAGCCTGGCCTCATCTTTTTAACCCTCACGATAAACAAGTGGGCCAATATGAGCAGCTCCCCCAGCCCCGGTTTTCTCGGTGGGTGCAGCCCCTCTCGTGGAAGGGGGAAGGGGGAAGGGGTAGGGGGTGCAGCACCTGCGAAGGTGAATGGTTCTGTACGATTTTGTGGAAAATGCAAAACACAGAGTGCAGAGCTCGGTTTCCTCGTGGCATGATTCTTCCTGTCCCTTCCTTCCTGGAGTGACTGCATCCACCAAGGACCCTTCTCACCTGCACACCCACCTCCGCAAGAGGAATATTCTCTTCCTCAACCGATGTTCAAGTTTGAAAACATGATTCTAAGAGGCAAAGTGCTGAGTTTCCTCTAGTGAAATAGCACTTAGGCTAGTTAATCCACCCACCCGCTGTAACATTCGGTTTCCTCACCTGTAAAACAGTCAACAACATACATAAAGGTCCCCATAAATGGCCATGCTAACTCTTGATGTTTTATTAGGAAAGCTGGTTCTCAGCACAAGATGGTTTTATTTTGAATTAACTTCAGCTCCTTGGCGTTGGCAGTCATACTGATGTCCTACCTTGAACTAGATTAAGAATGAAGCTGGATTTACAGCTATTTATTGGCTAATACTTTGGGTTACATGACTAAGCTTTGCAGAGAAATATCATCTTCCCAACCCAATGATTAGAAAACATCTGAAAATCTCAAATGCACATATGGATGTATCCGTGCCGGTGTTAAAGAAATTGCAGTGATAAAATGAGAAAACACGGTTTCCTTGATCTGAAGTATTGATTTTTAATTATTTTCGGCCCAGAGCTGAAGGTGGCAGAAGAGTAGCCCAGGAGCCGAGGGCTCGGTGCTGGCGCGGACGCCTTCCCAGCCTGCGGGGTGTGCACAGGGCGCTTACCCACTCAGAGTAGAACCTGGGAGAAAACACGACTGGATGTTATTTTCGCCGCAGCTGCTGAATTGGAGCAGGTTGAATCCGGACGTCCCTATGGCCATCTAGTTTGTGGGACCCAGGCGCCTCAGACCCTAACTGGACCCAACAGAAAGCTCCTGCTGGCCAGGGAGGAATGAGACTGAGTATCCAAGTGTGAGCAGAGCCGTGGACTCGGCCCTACATATCCAGAGGACCCTTTACTGTTTAGAGGGCACAACCAACATAAACTCCGCTTTCCTAGAACTTAAAAACTCCTGACTTTTTGCCCTCAGCACAGTACCCAGTGAATTTCTTCACCCACCCGTGTGGGCTCGCAAGGCAAACTACCAGATGCACCTTTGGCCTTTTCTGCAGTCTTCCTCTAACCCCTAATGGCTCCTGGCTGCTGGGCTTGGCTTGGGAAGGGATTGGGGGAAGTGGAGAGGGGCTTCCCCTGGGACAGTCCAGGGCCACGTGCCCAGGATGGCCTCACAGCCTTGTCGGGAGCTGAGACCCCGCCCAGCCCCACTCTTCCCCATCTCAGGGAGGAGAAAAGCTTTCTCCTCCCCTCTTCTAGGTGTACTCTTTCTTCTCCCGGAGGCTGAGCATGATCAGCCACCCACTGCTGAGCTCTGGCAGCTGCTCAGCCTGGGAGTTGCCCTCTCTGTGAGGCAGGAGAATAGGGTCTGGAGGCGGCGAACCTGAGGCTGATTTACGATTCACACTGACTTCCTAGAACTAAATCAAAACGAAAACCCCAACTTTCCATCCCCAAGTGGAAAGGACCAGAGGCTACTCCCTTTACAATGCCCCCCTCCCCTTTTCTGTGTGGCAGATGTAAAAATGAAAGTACCTCTGATTGGTCCCCTCCTGCAATCAATCAGGCTGGTCCCAGGCCAAGTCTTCATTTGCATAGGAGTATAACTTTGTAACTTCACTTCAGCCTCTGATTGGTCCCCTCCCACAACCAATCAGACTGATTGTAGGCCACTACTTCATTTACATAGGGTGTAAACCAAGTAACCAATGGGCAACCTCTAGAGGGTTTTCAAACCCCAGAAAATTCTGTAACTTGGCTTTTAATCTGCTTGCTTGGGTCAACTTCCACACTGTGGAGTGTACTTTCATTTTCAGTAAATCTCTGCTTTGTTGCTTTATTCTTTTCTTTCTTTCTTTGTGCGTTTTGTCCAACTCTTGTCCAAGACTCCAAGAACCTGAACACCCCCCACCGGTAACACCTGTACCCTTGGAGCCAGCCTTCAAACCAAACCAGAGAGACATCCCAGCATGTTCCACCCCACCGCATCTCCTGATGGGAAAAGCGGCGCTAAATTGGGCTGGGAAAGCCCAATTTAACCCAGCGCTTTCCAATACTGGCTGCAAATTGGAATCATCTGAGGAACTTTAAAATAAATACTGATGCCTGGCTCTTGCCCCCACAGATTCTGATGCAATTGGTGTGCTGTGTGACCTTGGGAATTTCAAGGATCTGCAGGTGGCTCGAATGAGCAGCCAAAGTTGAGAGCGCTGATTGAACTTGATGTTCACTGTTGACTTTTCAGTCTTTACCCTGCTTAGACGAGCTTCAGCTGCTCCTGTTTTATCTAGCGTTTGTATTAGAAATGAAAGGCTGAATAGTAGCCTATGCTTTTTGGCCACTGATAGGTATATAGTAACTATAATATTTTCCCCTTTAATTTTCCAATGCAATGATCTATAGCATTGTTTTATCTAATAACAAATTATTCTTGCATTCCAGTCAAATTTGCTATAGGGGTGTCGAAGGTGGATTAGAATTTGGTGCCTCTCCTTTCTGTTTCAGTAAAACCTCTCCCTTAGGATGTTCTCTCTCAGTCAGGGCCTCATAGTGAAATCAGACAACTTGAATTTGGATTTCAGCTTGATGGGATGAGAATAGCTCTTACTTCAAAAGCCCATGGAAGAGACAAAATGATATAATGTGTGTGAAGGACTCAGGTCAGTGCCTAGCACGTGACAAAACCACAGTAAATGGTCGCATCAAGGCAGAAAGAAGATATTTGATATTATGTCTTGTTCCTCTGGCCCACAGAGGGCCGGCTCCTTCTCTCCTGCTCCACCCAATGCTCCACCCATCCCTCACTGCAGCTTGCAGGTGGAAGTAGATTCACTCCCTGAGCTCCAGCACAAACCTCCAGCTGGCCCTGTGGGAAATGTCAGGCAGGTCGATGAGAATAGCCAGGACCCAGGTACCCTCCACGGTGAGTGCAGTGCAGAATTCTGCTCACTGCAAGCAGAGATTTGCTGCAAATGGAGATGAAAGTTGAAAATGCTCCGGGGTAGATAAGATGTGGGAGAAACTTCAATTCCTTAGGTGAATTGCAAGAAGTAATGATTTTCTGCTTACTGACGGCCTCGTTCTTAATCTGCAGTGGGAAACTAGATTGTGCAATTTCTGATAATTTGAAGCATTTTTGTTTTCTGCATTTTTACTGCAGTTGCTAAAAATTTATTTTCCTCTGACAGTTTCTGAAGATTGCACAAACAATTGGGGAGAGGAAATTTTCAGCATTTCTGTTAACTCTACCATTTTAACTCAAAGTAATCTGTATAGAAGCTTAGAAAAATATAAAAAAGAAACCAATTTGATCCTATCGCCTTTACCATAGCTTGTTTGCTTCATTTGCACTGGATTTTCATTAGCACTGAGGGTTGAACCCACAGGTGACAAGTGCATTTTATGAAGTAGAGGTAGGTGTGTAGGGTAATATCTCCCTAGAATTCCAGTGATGTGCACCCTAGATGGAAATGATTAAACCTGCATTTTTTTTTGAGACAGTCTCGATCTCAGCTCACTGCAACCTCTGCCTCCCAGGTTCGAGTGATTCTCGTGCCTCAGCCTCTCAAGTAGCTGGAATTACAGACATGCACCACCACGCCTGGCTAATTTTTGTATTTTTAGTAGAGATGGGGTTATGTCATGTTGGCCAGGCTGGTCTCAAACTCCTAACCTCAAGTGATCCACCCGCCTTGGCCTCCCAAAGTGCTGGGATCACAGGTGTGAGCCCCTTTGTCCAGCCTAAACCTGCATTTTCTGTGCTAATTATGATGGGACTTTCATGTAGTCAATAGGTCGTATGCTCATTTTTTGTTAATTAAGTGCCGCATCCACATATAACCAGTCAGAAATTCAAGGACTCAAAGGCCTAATTTCTATTTGTCCAGAAAACCAGAAATTTCACATGAATCTTTTAATACATTTTTCTAAATATTTCAAAATATTCTTGGCCCACATTGAAGTTCACTGAAAAACACAATGCATTAGTGTCCATGAAGGCCAGATGTTATTTGGTGAAACAGTTTTCCAAGTAATTATTTTTCTGGCAAAAGTGAGTTGACTGACCTTATGGTAACTGAAAGAGCTTTCCCATGAAGCTCAAACACAATGACTGTTTACTGTAGGTCAGAGCTTGTTCTTTGTCAGAATTAAATTAGTTACCAATTGTTTGGGTGCTTGAAAATGGAAATTTCAGACTCATAGCAGGAAGCTTTATTTGGAGGCACTTTGGATATCCTACCAGTGTTTATTTTCTTCTGCATGCCAAGAAATGAGTTTCTCAGTGTACAGCAGATGCACCTGACAGCAATAACTTAAGAAATGGGGGTTGCCACATGGAGGTTGCTGGGAGGAGAGTGCTAAGTGAAAGTGCTGTATAAATTACATGCTTTTTACAAAGGATCATAGTTTTCCTGTCCATTCCACTACCACTGGCTCGCCCTGTATGAAAGTCCCCTCAAATAAACCCTGTGTCTCGTTTGCTGGCTCCAAGTCTCTTCTGTGGCCTCTCAAACATGGCGCCATCGCTATTAAAGTCAATAGGAAACTAGCATGACACTTGGTTTCACCACAGAAAAAACAGTTCCATCCTATTCGGAGCCTGGCTGATGGCCCTTTGCCTGATAAAGTTTCTGTTTCCACATGTTCTGGGTATGTCTGAATTGTGGCTCCCAGTTAACCTTGTCACATCATCATGAATGCAGAAAGTGCTAAGTGGCCCATGCCTATGGAGAGGGATGCAAGAACTTACTGCTCACCTCCCCAGTGGCGGAAAGTCACTCCCCTTTTGGATCTGACTTCAGGTTTCTCCCTTGAGCATCATCCTTTGGATTCACTAATCATGAAACTGCTTAGCCCTCCTGCTCCACGTCTCTGGGAAGTTAGAAGTATTCATCACAAGAGTTTTTCTCACTTTTCTGCATGCAAAATGTCAGTTATTTCATATGAAATTTAAGACCTACTTTTCCTAAAAAGTGTTTAAGTAAATAGACTAGTACCTCAAAGTGAATTTTTAGCAATTTTAATAGTTGGAATTTTTTAATATGCTTATTTTTAGAAAATAACCAATTGATTCTTTAAAAATGGGTGACTGATCTAGTGTCCTAGAAACAAAAGCTAAGATTGACAAAGGCAAGATCGTTTTGTGAAAGATCGAGGAAGCCTGCTTTTTGCTTTAATGATTGTAGGGATATTATAGTGCAGTCCTTAGAAAGAAACCAAGATGTCAATGGAGTGTAAATGGTATGCCCAAGAATTTAGAGGCTATCTGCCTGCCTTTAGTTTCTTTGTACTTTCACGTCTTTCAAAAATATGTCCCACTATGGTCAAACCTGAGATGTTGTATTAGTCTGTTCTCATACTGCTAATAAAGACATACCCAAGACTGCGTAATGTATAAAGAAAGGAGGTTTAATTGACTCACAGTTCCGCATGGCTGGGGAGGCCTCACAATCATGGTGGGAGGCAAAGGAGGAGCAAAGTCATGCCTTACATGGCGGCAGGCAAGAGGGCATGTGCAGGGGAACTGCCCTTTATAAAACCATCAGATCTCTTGAGACATATTCACTATCACAAGAACACCAATGGAAAGACCTGCCCTCGTGATTCAATTACCTCCCACCAGGTCCCTCCCATGACACACGGGGATTATAGGAGCTACAGATCAAGATAAGATTTGAGTGGGGACACAGCCAAACCACATCAGAAGTGCTCCTCCCTGTGTCTTCTGTTTCAATCCTGGGAAAATTCCCCAGGAGCCCAGTGTAGTTTCATTCTGTGGAATCCAAGTCAACAAATATTTAAAATGCCTGTGAGACAGACAGAGGGTAATGCAATCAGCCTGAAACCCAAGGGCTGCCCAGAAAAACAGCAGACATACAGAGTAAAGCTCCTCACCGCCTCTGCACTGCTGAATAATGTAAAAGCCTGGTCACCGAGCCGCTGGGTCCAGCTCAGCCTCCTGCTAACACTGGGTGAAACAGAGAGAGTGGGTTAGGATTTCTGCTTTCCTCAAGCTTGACTCCTTTCCATTATCCCAAATTGCTGCTTTTCCATATTTAACAGTCATTTTCTCAACATGAGTTCCAACAGATCTCACGTGCTTCAAATACTGTGACTGCAGAACATCAAATCAAGGCTCTACTTGTCAATATCCTCTTCAAGAAAAGATTAGTATGTATCATTCTAATTATTGGAAAGGTTTGCCTCTGAAAATTCAGATGTGGCTATTCTCAAATATTTCCAGCTCCATTGATTGACCTCACATCACTCACATCTAGCAGGACTCCAGTACTGGACTAAAGCATCAGAATGTTCTTTGCTAAAATGCCTGGTGGGACAAAATGTTCCCGCAAAGCGTGGGGTCTTAGATCACCTGTGGTCCTCAGGTTCAGCTGACCCCCTGTCCTGGTATCCTGCAATTCTCTGGTCAGCTCACCTTCTTCCCCTCCCCACAGTAGAGGGTATTTCAGGGGAACCTGTGACCCTTCTGTCTCCTCTCTGGCCTTTGTCCTTGCTGATCCTGTCTCCCCTTAATTTAAAATCCATAGAAGAAACTTGCAGTTCCACCAAAGGTGAGTAGCCCCATTCTTCCCAGGGCCCCCATTTACATGGAGAATTCCTGCACACAGCCACACTGAGGGACACTCTGAAAAGTGGGAAGAAGGCAGGAGGCCAGGGGCCTTGGTACTCAAGGCCAGACGTGCCCTTGATTTCTAGCTTCCCCATGGCCTCCTGCACACCCCAGGCAGGGCACTGCAGAGCCCACAAGCCAGGGCCACCAGCAGAGCCAGACACAAAGCTCCACACAGCCTGCCCCTGACCAAAGTACCACGAAAACAGCTTCCAGCTGCAGGAAAATTTGTTGGCAAGTCCCATCCTACTCCAGTAAAACACCAAAGAAACAAGTGCTCCCCACATCCGTGATTTCAGCGGCGGGGGGACTCATCGCCGTGAGTGTAAGTTTGTGGGTGGCTACTCTGATTCCTTGCAGTAGGATTGGCAGGATGGGGCAGAGAGTTGAACTTCCAGCCTCTGCTGAGAGCTTGAATTAGCCTTGCTGGGGAACAGACACCAGGAAAACTACAAACACGGCTTCTCTCCAGCCCCACAAAGCTGGTTATCAAACAGGAGCACACCAGGCCTACCCTCATGTCAGTCCACATCAGTCCTCTGGATTTGGCCACTTTCTGAAGCTCTTGACTGTGGGGCTTCTCCAGCCTGTGCCACTGCCCCAGGGCTGTCTCTGCACCCACAGCTGATAGCCAGCACAGACTGCTGAGGAGCTCCTCTTACACCATTCTTGCTCTCGTTTCATGCATTAGCCATGCTGCAGTATCAAGAATGACATTTCTAAGATCTAAATCTATCTCTCTGCTGAAATCCCTTCCTTGGCTGCTCATTGCCCTCATGTTAAGAGCCAACCATCATGAAGAGCTGGCCTTTGAGCCCTGTCACCAGGTTTTACCTGTCTCTCCTGACCGTAGCTCCCCACTGGCACCTGTCATCCCCCTGCACCCCGGTGCTGTGCCTGATGCAGCCCCTCTAGGCTCCTGGCACCTGGCTTGGGCTTTACTCCTCCAGGGAGGCTGCACCCTGCCCAAGCTCAGCCTAACACCCTGCCCTAGCCTAACACTTTGTAATAGGAGCTTGCCTCATGACATTTTAGCTTCTCTAGCTTGGTCAGTGTCTTCCATTATCTAAGATTTCAAGAGGAAGTGACAGTCCTATCCACAGCCCCATTGATCTGCGAAGAAATGAATAATTAAAAAGAATAAGGAAGCATATTGCAGCCCCTCTAATTCTATTAATAGGGTCTATTATCAGGACCCCTAGCATCCATCACATTCGCTCTTGTTAACATCTTTATAATATTACACATTTTCCCTTATACAATTCACATTTTTGATTTCCTAAACTTCTTTTTTCTTTGCCTCTTCTCTTGCTTCCCCCAGCTTCTCCACTTACATTTTTCATAGGTTCCCCTTATGTCCTTGAAATTGCTCAATTACTCAGTCTATTCTAACACTCCAAAGATATGATTTTTTTCTTCTCAGCCCTAATGAAGAGGTTAATTTCATGAGGTCTTGGTTGCTTTCTGGTAAGTGGGTAAGATTACGGATGAGGACAAATATCTTTTAAGAGTGTTTGTATAGAACACAAAAAGAATTGATTATTCCCCCGCTAACTGGTAGTTAGCTGCAGAAGATGTTTTATATAATTTGGATGCCCTTTTTTTATAACCCTCTTGATTTGAATTTCTTCTGCCAAGAATTTTTTTTTGTCAGTGAAAACCTATGAAGTTTATTAAAAGCAATCATCAGTGGAATGACTCTATTAATTTTGCTCAAAGGTGGTAAAATGTCTCCCTAAGACATTTTTTGAAAACATTTTTATAATTTGCATACAGTGCCATATGTATAAAAGTTTTCCTAAGAACATCATTTTTAGCTGGAAATCAATCTAAATGTTTCATATTAGAAGAATGGTTAAATTAATTCCATTTATTATTATTGCAGCCTCTAAGAATAATTGTTTTGAAGATAATGTATTAACATTGGAACTTGCTAGTGGTGTCGTTCAGAAGGTGAGCTGCAATCCATGTTACCACTACAATTATATAAAAAAAGCAGAGGTGTGGACAACACTGGATATCATACCACATATTATTGTACTAACCCTATTACTTCACTGTGTGAAGCCCTTTCTCACTATTGTTGGACTTCCAGCTCTATGCTAGATCCTCTTCTGCAGATGTTTCTTGAATTTCCCAAGTAATGTCTCCTGAATGCTAAAGCACCAATCTTTAAAAGACGTATGTTAGCTGTGTCTTCTGGCCTATCTCTTTTTGCTGATATGGGTTACCAAGAAACTAGATTATGGCTAAACGTTATCAGTTATCAAACCATTAAGATTACAATGGAGTGTCACCAATGAAGAGAAAGGGGCTTCCCCTGGCTCCCATATCCCGAGCCAGAGGGGCTATTTCCAACCACTGCTGGTATAAAAAACCCATGATGCCAATGTGGCAAAGGATGCTGACCACAGTCCCAGATTACCTGCAGCTACGCTAACAAAGCTGAGCTCTAGTACTGGAAATACCGATGAGTCCTCCACCTTTTTATAACATGACCTCCCTGAAAGTTCTGCTGAAGCTTATTTACCTCGTGTATGAATAATGTTTATATATACATATAACAAAACCCACAGGCTTACAAAAGAAGCCAACCATAGTGAAATCCAGGTAGGTAAATACAAAGAACAAATATTTTATAGTGGTACCCATGCATCTTTATTAACACATTATAGGAGATCTTTCTTTGAGTGTCATATCTACCATAACTTTAAAGTAACAATGAACGCAAATATTTTGAAGTATCTATAACTGTTGTAATGTGATAGAGATGCACCTGTGTTTTCAATTAGGAATAAAACCATAAAGATAAATAGATAGATAGAGAGATACAGATAGATAGATAGATATAGATGATAGATAGATATAGATGATAGATAGATATAGATGAATGGATTGATGGATGGATGGATTGAGATAGATATAGAAAGATGATAGATAGATTAGAGAGATAGAAGGATAGATAGCTAGATATAGATGATAGATAGATATAGATGATAGATATAGATGAATGGATGGATGGATGGATGGATTGAGATAGATATAGAAAGATGATAGATAGATTAGAGAGATAGATGGATAGATAGCTACATGATGGGAATAGATAGATAATTGATTGATTGATAGACATATAGGTAAATAGATAGATGTAAATGGATGGATAGATAGGTAAATGATAGATTAGAAAGATAGATGGATAGACAAATACATGATGAGAATAGACAGATAATTGATAGATATAAATGGATGGATGGATATAGATAGAAAATATAGATAGATGAATGATAGAGATGATAGATTAGATTAGATTAGATGATAGATTAGAGATAGATGATAAATACATGATAGATGGTAAACTAGATTAGAGATAGATATATAGATAGATGATAATTAGATAGAGATGGATAGATACATGATAGGTGATAGATAGATAGATAGATAAATAGATACTGCATATAATACTGAGATTTGTTTCCCATGTCACAATAGAATGAAATGCAAATTTAAGGCTGCAATTAGTAAAAATATGAATATAATTTTTCCCATCTAAGTTTGCAGACCTCCGAAATTCTACTCACAGACTTCAGGTGCAAGTGCTCTGTAGCTGCCGGGGTGGGCTTCCCTGCAGCCTTTGGGTTTCTCTTTTCTGTTGGTCATAGAGCAAGGTTGCCTTGTGCTCCCAATCCTGAAGGAGACCTTGAGTGAAAGCCTTTCAACTTGCAGTCCTGGCTCTACCTAGCACCTGGACGTCAAAGCCCTTACCCTGATGGCATGACAGTGGTGTTCCTGGACCAAGTTCTTAACAGGCTGGTTTGCTGGGGGACACGTCGTCCCCAGACACTGTGGAGCCACTTTCCCAACAGATCGTGGCTCATCCATCATTCTGATCCTCCATACATGCCCAGACATCTTGTTCCCAGCAGTAGATAGCAAGTTCAAGTTGGGAGCCTGGAATAAAGTTTAAAATAAAGTTTAAATCGCAAAGGAAAAATGATGAGAAAAGACAGGAAGCCAGCCTCAGGAAATTAAATCCCTAGTGATCTAGCACAGGAGGTGGGGAACACAACTTGCTGTGTGTAGAAAAGATGTTTTAATCTTGAATATGTATCACTGTAACTCCACGGCACACAGCTCCGTGGGAGTCTAGGTGGTGGGGTACTTTATTCTAAGAAATTATCTGCAACTCACAGCAAGCTACAGATCCACAAAAGTACAGATTTTAATAGTTTGACTGGAGTATGCACCTACATGTAAAAACAAATTATTATTTGATTTTACAATAAGGGTACAATAAGAAAGAGTACAAGTTCAAAAATAATCTCCACTTTATTTCTAAAATAATTCTTCAAAAGAAGACCACTTTAAGACCGAATCTGTTACTTAAGGTTAAATGCATCAGCTGACAAACAGTGGTAAATTGCAATACGTAGAATAGTCAGTCAAGTAGAAATTTTAAAGAATAAAATCAATATGTGTCATTACAAGTGGTATTTTAGTTATAAGAAATGACCTATTTTTCTATACATAATTCATTTCATAAAAAATGTAATTCAAGAACATCACCTCCTTGTTTTCTAATCAATCACACGGCTCGGTACCCTGGATTAATATTTCAAGCTGTCACACATGTTTTCCCAACAGTCACGCTCAATTTGTTTTACACTATTATATGAAATGCAGCATTACAATGAGTTATCCTCGTCAAATACTTTGTTTATAAAATTCAGTAATTAAGAGGGTTCGATAGCATACTCTGAAATAGTTTATCATTGTGAAACAGCTTGACATTGACTGATTGATGTACTTTTATGCCTATAATCATGGCATACCTACAAATGATGCCAAAGATTTGTTTTCTTGAGAAACAGACTACAGGATACCGATGATTTCACTATTGAAATAGAACAATGTGCATGAGCATATTTAAAGTTGGTCAAAACTGAATGTCTGATGGCTATCTAGACACACATACAGTCTAGCTGCACACAGAATTTCATGGAAAATTTGCAATTAGTAGAGGCCATTGTGAAAAGGACAGGAAGGAGAAGGGTGAACTTACTTAGACTCTGTGTCTGTCTTTTTTGTATTTTTCAAAATGTTACTTAATTCTCAGTAAAATTCATATGTATACAAGTATTTTGATTAGCATGGGCCAATATCCAATGGCCAAGTGAGTTAACGTCAAGTGGCTAAAAAGAGAACTGAAAGAACACAAATAAAATTAAATTTGGAAAAAGAAATGACTGGTGCATCCTATGCTATTTCCCCATACTTTGCAGGTAAGAAATGATACCTAGAGTGCTGGTTATTAAAATCCTAACATTCCTCATCATAATTAAATTACCTTTGCTAAAACATAATTGAAGAAAGATGGTAAAGGATCTCTCCTTGATTGATTTCATGCTAGTTTCTTACTAATAGAATGTCCTAAAGTATTTAAAAATGCATTAAACAGGATTTGGTATTCTATTACTACACATGTCAAAACAATCACTTCCCTTAGAAAGAGAGCCACAGAATAGATGAGTAGACAGAAATCTTAGCAGCCACCTCAGGCAACGTGAAATAGAAAGAGTTAGTGGAATTCCCTCAGAATATTACATCAAATGTATCTCTGTGCAGTTCTGAATAGAAGACTACGTATTAACCTACTAACTACAGGTTAATACCATTATTGTAGGTTTTAACAAAAATTGTTTCCCTTTGTGTAAAATGTGTTATCTTTCCAATAATAACTCTTATTTTGTAAAATAAAAAAAGACAAATGTACAGTCACAATAGTCACATCATTTAGTGACTATTCAACTCAGGGATTTATTGTTACACATTACAGTAAATAATGAAAATGCCTTGATATCACATAGTGAAGAAAAAGATTTCACCCTGCAAAGCCTTTATGAATACTTATATTAAGAGAACAAACAATCCACGTCATTGCCTTAGTTTTATTACTAAGCCAAAAAATGTATGGGTAAGTGAAACTAATAATTTAGAGATAACTCTTTCTCTCATTCAGGAGAAAAATGTCTCACATCTTGCTTGAAAATTTTCTCAGAGATAAAGTGGCATACTATATTTTGCTTTCTTGCAGGCCTGAGGGGAATACCTCCAATCCAATGGTGCTTGTTGGGTGCAGTTCACTCATTCTGAAGTCGGTTCCTCTGCAGGATACAGTTCAGTAGACGGAGTTGAAGGTAAAGACCTAGGTGTGCAGGTTTCCAAAGGAGGCACTGTAGACCCTCCAAAGAGCCTCTGTCTGGACTGACAAAACTTAAACTGTGCAAATACATTCAAGACTTAACTGTCTTGATACGAGGCCCAGGCGGGTGGATCACCTGAGGTCAGGAGTTCAAGACCAGCCTGACCAACATGGAGACACCTCATCTCTACTAAAAATACAAAATTAGCCGGGCATAGTGGCACATCCCTGTAATCCCAGCTGCTCGAGAGGCAGGAGAATTGCTTGAATCCAGGAAGCAGAGGTTGCAGTGAGCCAAGGTTCACCATTGCACTCTAGCCTGGATGACAAGAGCAAAACTCGGTCTCAAAAAAATAAAAAAAATAATAATAATAATAAATAAAAGAACAAATAACCAAGAGGAGCTTCTGGAATTCACATATACAGGAAATTTTTTTTCACATTTCTAGGTGTCAAATACAGCTAACGAAAGAAGAAATCAGCTTCCCACATTTCTTTTACATTTCAGTTCATTCTAACTATCCCATATTTTATAGATAAAATCTTAAACAGACCTAAAATAAGTGTAGCATACCTCATTCATTATAAGAAACAAAAGATAACAACCCAGTTAAAAACTGAGCAAAGGACATAAATAGATATTTCTCCAAAGAACACATAGAAATGGCCAATGGGAATATGAAAAGATGTTTAATTTCACTAATCATCAGGGAGATGCAAATAAAAAAACCACAATGAGATTTCCCCTCACACATGTCAAGATGATCATTATAAAAAAAAAAAAGAGATGACAAGTGTTGCTGAGGCTGTGGAGAACCTTGCACACTGGAACCTTGCACACTTTCAGTGGTGTTCAGGGATCTCTGGGGTGTCGATTTTCCTGGCTGGAAACCCCGGAGGTCGTGGTGCCTTTGCCTGAGTTCTTGTCCTGCGTCCAGGAAGAATGAGGTATGCAGACAAGTGAAGGGTGAAGAAGAGGTGTTCTGTTTAGTGTTAGAACAGCTCAGAGGAGTGGGTAGCTCCCCTCTGTAGGCAGGTCGTCCGGTGGAATGTTCGGCTCTCTGGAGTGGCTCTGCAGAGGATAGCTCCTCTCTGCTGGCAGGTCATTTGGACACCTCTGCAGGTCTCTGAAGCTCTCAGCAGAAAGAGTAACTTCTCTCTGCCAGCAGGTTGTCTCTGCAGCTCTCAGTGGAGAAGGCATTCCTCTCTGCAGCTGGCCGTCCCATCATCTCCAGCTGTCAGCAGAGAGAGTACTCCTCTCTGCAGCTGGTCATCCAGTCCTCTCTCTGCCCTCCTCATCTTCTGGTCATCCTCTGCCCTGGGCTCTGAGCCCGGGGATTTTGTGGACCTCAGAGGGGAGGAAGGGCCTGCCAGTTGGTCCATGGGCAGCCATGGGCAGACCTGGAAGAGGCACCACGAATCCCCACTCCAGTCTGCAGGACTGGCAGCCCGGCCCTCCCTGGCCTGAAGGTGGGACCTTACTGGGGACCCGCCCCCTTCTGCCCAGAAATTAATCTGACTGCTACTGTCATTCTTGGCCCCAGGGCTCGGCCCCCACCCCACTCTGAGATTGGAGCCGGCACCGGGATCAGAGAGAGGCCAGGCAGCGGGAGCAGACACCTCTGAGCCTGCATGGATGCTGTAAAGGGGGTAGGGCCTTCCCAGCCCCCGAGGGTGCAGGCTGCAGAGACGGTCAGGTCCTGAGCCTGGGCGGGCTGCCACAGTAGAGCTCCCCCCTGCCCTGCCAACTCAGAAGGGCGGGGTTCCTTCTTGTCCCTGGTGCCTGCTTGCTCCATGGAGTAGGAGGCCTAGGTCTGCAGCCACATGTTGGGTGATTGCAGCTGCACTCACCCAGGAGGGCAGATCCTACCTGCTCCTGGCCCGCTGGAAGAGCACAAGGAGGCTTGGATCCACAGCCGCAGTCTGCGTAGTAGCCCCGCCCAGGAGGCTGGGTCTTCTGGAGTCTGTAATCCCAGCCATGCCTCCCTGCTGCAGCCGGCATGATGACGGCAGCCACTGCCAGCAGGAATGGGAAAATGATGTCGCCGCTATAGGAAACAGTATGAGGGTCTCTCAAAAAGTAAAAGTGGAACTACCCTATGATCCGACAATCCCACTTATGGGAATAAACCCAAAATAATTGAAATCAGGGTCTCAAAGAGACGTCTGCACTGCCATGTGTATTGCAGCATCGTGCACAACAGCCAAGATAAGGAAGCTGTCCAAATGTTTGCTGACAGATAGATGGATAAAGAAAACGTGGTATATCCATACCATGGGATATTATTCCGTCTTGAAAAATAAGAAATCCTGCATTTTCAACAAGGCTAGGCCTGAAATACATGATGCTGAAGTAAATGACAGTCACAGAAGGACAAACACTGCCTGATTCTTCTATAGGAGGCTTCTGGAATAGTCAGGGGAGGGGACAATAGGTTGGTGTTCAGCGGGGCTGGGGAAGAGGGGTGTGGGGAGTTAGTGTCCGATGGGCATAAAGTTACAGTTAAGCGAGATGAGTCGGTTCCAAAGACCTGCCGTACAGCATAGTGCCCAGAGCTAATACTTACAATTTGTGTTAACAGGGTGGATCTCACATTAAACAAGCAAAAAAACAATGAGACACAAGAAAACTCTTGGAGGCATAAGTATGTTTATTGCGTGATTGTGGTGACAGTGCAGAAGTGTATACATAGGTCCAGACTGGCCAAATTGTATACATTAATGATGTGCGGTTGTTATGTACTAACTATATCTCACTAAAGCTGAGATTTAAAAAAAAAAACAGACTAAAGATATATTATGTTTTTACTTCAAATCCCAGGATTGAGACTTACATGTTTGATATCACACAGTGAAGAAAAAGATTTAGCCCTGCAAAGCCTTTATCAACACAACTACTAAGAGAGCAAATGATCCAGGTCATTTCCTTAGTTTTATTACTAAGCCAAAAAATATGTAATTAAGTGAAACTAATAATTTAGAGGTAACTCTTTCTCTAATTCAGGAGAAAAATGCCTCACACTTTGCTTAAAAGATTTCTCAGAAATAAAAATTGGCATATGGCATTTTGCTTTGGCTGATGGTGGTTGGTGTCCTCGACGTTAGGGCTTCCTGTTTTCCATTGTGTCGCTTAAAATGAACACATCAGCCCTTAATTGTAGTTTCTGTTTTATTGTACAATTTAAATGTGGGAGGGGGGCCAATATTGGAACTTCACTTGTGCCAAGGGTGTGCTGTGCTCTGTATGGCACCAGGAAAGCTACAAGGGGAGGGGCCGACCTATGAAACCACCAGCATGAAGCACCTTAAGTGTATTGATATCCAATCCCCTGAAATTCATTTTGAATTTCATTTTTAATTTCCCTGCCAGGAAGCGGAGGCACAAGTGAGTGAGGCAACCTGTCCAAGGATACACCCCTGGGAAACAGACCAGAGATCCACGGCCGTGTCCTCACTCTCTAGGCACACCAAAGGCGGAAGCAAAGCTGGACCCTCGTTAAGGTCGTGCGCCTGTCTGGAGGCACGGCCAGCTTCTAGGAGAGCTTCCCTGAATGGATCCGACGCAGCTACACGCGCGCTGCTGTGAGCTCAGTGACTGAGGACCCTGCCCTCAATCACGCGGGGCAGCCTGGAGGAAAAGCCCAACCCTTGGGCTGCTCCGCCGCCTGGGCTCCATTCCCCACGCAGTCCCCTCCACCTAACTTTTCCTCCCCCAGGACCCGCGCCCCACACTGCCTAAACCCAGCGCAGGCTTCCAGTCCCAACCCAGCGCCCTCTCCGCGAGCTCAATACCACGTGCTACTTCTCTGGTGGCTTTGGTTACATCACTCTTGTTTTGTTTGTTGTTTGTTTTCCTTTTAACCACGATTCTGTTTGTTTCTCTGCTGGCTCTCCCCTGCCACCCAGATGGGAAGGATGAGAGGTTTTCAGGTTTCTGTCCTAGGCTTTCTTCCATGCTCCTTTGCACATCTTCCCTGGACAATTAGACCCTTTGCCATGTGTTCATCTACCTCAGGCCCTCAGCTTCCCATCACACCTCAGTTCCCAATGCTCTTTAGTGCAGCTGACCCCCACGCCCATGGACTCCACTCCCTCTCCACGTGGACCAGCCACTGACATTTCTAAAGCTGGGTTCAGAGATTTCCCACCCATGCCTCCTCCAGCTTTAGTATTCCCAGCTTTTTATAAACCATCACGTGTCCCCAGTAGCTCAAGCTAGACCCTGAGCAATGACCTTGACCATCTGTCCTTCTCCAGGTCTCCTGGATGCTGCCCCACCCCACTAGATGGGGCTCTGGGCTCCATCCCCCCTAAGATGTGCTTCCCCTCTCACCTGCCTGGATTAGGGGTTTCCTTCATCCACATCGGTTCTCCTTCAGTCTGTTCATCAGTCAGAACGACTTTTCATAAAAAGTAAGTGAATCTGATCCTTTAACTCACAAGCATCCAGCCCTCAGCAGCTTCCTCTTTCAAGCAGAGTAAAGCTCAAAATGCTGAATGGAAGGTGGCCCCTAGGCCCTCAGACTCCTGTGCTCACCTCCTCAACAGCAGTTATTCCACCTGACACAGGTTCTGTCCCTGCAAGGCTGTCAAAAGCCTCGATTCCTCCCCCTGGAAGCCTTCGTCTCCCCTTGTGGAGTTGTGACTCTGAAACCCCATCCAATGCTGTTCTCGGAGCAGGCCTCACAAGCATCCCAGCCTCCTTCCTCCCAAGGATTATCTGTAGCGTCCCCCACGCACCCTGTGGTTCCCAGTGAGGTGGTTTCCACACCTACAACTATTTAGCTATTTGTAATCACCTGGCTGGTGCTTGCCTGCGTTGAAAGGTTGCAGACCAGGTGCACCTTCTCAGCTCACAGCCCCATGCCTGGCACACGGCGGGCACACTCACCACGTGTTTGCTGAACGGCTGATTCAAATCCAGCACATTCTCAGTAGCATAGACTTAAGTTAAAGCAATTTGAACGTCAAATGAAATGTAACAAGAATGTTCTTAGATGATGACAGAGCAGAAGCACCATCATCTTGAACAAACATCACCATTTTAAATTCCAGCTCCCTTTCTAACCTCATGCATTTCAAGGAAATTACTTCTCTTCTAACAACAAGCAGCCAGAAAAAGCAGACAGCAAAACACACATAAAACAGCTCGGGCACAGAAGAAGGGGAGAAGTCTCCTTGGTAATCACCAAACTTCATATTTACACAGTGGGCCCCAGTGAAACAGTGGGCCATAATAAGCACATTCCTTTCCTTTTAGGTGAATGAAGATAGGGAAGTTAAGGCCGACTGGGGAGTATCCCTGAAGCTGCAGGAAGATGTGTGGGAACAAACACAAAAACTCTTTCTCCCTGATAAGCAAGACAAAGAGATACAGACTAAAAGTTGGCCTATGTGGTCTGGGAATGGGGTGAGAGCTGATAAATACTCTGCTCTATATAAATAGCACACCTGGTCCTAACTGAACCATCAGGCCCTAGGAGGATAAGGCACCCCCTCCTCATGAGCCCCTGATCCCTTAAATACCCCTAGTCTGTAAGAGAAAAAGCTCCTGACCTAACTCAGCCAGAAGCCCCCGTCAGGTTTATTCTCTAAAATAAACCTGTCTTTGACTGTTGAGCCACCTTTCATGCTCCTTTCTTCCTTCCTCAACTCTTACAGATGAGAAAGGTAATTAATCAGAAACAATTGTGTCTTTCAAGGATCAGTGAGGCAGAACTAAAGCCAATATTAAAAGCCAAGAAGCACATTTCTGACACTTAAAACATAGCAAAAGATAATTAATGCACAGAAAAAATGAAAAGAGACAAGAGAGGCCAAAGCACGTGAAATACAAATGAGTGCCACAGGGAAAAAATTAAAACCAAATTGCAAATGTTCTGCTTACACACTGAAATGAGGCTTCTATTAGGGACACTGAAAAAGAGCTTTTGAAAAAGTGTATTCTGGGATGGCTGCTCATTGTATGACCTTTTTAAGAAATAAATCCAAAAACACCAAGTTCCCCAGCAACCCATTAAATTACAGAGGCAAAATAGGTACAATTGTTTCAGAGAACAAGACAAGTTTATCCAATATAAGATTGCTATGAATATGTGTGTTTGTGGATGTCACAGATATGCCTATATAATAGATAATACTGAGAAGTTTGTCTCTTGTATGATCAATTTAATCATTTTAAACTGCATGTATTTCTGTTCCTGGTTTAATTTAGTGTGCAAATATCTAGGTATATAATATAAAGATTTAATATTTTGATATTAAAATAATTTTTAAATTTCATAGCATCATTCCTCTGAATAACTCAAATAACTTAAAAACGTGCACCTGATTTAACAAAATATTTGTGAAATGAGTAACTGAAATCTGAAAATTAATATCTAGCTAAATCAACTTTGAGGTCTGACAGAATTACCTGATTAATGTCTGATGATCAAGTAACTTTATTCTGTCTTCATTCATTCTTCAATACATGTACACAAAATCATGCTATGCATCTATAACAGAGCATTTCTAAAATCTCATTTTGTTTTCCATAGGGAGGCTGATATGGTTAGGCTGTGTCCCCACCCAAATCTGATCTTAAATTGTAACTCCCATAATTCCCAGGTGTTGTGGGAGGGACCCAGTGGGAGATAATTGAATCATGGGGGCAGTTCCCCCATACTGTTCTCATGGTAGTGAATAAGTCTCAGGAGAGCTGATGGTTTTATAAGAGGAAACCCCTTTTGCTTGGCTGTCATTCTCTCTTGCCTGCCACCATTTAAGACGTCCCTTGCTCTTCTGCCATGATTGTCAGGCCTCCCCAGCCAAGTGGGACTCTGAGTTCATTAAACCTCTTTTTCTTTATAAATCACCCAGTCTCAGATATGCCTTTATCAGCAGCCTGAGAGTGGACTAATACAGAGGCAGAGAAAATATTCAAGATATGGGTTGGTCAGGGCCAGTTGTAGGAGAGAGGACACCCAGGGGCATTTTGTTTGGAAAATAGTCTTAGACAAATTTGAAGTTCAAGGTAAAAAAAAAAAAAATTAGCAGAGGCACGTTCCATTCTTTTTGGATAATGTGAGGATTTGTAGATGCCAGGTGAGCAGCTTCAGTCACATGGTCACATGGTGGCTCTGGGCTACCCAGAGGGCTGCTTTTGAGGGTGTGCGATTCTCTACTCCAAGCTGCTTGGCTTCTCCCTGGGCACTTTCCCCAAGCTCCACTGGCACGTTTTCCACCAGTGAGACGCGGAGACAGCAGTGTGTGGGGGTCATGCGGCCCAGGTGGCAGGGCCCTCTCCACTTGGGACCCGCTCATGCTGCTCAAAAGACCATAGTTCCCACTGTGGCTTCCACTCCTGGGACTGAGGAATGAAAAACATGTGTCTCTGTGACACAGCGGTACTATCAAGCTCCTGTATCAGAAACGCATTAGACACAGAACCTAAGATTGTGATATTATACATTTTTAAAATACAGAGATTGTTGATGCATCATTAGAATGAATTTTGATCTTGTACTCACAGCCATTTATAAGTACTGTTGTATATCCTGAAATGTATGAAGGCAAGCTGTATAGGGCATATATATATGTAAAAGTCCTACAGCCTTCAGGTTTTATTTATTTAAAAAAGGCTCATATTAGACAGCGCAGCTATCATGTTCAACCTTGGACTTGCATGCTGTAGGTTTTTTTAGGAGCTGACCCCCTCCCCTTGCTTGCAGAGTTTGCCTTTGATCCTCTTGAATCCCTTCACTAGGGCAAGCTTGCTCTTGCTGTGGTTTGGATATTTGTCCCCACCATATCTCATGTTGAACTGTAATCCCCAGAGCCGGAGGTAGGGCCTGGTGGGAGGCATTTAGATCATGGGGGTGGATCCCTCATGGCTTGGCACTGTCTTCATGATAGTGAGTTCTCTTGAGATCTGGTCATTTAAATGTGTGTGTCACCCCCTCACCGTCCCTGGAGTTCCTGAGGCCTCCCCGGCCATACGGAACCGTGAGTCAATTAAACTTCCTTTCTTTATAAATCTCCCAGTCTTGTGCAGTTCATATGGCAGTGTGAGAATGGACTGATACAACCTGCTCCTGCCATGTGACTTGTCTGCTTCCACTTCACCTTCCACCATGATTGGATGCTTCCTGCAGCCTCCTAGAAGCCAAGCAGATGCCAGCACCAAGCTTCCTTTACAGCCTGGAGAATCATGAGCCAATGAAATCTCTTTTCTTTATAAATTACCCAGTCTCAGATGTTTCTTTATAGTGATGCAAGAACGGCCTAATACAAAGCTTCTTCCTCACAACAGGCCTTGGTTTTTCAGAACATTTTGTAGATGATGAAGATGATGTCTTAAGCTATGCTCCAGTGATTTTATTGAGGAAAGAATACTTCTCACTGGAAGTTTTTTGTTTGTTTGTTTGTTTTTCCTAGATGTGTTCTAATGTCTGAGTAAAGACACTGAATTGTCATAAACATAAAAATGGGTTCCTTAAAGAGTATCAGTATGTGTTTCAGTATGAATGTGATGTGTGTGACTGCAGGCTACATCAACTAAGACACCTACAAAACAACAACACTGAGCAAGGCTTTAGCAAAACACCCTCACTAGACCTCCATTTTCATCAAAGAAGGATGAATGGTTTGATTAAATTTTTGCCTTCTGCATAATTTTAAAGTGTTTTAATAATCTTGATTGCTAAATTAATCAAATGAAGTAGAGGTAATAAGATCTTTATTCTAGCATAGATATAGGATGTAGAATTTTAGAAGAGCTTGGAAACTTTACTTTTCTGGCATCAAGATAGAGTTTAAAAGTTTCTTGGCGTATGTATCTTATGCAATGAGAGCCCTCAGACCAAATTATTCTGTTCTAATAAAAAAAAAAGTCATTTTAACCCCCAGATATTTTGAGTCTCCATAATGAAGGTGTTCTATTTGTAATTGTTAATCAACTTAATTCTGCCCAGAAATTATGAGACTGCTTTGCAATTTTCTGCTACTCATGCATCTCCACTGTCTTGTGATCGTGAAGGAAAGGGCTCACCTTCTGCCTTTGTGTCCCCAGCACACCATGCTCCACAGACGCTGCTTTAATGAATTATCCACTGAATGATCACAACATCTTTTATTTTGACAGATTCTTAACCCCATTGCCAGAAACTTTGTTGCACAGAAGGAAGATAAATGAGGCCTTGAAGAATCCTTTTCCAGGAAAGCAAGTGGCTTGGGCCAAGCACTATGTAAATCAACCTTCACCTTAAGGACTTTTGAAGAATGATTCTGAATTCTTAAGCAATCCAGCATGGTTTGCAGAAAACAAATACAAACCCAGAATCTCACCAGAATTTAATTTTCTATGCTGTATTTTCATTTAAGAAATCTTAACAGTAAACTGTGAGGCAATGATATGCCCACGGATTGTTAGGTATGCATTATAAAATGAGCATCCACTTATGATGTGGATACATTTTCAACCAACAAAATTGATTCAATTACTAAAGTTTGCATCCCCTTTAAAGAGCTTTTAATGACAATTTCATCTAAGTCTGTACACTTGATTATTTATTGGGCAGACAGGAATTAAATCTTGTGAAAAATCTACCTGCCAGACTATGGGAATAAGCTTACAGGATGTAACATGTTCCATGCCCCAAAGAAGCCATGGTGGATGCAGAAGGAGATCACTGCAGTAGGGATGCTGTAGGTGCAGTAGAAAAGGTGGTGGATGGAGCACAGGGGAAAGCTCCCACCCAGCCCGGCAGGTGAGGGCCTAGGGGGTGGTCAGGGAAGGATTCTTAGAAGGGACAACTACGTTGAATACTAAAGAATGGGTCTGAGTGGAGGGTGAGGAATACAGGTGTTCTGAGGAGGGTCCACAGGGTGAGATGTACATGGGAAGCTCTGGGCGCCATGACCCTGTCAAGTGTATGACAGGTTAGGCAGCCAGGGAAGGAGGCATGAGGCAGTGGCCCCAGTGTGGAGCCTGGATGAGCCCTGTTAGAGAGCACAGCCCACACCCTGTGGCAGCACAGAGAGGGGAAGGACTCCACAGCAGGTCACCCTGCCTCTGTGAGTCAGAGCATCTGTGGATGTTAGCTTGTTCCACAGTGTGCCTTAGTGTGGCTGTGGGAAGTCTGAGCTTCACTGGCTTACTTCCTCCATACAAATGACTTGTTTAACCAGAAGTCCTTAGACTGTCTCTACTACATTTAAAATTCAGTCGATTGACTAGGATAGCTCAGTGGTAATTGATCCAAATCATTTTTTCCACTTAAAGCAGTCTCTGTACTTTAAACCTACTGATCCAATCTTCCATTTTTGAGGAATGTCGTTCAGCTAATTTTGAACGTTTCTGTGAAAACTTACTTTGTTCTTTTTCAAGAATATTTGCTTCAATGGGTGATATGGTTTAGCTATGTCCCCACCCAAATCTCATCTTGAATTGTAGTTCCCATAATCCCCACGTGTCATTGGAGATACCCAGTGGAAGGTAATTGAATCATAGGGGCAGTTTCCCCCATGCTATTCTCATGATAGTGAGTGAGTTCTCAGGAGATCTGATGGTTTTATAAGTGTCTGGCATTTTCCTTGCTGGCACTCATTCTCTCTTCTGCTGCCCTGTGAAGAGATGACTTCCGCCGTGATTGTAAGTTTCCTGAGGCCTCCCCGGCCATACGGAACTGTGAGTCAATTAAACTTCCTTTCTTTACAAATCTCCCAGTCTTGTGCAGTTCTTTATAGCAGTGTGAGAATGGACTGATACAACCTGCTTCATTCTCACATCTAACATCCTTTCTCTAATTAGTTTAAACACATTGTTCTTTTCCATTTAATTTTTCTCAATTTTCTCAAAACCTCTCTCATGTCCTGATTGCATTTTCAGCAGTGTCTAAGACCAAGTCTTCTGCTTCCAACAGGATTTTCATTTTGTTGGGCTTTTCTCTCCTGTGTCTTTCTTGAGTTTTGCAGCTCATTTTGCACCTCGTTCTTTCCCCTTACAGTGATTTTCACAATGCCAGCGGGAGGCAGTCACCAAGGCTGCCCCTCTCTATTCTGGGCCTAGTGCAGAACACAGAGACAGTGGCATTCTGAGTGTTTCCAGCCCAGGCATTAGGGAGGCCTGGCAGCTCTGCTTCCCTCCTGGAAAACACATTCCCATCTATGTTACTGTCTAAGCTCGAATTCCCTGAAATGAAGTGTCGTAAGAGCAGAGGTTAAAAGATTCAGCTCTTCTTGTAGTGTTTTAAACTGTTTTCAAAAGGAAGAAAAAATGCATTTACCTATGATAAGTTTTTGCCTCTTGAGTTCATTTCAAATTATAAAATATCAGAGTCAAAGATGGTAAGAAAATTTGCATGTATTTACACCAACAATTGCAAGTCCCAGAAAGAATTTTATACCAGATTAGGTCTTCACCACAGATCATTTTAAACTATTTTCTTTCCCCTAACACCTGAGGAATTTGGACTTTTACCAGCGATTTTGACTCACTCTTGCAGAAATGCTTAGAGGCAGAGTAGGGGCAGTGTCGGTAGGGAGTGGGACACGGTCACCTCTGAGAGTGTGTAGGGTCTCTGGGATGCTGGCACCCCTCCTCCCTTATCTACCTGACAAGCCACATTAATTTCACTCAATTCAGACTCAGAAATCCAAACAAAGTCCTAGGCCAGGTTCTTTCAGTCACCATCCTCTCTGTGTTGATTATGTGTGAAATAAGTCACTCTATGGAATTTCCACTGTGTCAGAGGTCACAGGAGAAGAACCATCACCCCCTCAGGTCAAGAATAGGTTAACTGTTCCAGGATCCTGATGACTTCCATTTAATTCTTATTTAATCAGAGATTTGCAAAACAGAAACAGGAAGTATTCTAAATTAATTTACGAAGAGCTCTGGTTCTCAGCAGCAGCAGAAGGACACTATAACCTATGTGAATTCAAAATAGCTGAGGCAGGTCTCAGTCAATTCAGGAAGTTAAGGATGCTCCTGTGACATAGCCTTGGGAGGTCCTGAGGACAGATGCCCATGGCTCTGGGGGTACAGCTTGCTTTCTACATTTTAGGGAGACATGAGACTTACTAATGAACAATAATAAGATGGTGTTGGCACCATGTCATCATTTGCCCTTTTCTCCTCCTTGGCATTTTTTTAAAAAGGCACTTCCAGCTGAAAAGAAGTTGCAGGAGAAACATCAAGAGTGAAAGAGGGGAATGATGGCAGCCAGGAGGCGAGCAGGGCCACACAGGCAGCCCCTCCTTCAGCCCAGGAGACACCTGTGCCAGACCCCATGCTTTGAAGGGCCCTTACCCTCTGATGGTGCAATGCTGGGAGGTAGATGGTTAGGGGAAGTGGGGAAAGATCCCTGAGACCATAACCATGCAAAAAAAAAAAAAAAAAAAAAAAGGCTTTTTCCCACATCAATTGACTTAAAATCAAGCCCAGCCTCGGAATCATCCCTAACGATTTGATTGCATTAAGCATGTGTGAAATTGCACTGTGGAGTGCTACAGGAATTCTAATCTTAATAGAAAGAGTGAATAATACAAGTGCTGAGTAATAGTCAAAATTGCTCTTGGGGATATTTTATGTCATGCGTGGCTTGACATGGGCACTCTGAAATAAATGTTTTTGAATAAATGTTTATTGGCAAATTTTCTGTCTCTTCCATTAGAATGTGAGCTCCGTGAAGTCAAGGATTAAGCTTCATTCTCTGATTCACTTCCACATGTGAACATGCAGTGATCCCGCTGTGGGGCGCGGGGGCTGCAGTCTGCGTTTTCACAATCCCTGGGTAGCCGCCATGCATGATGATGTTCGGGGTCACCAAGCCCTTGCATCTTCCTCGCATTCTTGCCAGCCCTGAAACCCCCCTGTCCATTTCTGTGTGTGCTCTGGTCTTGGGCTACTAGAAATGTGAGCCCTTGGAGAGCTTCAGCTCACCTAAGATTTTTATTTTAGAATCGCAGATACATGGGCACTGCCTGACGTAAGGTTGGTGATCAGTTAACACCGGTTACGGCACCCACAGCAAGTGTCTTCCCATCAACTCGGTTTCAACACAAGAAATGAGTGATTCATGCTGTGAAACTGACTCATGCGTCTTACTATTTCTCCTTAAAAAAATTAGGGGATTAAAATAGAATACTAAGAGGGAAAAAGTTAGATGGTTGAAAGAACAATATCAATGATGATATAAGTCAAACAGAAGGATAAATAATGGGTGAGTGAGAAATGATACAAGATATAAATAGAAACAGGAAAGGCACAGGCACATTTAGCAGTAGGAAAACATAGCTATAAAGTTTCAAACATTAAGTGGTCTTTTGGACTCTGACATGTTCACTGTGGCCGATCTGTGGAGGGCTTAACTGATCATATGGGAAACATATTACTGAAGATTATAATCTATGAACTGCCTGGAAGTCTT
Organism: Homo sapiens; assembly: GCF_000001405.40. NCBI lineage: Eukaryota > Metazoa > Chordata > Mammalia > Primates > Hominidae > Homo > Homo sapiens. The sequence continues at coordinate 77,597,519 of NC_000018.10, read as the reverse complement.
TTTTTCTCTTTTCTTCTTTTTTCCTTTCCTCCCTTTTGTTGTTCTTTCTCAATTCATATGTCAAAGATTATTCTTGTTGTGAAGTTCATATTTAAAAAATATCTTAGCTCTTTGTTTAGAACACAAATGCCTACTACTTTATGAGCTACATGGGAGAGACTCATGCTGCATATGATAATTGCATTATCCATGTTCAAGATTACTGTAAATGGAAGGTTCATATTCTAAATTGCCCATTAAAATCTCTGCTGAACCTTCAAAGAAGTTAAAAAAAAAAAGGAAAAGTATTTTGTGTTTCCTTTATTACTAGGAAATCAGGTTTTCAGTTTTTTATGGGGCAGAAATTTTCAACATGAAATGTAACTTGAACTCCGTGAGATCCATCAAAGACTATTTTGTTTGTGATTAGTACACATTACTCCAACACAACATCGTGGGAAACCGTGGGTCTCGGTAAACCTCATCCACAGATTTGTAATAGAGTGGTCCATGCCAGTGAATAACCTGCACCGTATTAAGAAGATGTGCAAAGGCATATTTGCTTCCCAAAAATACAGATGGTTCCATACAGTGCAGATCAGGTTCTGATTAAGTCAGGCCCCATAGGGGGAACGCTTGGCCCCTAAATTCTCTATAACAAATGCACTTCTTGTTGTATTTTTAAGACTTCAAACCTGAGGCACAATTTATTTAATTTGATAAGAATGGTAGGGATTCAGAATATTATAATCAAGTGTCCTCCAAGCAGTATGGCCAAAATCAGGAATCCATTTATTCTGGTTGCCATAGTCTAACTAAACTATTGTTTTTGAGGTACTGAATTTTTTTGAAGAACTATGCATTTGTGTTGTGTGTGTGTGTGTGTGTGTGTGTTTAGTATATATAAATATAAAAGAGACAGATGGCATTCTAATCAAAATTAATACTCTGTAGTCCTCATCATCGAAATGTAATACAAATTAAACTCTTTCTTTAGAATTGCTTTTTAGCAATCAAATATTAAATATCAAGCCAAAACGGAAACACCTCTCCCATTCTCTCTTCCTTCTTACAGGACACTGCTTTCTTAAAGTGGTTGGGTATTTTTTCTCTGCATCTTTATTGGAAAATAAAATTGTATTACACATGTCAGTATGTAACAGTATGTTTTAAAGTTGTATGTAAAGAACATACACACACACACACACACATTCTAAAACCCATAGCAATGTAGTAACCTACATTTATATAAGAGATAACACCGCATTACTCTAAAAGACCATTTTTATGGGTTTTGCGTCTCAGACTTCTGCACATCCTTTAGTGGGACACCCCTCCCTCTGTTTCAGACTATCTTTTCCAGATGCCTGTGTCATGAGCAGCCTTGGAAGAAAGGAATAGCATCTTCCTGATGTGCAAAGGTTGGGTTTGTCTGCAGCTCTGGAAGACAGAGATAGTATCTACCTTAGCAGCTAAGGCAAGCATGCTGACTGCCCAATATAGCAGAGCCTCCCTCTGGAGCAAGGGTCGGCAGATCACTGCCCTTTACGAAAGATTCAGGTCCCTAAAGCTTAGGTTCCCCTTCCCGTAACTGAGCCCACTGCATATGCAGCTGTCACCGAGGTCTGCTCATACTGCTCTGTGGCAGTGTTTTGCTCAAGGCACTGGCACAAAGGTGATGGCATTCTGGCTGCCACTGTTGGAGCTCGTGATAAACCACCTGTGTCTCTAAGCCAGGAGTCTTGTGTCTCCTCCAGCATCCCTGAAACTGTGGCAGGCTAACAGGTTGGTGTCCAAGCAGGGAAACTCTGAGACCTGTCACAGTTCTGCATATAAGGCACGTCTTTACACATCTGCTTATTCGTATGGGAGAGCTTTTCCGGAACACACACCTAGGAGTGAAACGCTGTGTGTACATGGCTTAAACTGTGTTTATATTGCCAAATTGGCAAGAAAGTTTACATATCGACTTAATTACTGATTGGTACTGATTAGAGGTTATTTTTCCAACATCCTCCCTATCCTTGTTATTTATAAAGTTTAAATTGTTATTTCTCTGTAAGCGTATTCTTTATAGATATAGATATATCCATTAGAAGACACTGAATAATATTCAAATATTAACCCATTCCTTGGCCTTCTGCTGATGAATTTCTTACTTTTATTTTAAAGGTTTGAGATATGAGCCTCCTTCCCTTGAAGAAGACAAAGTGAGGCGTGTTCCGCGTTTTTCAGGGAAGCACCAAGCATGCCCCTTAGTGACGGTTTTCTGGTGTGGGAGGCTGTCCTCACTATCTGCTATCAGAACTAGGCATTCTTTTTCAGGAAATAATTTTATCCACTTTTCAAGTCAGCCAAGCTACCCCTATACTGAAAATCCTTTGATAGTTACTTCAGTCGCTCTATGTGTTTACAGACATAATGGAACATTTATAAAGAACAAGATACAATTCTTGTATTTTTAGCAATTTGATGAAACTATCTTTAGTTATTTTGTTTGTTTGTTTGTTTGTTTATTTTAGAGATGGAGTCTTGCTCTGTCACCCAGGCTGGAGTGCAGTAGTATAATCACAGCTCACTGCAGCCTTGAACACCTAGGCTTAAGAGATCCTCTCACCTCAGCCTCCTGAGTAGTTAGGACTACAGGTACACATCTCCATGCTTGGCTAATTTTTAAAAAACTATTTTGTTGAGATGGGGTCTGCTATGTTGCCCAGGCTGGTCTTGAACTCCTAGCCTCAAGTCATCCTCCTGCACTGACCCCTCCAAGTGCTGGAATTATAAGCATGAGCCACGATGCCTGGCCAGTTATTATTTTAAATATATAATTTTTTACAATACTTTGGATAAGATTCACAATTTTTATAAATAGGGCAATTTTATGAAAACCAGAGGAATTTTTAAATGAACTTTAAACTTTTTAAATCCCGAGGCTGAGAAAAACAAGTTAAAACCCTGTCTTTAATGATCTGTAATAACTATCATCAGCTTATAAAGAATTATATGATACTTATTTCACTAAACAAGAAGACTATAAAAATTTGACCTGGGTTCTGTCCCCGTAGTGAACTCCTGTCCAGGGACAGTGGCCACGGCATTGCACCTGCTGGGCGTGCAGCCAGTGTGCCCTCAGGAAGTGAGTGCGTCTGCTGACCAGGATGCCCACGCAGCTGGGTGGAGGTGCTCACATTCCTGCTGCAGCTTTGCTGAATTGGATCGAGGGGAATATGACAGCTTCTCGGCCACCCCGGAAGCAAGGAGAAATCAATGATAAAATGCACATTAAACAGAAAAATAGTAATGTTTATGGCACACCATGTATGAAGAGCCTTTATGTTTCCCTGCTGCCCTGTTCTAAAGAACTAGACACATTTCTGCCTGTAATCCCAGCACTTGGGGAGGCCGAGGCCGGCGGATCACGAGGTCAGGAGATCGAGACCATCCTGGCTAACACGGTGAAACCCCGTCTCTACTAAAAAACACAAAAAAATTAGCCGGGCGTGGTGATGGGCGCCTGTGGTCCCAGCTACTCCGGAGGCTGAGGCAGGAAAATGGCATGAACCCGGGAGGCGGAGCTTGCAGTGAGCCGAGATCGCACCACTGCACTCCAGCCTGGGCGACAGAGCGAGACTACGTCTCAAAAAAAAAAAAAAAAAGAAAAAGAAAAAAAGAACTAGACACACTTCCCACTCAGCCAGTGTGCTTATCACATTCCTAAAATAAAGACATGCTTCTTTTAAAATAGAAATATTGTTATAGAGAATAGAGGTTAGGTGATAACGCATGCCCACACTTAGTAAGGCCTTGCTGGACCTCTTGGGAAACCTTCACACCACGTAGAGTGTACTTCTTCTAAAAGAAACATTTATCATGGATACAATACCAAAATAAATGAGAGTTTTTATAAAATAGACCAAACAGGATGATTGGCTACAAGTATCTCACAGTGATCTTGCTGTCCCAACATTAATCTTTGGTTGTAGAATAAGAGACACTTTCTTTTCTGTTGTGGGTTTATTTTTCCTCCTAACCTTGATCTCTCCAAGACAATTTCCTTTACCACTGTGTTTACCTATAGTTCTTACCTATATTTAATTTAAAGTATACAACATTTGGAGTCCTTTATATAATGTTTGAACCTGTGACATCAACAGAGAAATTTTCAAAGTCTATTTTTACTGGGTTCATTCAATCAGAGAAAATGGAAAGTTGGAGGCTGTCATTACTGCAAGGTTTAAAGTCATGTTTATCATCTCAGTTGGCTGAAAAGTATTTAATGCTGGAAATGTAATTGAGTTTGCTGCAAAAGGCCATGAAGTTACTGTGAATTAAGGATTCTCTAGGAGGGCATCAAAGCCAAAAATTTTAAAAGCACATTTCTAATACTGAAATCTCAAACACGCCATGAAGAACATTCATTTTATAAACTGAGAATATATTGTCTTTCATAGAATTTTCCAGGCATGAACATCAACTGCTGCTTCTTTTTTTAAGAAAAGGGTCATCTGGAAAATTTTATGCAATTAACAAAAATGCCTTACTTTATTATTATGTTCCTAAAGAATCAATGATCAGTTATGCTGCTTTTAAGAAACCAATGCATGGAGATACACTTGACAGGATATAAAATTAAATAAAGTTGTTGCATCTTTACCAGACCAGCTTCAGTCTCCTTTTTGTGTATTTTTTAGTATATTTCAAAAACAATTATTAAATAATTTTTCAAAGCCCAAAGTAAAATGAGAAAAACTATTCAATTTATAAGTTTGGAAGAACTTCTACACAGTAACTTTAAATATTTCTAGAGCTTTTCTGGTCAACTGCTTTGATTGTAATAACCTGAAACGAGACAGTTTTCCAGGCAAGGAAGCTATTGGGACAAATCAGTCTTCAAGGTTTAAAACAGGATTGGCCATTCTGCAGTACAAAAATCACCTCTCCACAATCCCCCATCAGATTGCTCCCCCGGGTTCAATTCTGCTTTAACCCAATAAAGAACCTATTTTTCCTACCAAATCTCACTTGAATGTGTGAATCTTGAATGTGGTTCTCGGATGTTCTCTTTACTTTTCTCTTCTTTTCTTTCTTTGCAGAATTCTATTGTTTGTATGGTTACATTGGAGTGAAATTGATAGTTGTTTCATGTAAGTGAAGAAGAGAATGTGAATAAACCTAAAATTGTCATTTGGTTAGATGATATTTCTATTGTTTGCAAATGCATTTCAAATGTAAAGCTGTTAAGTTTCTAACAAACATCTCATTCACATATTTTTAAATGGCAATAAACTATATAATTTTAAGAAATATTATGTAAAATGTATAGCTTGCACATTTGGGCACACTCTAGAAATGTTCATATCTTCCATTTGAAAATAAATATGCCCTTCACACATTGCACTGAGTGTGGAATTCAGCTGAAGTCTCTCCCACTTCAAATTTCAGTGGCAGAAAGACGTGATCCATTTCCTCACTCAGCCTAAGGGCCATGACCAACACCACTATAGCCAAAAACAGGCTAACAAGAGAAAAGCAGAACACATTTATGTAATCATAATTTTATGTGACACAGAAGCTTTCGGATCAAAGACCCAAAGATATGGAGGAAGTGGTCTGATTTTATGCTTAGGTTCAATGAAGCAGAGCCAGCTGTGTAGAAGTGGGCTGGGACAAAAGCGGTATAATCTAATAAATCATAGACTACCAGCATCTAGGAGTAATAGGCTGTAGGGGGAAACCCATCAAAACCGCCACTGCAAAATTATAACCGAGGCGGGGAAAGAGATCTGACCTAACCAACTCCATCTTGCTTCTGACCTGCAAGCTGTCCTTGTTCATTTCTGGGTGTAGGCTGAACTAACTTTGGGAGGAACTTAGCTTTTAGTTTAAAACAAAGACAGTAACAGCCTTTTTCCAAAATAAACCCCCTTCTTGCCTGGGAACTAGACTGCCTTTGTAAGACTAACAAATTAACCAAAAGATTAGAAATTATGGCTTAGGGGTCATGCAATTGGAGGCTTCAAGATTCTGACCCTCCCCAAATTGCTTTTGGGGCTTTTGGATCAGCGCTTGAGGCTTTTTGCAGACCCTGCACTCGATGGAAAAGCTGGCATCACCCAGATCCATAAACTGCCTCATCTGATCTTGCGGCCTCTACCCAGGAACTGACTCAGTGCAAGACAGCTTTGATTCCCTATCATTTCATCTCTGACCCAGCCAATCAGCATTCCTGACTCACTGGCTGCCCCCTATCCATGAAATTATCCTTAAAACCTCTGATCCCCGAATACTCAGGGAGGCTGATTTAAATAATAGTGGAACTCCTATCTCCTGCACAGCCAGCTCTGCATGAATTACTCTTGATTGCAATTCCCCTGTCTCGATAAATCAGCTCTGTCTAGGCAGCAGGCCAGGTGAACCCACACAGCAGCTACACCCGCAAGGCCTGTCTGCTCAGAGTCTTCTAGGCCCCTCTGTGCAGTTTCCTTCATCCCAAGCAAGGTGAACCCTTGGGGCAGCTACACCCACAAGGCCTGTCTGCTCAGTCTTCTAGGCCCGTCTGTGTAGTTTTCTTCATCCCAAGCATGGGGCAGGACCCTCTCTGGAATGAGCGTCTTAGAACCTACAGTCAAGCAAATTAGGTCAGATAGTTTATTTAAGGCCAACTCTTACCCAGAAAGGCAGGGAGACATTAGAGTAATTATTGTAGGTTTTATGACTGGCTTTGAGAAAAGAGGTTCTGTTTTCTATGACCCACTTTGGAAAAGATGGATTCTAGTTTCTATGGTGGCCTTGGGGGAGAATGAGGATCCGAGACAGGAGGGCAGGAGAATGTCAGAGGGAGACTTTGCTTCTGAGGTTTCCACTTTAGGGCATCATTTTCTCCCCAATACAGCTATAAAAACAGGTTCAATCTACACTCAGGAAAACTCTGTTGAACGAACAATCACCTTCTCCTCCCAAATATCTATTTTTGAAGGCTGGGCAAGTACAAGTTAGCATTATGAGACAGGATATCAACCATGTCCTCCTGGTAAATTCTTTCTCCGAGCTCTCTGTTATGCAAAGGCATTCACAGTAAAGAAATAAAACCTTAAGCATCTGCAGGCTCTGATAAGCTGGATCGCAACTTTCCTGAGGTCTCCTTATTTCCGTCATGCTGCCTGTGTTCCCTCATCTTTTCCTGTATATTTTCCCATAATTTGTAACTGCCCAGTGGGTTCACCTCGCATGCTTTCTAGACAGAGCTGATTTCTCAAGACACAGGGATTGCAATGAGGAGTAATTCACGCAGAGCTGGCTGCATGGGAGACTAGAGTTTTATTTTTATTTTTATTTTTTTGAGATGAAGTCTCACTCTGTCGCCTAGGCTGGAGTGCAGTGGTGCGATCTCGGCTCACTGCAAGCTCCGTCTCCCAGGTTCACACCATTCTCCTGCCTCAGCCTCCCGAGTAGCTGGGACTACAGGCTCCCGCCACCACACCCAGCGGCTAATTTTTTGTATTTTTAGTAGAGACGGGGTTTCATCATGTTGGCCAGGCTGGTCTCAAACTCCTGACCTCGGGTGATCTGCCTGCCTCGGCCTCCCAAAGTGCTGGGATTACAGGCGTGAGCCAACATGCCCGGCCGTTGAGGGATATTTTTAAGGGCAAGGTCTTGAAGTCCACTGGCCTTAACTCACTGACACTGAGCCCTGATATAACTACAGGGAGACTGGAGAGTGTGGGCTTCTTGCGTCCCCAGGGACAGACAGTACCCACCACCCCAGGTGTATCCGGGTAGGTGGGCGTCTTTTTAAGTTGAACATATCCGGATACGTCTATTTTTTTTCCCTTTTGCTGCATAACAAATGACTGCAAATTTAGTGTTTACAACAACACACTGATCAGTTCCCAGCTTCCCTGGGTCAGGAGGCTGAGTGTGAGCTGCTAGGTCCTCCTGGGTCTCACCGGGCTGAAGTCAAGGGGCTGGCTCGAGTGTCCCTCCCATCTGAGGCTCAGGGTCCTCTTCCAGGCTCATTGGCATCAGCAGAGCCATTGCCTGTGGCCGTAGGGCTGAGTTTCCATGTCCTCGACAGCTGTAGGCTGCCTACCGCCCTCAGCTCCTGGAGGACAACCTCGAGTCCCTGCCCTGTGGCCTCCACAGCAGGTCCCTGTAAGGCCGGTGGTCTCTTCAAGCCCAGCAAAGAATTCTTACTGCAGCCCGCAGTGTAACCATGGGAGCCATGCACCGTCACGGTCACAGCCCCCACCTGCACTCAGGGCGGGCACCACACAGGGCGTTTAATTCAGGGCTGGGGCGCCTTGGGGGCCCTCTCAGAATTCCACCTACCATGCTTACCTTCACAAATATCAGCTGCACCTCGAGGGCCAACAAGAGGTCTACAGAAAAGCCATGAGCCAAACAAAACTCCTTGGAACTTCTCTGCTCCTGACAAAGTCCTTAAGCGGATTCGATAAAAACCCCATTGGCCACTAAAGACTCTTTGTGCTTTTGATATCTTTCTGTGGAGTCATCCATTCATTCAATGGAATGCTTGCCATGTGCCGATGCTGTTATAGATACTGAGATGACAGCAGGGAACACGGCTGGTCAAGTCTCTTGGGCAAATTCTCCATTCACACCCCACTCAACGCGCAAACTTCCCATTCGCCTATGCTGACACACGGTGCACGGGACTGTGTGTGAACAATCGAATGAACTAGACCTGCGTGTTCTCTTACAATATCCAGGAATCCTTCCAGTTAAATGACATTTTATCTTAATAATTCAGGTGATAGGAATATTACATGTTTAAACTCCTTTTGTTTGTGTTATTGCAATACGTGATCCCAGCCACACCCATTGAACTGGGCATCTTCACGGTGCGGATGATCTTCAAAGGAACAGGTCCTGTTTGGGAACTGAAATCCAAAGACACAATCATATTTTAAATAACACATTGGTGAAAAGACATATACCATGGGAAAAACATCTCAAGCTTAATCGCCTATATTTAATTTACAACAGAAATAGGACTGCTCTCACATAGTTTCTAAAGCTTATCAAGTCCCTCAGAGAAGTATTAAATTACAGAGAGACAATTAAGCCTCCCTGCCTTTGAAGTTCCATTTAGGTATTAACAGGGAATTAGAAATCTTATGAAGAGAGATTTGCAATCACTATGAGTGCTGCAATCTACAGCTACCAAGCTGTAGACCAATATCACACAGGGTTCAATTCTATGGAGTACTTCACTGAGAGTAAGTGCTACCTTTGACATTATTTTGCATCTTATTGAAATTCCAGATATAATATCAATCTACTGAGGCTCTTATACAAGAAGAGAAATTGAAGTTTGCAAGCATAATCTTTTCAGTGGAGCCCTGTAATGGATCTGTGGATCCGTTTTAAGCCAGAGCTTATTCTGTGCATAAACCATAAGATAATTGACCCATTAAATGTAACCATGTAAATATCCCCATTTCATTCCCACTACAAAGTAAAAAATGCTTATGTTGCTTCTGCCTCCCATGTTAATATTTATCAGCTTTCAGATTGGTGTGTCTTCTTTCTGGTTTCTTTCTTTGCTTGTTTAAATTCCGATTTTCATTCATTTATCTACTTAGGCGTATATAAGTTCTGAGTATATTTTATTTTGTGTTAGACTATGAATTTATAGAGGAAATTAATCATGTTTTACTAATGTTTATATCTAGTAGAATAACATATAAAGTGCCCCGCACATAGACCATTAATAAATACTTGCGAGTAAGTGAATACATTCATGGATGAGTACGTCAGTCTTGTAACATAAGTATCAAATATTCCTTAGCAGGAAAAGCCAACAGCACTCTCTCAACCATAAATTAACCCAGTCAAAGGAAGTAAATGTAATGTTTGGTCAGCAATGTGACTTGATACTTAAGGAGAGCATCTCTTAGGAGAAACAGCGGGTCCTGTGTCTAGATTCAGCTCTAATGGCAACAGATTGATGGCCCCCATCCATGCATATTTATCAATTTTTAAGGTTTTTTTCTTTTTGTAGACAGCAAATTGTTTTCTTAGATCTATAGTCTTGCATTTATATTCCTGGTTCTTGGGTGGAACTGTATTTGTGGTCATATAATGGATCCCATTAAGAGGAGGTTTCAGATTCCATTACCTTTCTTTAGCTCCGTTGAATTACCTATCTATCATTTTTTATTATTTATTGTATATTGTTTATGTTTGAATGTTAAATACTAATCTGCAAGAAGGAGAATTGAAAAGAAATTTCTCATTAAATTGAAAGCAGGCATTTAATTTCATCGTGCCCTAGTTTTATAAATATAGTTGCAAGATCCTTGTGAAGAACACAAGAAAATAAACAAATGTCACTATTCAATTGAACTCAAAGAAAATACAACATTTTATTCACAGAAGTGTCTTTACATATATAATTATCCAAAGGTCTACCTGAAGCTCTTTTTACCTTCACCCAAGCTCTTTCGCCCTAAACTCAACCTGCATCTGAATCATCTGGATATTAGCACAGAGGACCCTGGGCCCCACCCTGAGTGGCAGATTCTGTAAGTCTGCAGTGCGACCCTGGAGTCTGCTGCTCTACCACGTTCCTGGGAGATGGTGATGCTGCTGGTCCAGGGACCACACTTTGAAAACCACTGCCTGAAATTCATTTGAACTTCACAACTTGGCTCAATTTTCACATCTTCAAAAAAGACTAGTTTTATTCCCAGGTGTATTAGTCTATTTTCACACTGCTGATAAAGGCATACCTGAGACTGGGCAATTTACAAAAGAAAGAGGTTTAATGGACTCAGATTTTCACGTGGCTGGTGAGGCAATCATGACAGAAGGCAAAAGGCAAATCTCACATGGTGGCAGACAAGCAAAGAGAATGAGAGCCAAGCTAAAGGGGTTCCCCTTATAAAACCATCAAATCTCATGAGACTTATTAACTACCATCAGAACATATGAGGGAAACTGCCCTCATGATTCAATTATCTCCCATGGGGTCCCTCCCACAACATGAGGGAATTATGGGAGCTACAATTCAAGATGAGATTTGGGTGGGGACACAGCCAAATCATATGACCAGGGAAAGTCAGGATTACCTGAAGGATTCTCTCAAGGTCATTTTTTTTCCTCATAGTGCCATAATTTGCCAATACACATTTGAGGCAATGTCTTATGAACATCTATTTCTACTGCAATAAACTCTAAGATCAGCAGCTGGTCTGGAACTAGTTGGCTCAGAGTTGCAGCCTGATGCTTCACACACACACAATAATTGCTGTACATTTTAATTTTGACAAGTGTCTTAGTTCTTTTTTATTATTATTATACTTTAAGTTTTAGGGTACATGTGCACAACATGCAGGTTTGTTACATATGTATACATGTGCCATGTTGGTGTGCTGCACCCATTAACTCGTCATTTACATTAGGTATATCTCCTAATGCTATCCCTCCCCTCTCCCCCCACCCCATAACAGGCCCTGGGGTGTGATGTTCCCCTTCCTGTGTCCAAGTGTTCTCATTGTTCAATTCCCGCCTATGAGTGAGAACATGCGGTGTTTGGTTTTTTGTCCTTGTGATAGTTTGCTGAGAATGATGGTTTCCAGCTTCATCCATGTCCCTACAAAAGACATGAACTCATCATTTTTTATGGCTGCATAGTATTCCATGGTGTATATGTGCCACATTTTCTTAATCCAATCTATCATTGTTGGACATTTGGGTTGGTTCCAAGTCTTTGCTATTGTGAATAGTGCTGCAATAAACATACGTGTGCATGTGTCTTTAGAGCAGCATGATTTATAATCCTTTGGGTGTATACCCAGTAATGGGATTGCTGGGTCAAATGGTATTTCTAGTTCTAGATCCCTGAGGAATTGCCACACTGACTTCCACAATGGTTGAACTAGTTTACAGTCCCACCAACAGTGTAAAAGTGTTCCTATTTCTCCACATCCTCTCCAGCACCTGTTTTTTCCCGACTTTTTAATGTTCGCCATTCTAACTGGTGTGAGATGGTATCTAATTGTGGTTTTGATTTGCATTTCTCTGATGGCCAGTGATGATGAGCATTTTTCCATGTGTCTTTTGGCTGCATAAATGTCTTCTTTTGAGAAGTGTCTGTTCATATCCTTTGCCCACTTTTTGATGGGGTTGTTTGTTTTTTTCTTGTAAATTTGTTTGAGTTCTTTGTAGATTCTGGGTGTCTTAGTTCCATTCAGTTGTTTTTTTAAGTAAATAATCCTGCAATAAACATGTTTTCTTTGGATTTTAATTTTATTTTATGGTATTGAATCCCATTCTTTTTAAGTGAAATATTTTATTAAATGAAACATGATTCCTTCTAATCCCAATCCCAAACATTGGTAACAATGTGATTGATATATTACACTTTTATTTTACTGTGCATATTTTCAAACATATTTAGAAGTATCACCTCACATTTTAAAATCTGTTTCATCGGTGTCTTTTTCATTTAAAAGAGCTTGAATGTCTTTCCATATCAATGCCTACATATCTATTGTAGGCTGCATGACAAATAGATACCATGTGATCAGACGGCGTTCTTGTAAAGTATTTCTCAGTCACTTTAATAAAGATCGTATGTCTTTAATAAAGACAGTTGTGCTGTGATAAGTTAAACATTTTTCCATATGCTTGTTAGTTATTTACAATATTTTTTCTTTGAATTGCGCCCTTTCATTTTCAAGGTTTTTGTATTATTATACCACTATTTTATCATAAAAGTAGTTAACAATAATACATAGTTTTAAATAGAAGGAGGATATTGAATGTTCCCAATACAAAAAAACGATCAATGTTTGAGATGATAGATATTCTAATTACTCTGATCTGATTGCTTTATATGATATGTGTCACAACATCAGTACATACCCCATAAATATGTACAAGTATTATCTGCCATTTTTTAAAAGATAGTTTAAGAGGTCCATTATCCAGCTTCAATAGCTCATTTTGTTAACCTTGTTCCATTCATAACCTCATACACGTGACTCTGATGTGTATCAAAGCAGATCCCAGACATAGTACCCCTTTATAAAAACTACAGAATGTTTCTTAAATGGATTATAATATTTTAAATCATAACCATAATACATTTAAAAATTTTTAAGAAACATTTTAGAAAACATATTTACAGGAAAAAAATGTACAGATAGTACAGAGAGCTCTTGCTATCCCACATCCAATTTCCCCTTTTATTAAGTCTTGTTGATTTGAACACATTTTTGTTAAATCAAGTCCATTCTTTATTCAGGTTTCTTAGTTTTTGCCCAGTATCCTTTCTGTATTCCAGAATCCCACCCGGGACACGTTATGTTTAACATTCCTGTTCCATGGGGCTCCCTAGGTGTGGGAGTTTCACAGACATTCCTCGTTTTTGATGACCTTGACATCTTTGAGAACTGGTCAGAATGTCTGTCAATCTGGACTTGTCTGATGTAGTTCTCATGATTAGGTTGGGTTTCTGGGCTTCTCAGGAGGAAGATCACAGAGCATTCACCCCTGCAGGTCATAGCAAAGCTCCACACCATCAGCAGGACTGGTCACTGGTAATGTCAACCACCATCACCTCCATTTTTTCTCAAGTTTCAAAACAGTGAAGTACTCTTTTTTCCCTGTCCCACGCTGTACTCTTTATTATTATTATTATTATTATACTTCAAGTTCTAGGGTACATGTGCACAACGTGCAGGTTTGTTACATAGGTATACATGTGCCATGTTGGTTTGCTGCACCCATCAACTCGTCATTTACATTAGGTATTTCTCCTAATGCTATCCCTCCCCCAGCCCTCCAACCCCCAACAGGTCCCAGAGTGTGCTGTTCCTCGCCCTGTGTCCATGTGTTCTCATTGTTCAACTCCCACCTATGAGTAAGAACATGTGGTATTTGGTTTTCTGTCCTTGTGATAGTTTGCTGAGAATGATGGTTTCCAGCTTCATCCATGTCCCTGAAAAGAACATGAACTCATCTTTTTTTATGGCTGCATAGTATTCCATGGTGTATATGTGCCACATTTTCTTAATCCAGTCTATCAGTGATGGACATTTGGGTTGGTTCCAAGTCTTTGTTATTGTGAATAGTGCCTCAATAAACATGCACGTGCATGTGTCTTTATAGTAGCATGATTTATAATCCTTTGGGTATATACCCAGTAATGGGATTGCTGGGTCAAATGGTATTTCTAGTTCTAGATCCTTGAAGAATCACCACTCTGTCTTCCAAAATGGTTGAACTAATTTACACTCCCACCAACAGTGTAAAAGAGTTCCTATTTCTCCACATCCTCTCCAGCATCTGTTGTTTCCTGACTTTTTAATGATCACCATTCTAACTGGTGTGAGATGGTATCTCATGTGGTTTTGATTTGCATTTCACTGATGACCAGTGATGATGAGCATTTTTTCATGTGTCTGTTGGCTGCATAAATGTCTTCTTTTGAGAACTGTCTGTTCATATCCTTTGCCCACTTTTTGATGGGTTTTTTTCTTGTAAATTTGTTTAAGTTCTTTGTAGAATCTGGGTATTAGCCCTTTCTCAGATGGGTAGATTGCAAAAGTTTTCTCCCATTCTGTAGGTTGCCTGTTTACTCTGATGATAGCTTCTTTTGCTGTTCAGAAGCTCTTTAGTTTAATTAGATTCCATTTGTCAATTTTGGCTTTTGTTTCCATTGCTTTTGGTGTTTTAGTCACGAAGTCTTTGCACAAGTCTACGTCCTAAATGGTATTGTCTAGGTTTACTTCTACGGTTTTTAGGGTTTTAGGTCTTATATTTAAGTCTTTAATCCATCTTGAGTTAATTTTTGTATACAGTGTAAGGAAGGGATCCAGTTTCAGCTTTCTACATATGGCTAGCCAGTTTTCCCAGAACCATTTATTAAATAGGGAATCTTTTCCCCATTGCTTGTTTTTCTCAGGTTTGTCAAAAATCAGATGATTGTAGATGTGTGATGTTATTCCTGAGGCCTCTATTCTGTTCCATTGGTCTATATATCTGTTTTAGTACACGTGCCATGCTGATTTCATTACTGTAGCCTTGCAGTATAGTTTGAAGTCAGGTAGCGTGATGCCTCCAGCTTTGTTCTTTTTGCTTAGGATTGTCTCGGCAATATGGGCTCTTTTTTGGTTCCATATGAACTTTAAAGTAGTTTTTTCCAATTCTGTGAAGAAAGTCATTGGTAGCTTGATGGGGATACCACTGAATGTATGAATTACCTTTTCACAATATTGATTCTTCCTATCCATGAGCATGGAATGTTCTTCCATTTGTTTGTGTCCTCTTTTATTTCATTGAGCAGTGGTTTGTAGTTCTCCTTGAAGAGGTCCTTCACATCCCTTGTAAGTTGGATTCCTAGGTATTTTATTCTCTCTGCAGCAATTGTGAATGGGAATTCACTCATGATTTGGCTCTCTGTTTGTCTGTTTTTGGTGTATAGAAACGCTTGTGATTTTTGCACATCGATTTTGTATCCTGAGATTCCGCTGAAGTTGAGTATCAGATTAAGGAGATTTTGGGCTGAGAGGATGGGGCTTTCTAAATATACAATCATGTCATCCACAAACAGGGACAATTTGACTTCCTCTTTTCCTAACTGAATACGCTTTATCTCTTTCTCTTGCCTGATTGCCCTGGCCAGAACTTCCAACACTATGTTGAATAGGAGTGGTGAGAGAGGGCATCTTTGTCTTGTGCTGGTTTTCAAAAGGAATGCTTCCAGTTTTTGCCCATTCAGTATGATATTGGCTGTGGGTTTGTCATAAATAGCTCTTATTATTTTGAGATACATTCCATCAATACCTAGTTTACTGAGAGTTTTTAGCATGAAGGCTGTTGAATTTTGTTGAAGGCCTTTTCTGCATCTATTGAGATAATCATGTGGTTTTTGTCTTTGGTTTTGTTTATGTGATAGACTATGTTTATTGATTTGTGTCTGTCAAACCAGCCTTGCATCCCAGGGATGAAGCCCACTTGATCGTGGTAGATAAGCTTTTTGATGTGCTGCTGGATTCAGTTTGCCAGTATTTTATTGAGGATTTTCACATTGATGTTCATCAGGAATATTGGTCTAAAATTTTTTTTTTGTTGTGTCTCTGCCAGGCTTTGGTATCAGGATGATGCTGGCTTCATAAAATGAGTTAGGGAGGATTCCCTCTTTTTCTATTGATTGGAATAGTTTCAAAAGGAATGGTACCAGCTCCTCTTTGTACCTCTGGTAGAATTCTGCTGTGAATCCATCTGGTCCTGGACTTTTTAGTTGGTAAGCTGTTAATTATTGCCTCAATTTCAAAACCTGTTATTGGTCTATTCAGAGATTCAACTTCTTCCTGGTTTAGTCTCGGGAGGGTGTATGTGTCCAGGAATTTATCCATTTCTTCTAGATTTTCTAGATTATTTGCATAAAGATGTTTATAGTATTCTCTGATGGTAGTTTGTATTTCTGTGGGATCAGTGGTGATATCTCCTTTATCTTTTTTTATTGCATCTAGTTGATTCTTCTCTCTTTTCTTCTTTATTAGTCTTGCTAGCAGTCTATCTATTTTGTTGATCTCTTCAAAAAACCAGCTCCTGGATTCCCTGATTTTTTGAAGGGTTTTTTGTGTCTCTATCTCCTTCAGTTCTGCTCTGATCTTAGTTATTTCTTGCCTTCTGCTAGCTTTTGAATGTGTTTGCTCTTGCTTCTCTAGTTCTTTTAATTGTGATGTTAGGGTGTCAATTTTAGATCTTTCCTGTTTTCTCTTGTGGGCATTTAGTGCTATAAATTTCCCTCTATACACTGCTTTAAATGTGTCCCAGAGATATTGTGTCTTTGTTCTCATTGGTTTCAAAGAACATCTTTATTTCTGCCTTCATTTCGTTATTTACCCAGCAGTCATTCAGGAGCAGGTTGTTCAGTTTCCATGCAGTTGTGCAGTTTTGAGTGAGTTTCTTAATCCTGAGTTCTAATTTGATTGCACTGTGGTCTGAGAGACAGTTTTTTGTGATTTCCGTTCTTTTCCATTTGCTGAGGAGTGTTCTACTACCAATTACGTGGTCAGTTTTAGAATAACTGCAATGTGGTGTTGAGAAGAATGTATATTCTGTTGATTTGGTGTGGAGAGTTCTGTAGATGTCTATTAGATCTGCTTGGTGCAGAGCTGAGTTCAAGTGCTGGATATCCTTGTTAACATTCTGTCTCGTTGATCTGTCTAATATTGACAGTGGGGTGTTATGGCCTCCCATTATTATTGTTTGGGAGTCTAAGTATCTTTGTAGGTTTCTAAGGACTTGCTTTACGAATCTCAGTGCTCCTGTATTGGGTGCATATATATTTAGGATAGTTAGCTCTTCTTGTTGAATTGATCCCTTTACCATTATGTAATGGCCTTCTTTGTCTCTTTTGATCTTTGTTGGTTCAAAGTCTGTTTTATCAGAGACTAGTATTGCAACCCCTCCTTTTTTGTTTTTTTTTTTGCTTTCCATTGGTGGAGCTTCCTACATCCCTTTATTTTGAGCCTATGTGTGTCTCTGCACATGAGATGGGTCTCCTGAATACAGCACACTGATGGGTCTTGACTCTTTATTCAATTTGCCAGTCTGTGTGTTTTAATTGGGGCATTTAGTCCATTTACATTTAAGGTTAATATTGTTATGTGTGAATTTGATCCTGTCATTATGATATTAGCTGGTTATTTTGCCTGTTAATTGATGCAGTTTCTTCATAGCATTGATGGTCTTTATAATTTGGCATGTTTTTGCAGTGGCAGGTACCGGTTCTTCCTTTCCATGTTTAGTGCTTCCTTCAAGAGCTCTTGTAAGGCAGGTCTGGTGGTTACAAAATCTCTCAGCATTTGCTTGTCTGTAAAAGATTTTATTTCTCCTTCACTTATGAAGGCTTAGTTTGGCTGGAGATGAAATTCTGGGTTGAAAATTCTTTTCTTTAAGAATGTTGAATATTGGCCCCCACTCTCTTCTGGCTTGTAGGGTTTCTGCCGAGAGATGCACTGTTAGTCTGATGGGCTTGCCTTTGTGGGTAATCTGACCTTTCTCTCTGGCTGCCCTTAACATTTTTCCGTTTATTTCAACCTTGGTGAATCTGACAATTATGTGTCTTGGGGTTGCTCTTCTAGAGGAGTATCTTTGTGGTGTTCTCTGTATTTCCTGAATTTGAATGTTGGCCCGCCTTTCTAGGTTGGGAAGTTCTCCTGGATAATATCCTGAAGAGTGTTTTCTAACTTGGTTCCATTCTCACTGTCACTTTCAGGTACACCAATCAAACGGAGATTTGGTCTTTTTACAGAATTGCATATTTCATGGAAGCTTTGTTCGTTTCTTTTCACTCATTTTTCTCTAATTTTGTCTTCTCGCTTTATTTCATTAATTTGATCTTCAGTCACTGATATTCTTTCTTCCACTTGATCGAATTGGCTATTGAAGCTTGTGCATGCATCACGAAGTTCTCATGCTGCGGTTTTTAGCTCCATCAGGTCATTTAAGGTCTTCTCTACACTGTTTATTCTAGTTAGCCATTCGTCTAACCTTTTTTCAAGGTTTTTAGCTTCCTTGCCATGGGTTCAAACATCCTTCTTTTAGCTCCGAGAAGTTTGTTATTACCAACCTTCTGAAGCCTACTTCTGTCAACTCGTCAAGCTCATTCACCCTCCAGTTTTGTTCTGTTGCTGGTGAGAAGCTGCAGTCCTTTGGAGGAGAAAAGGCACTCTGGTTTTTGGAATTTTCAGCCTTTCTGCTCTGGTTTCTACCCATCTTTGTGGTTTATTCTACCTTTGGTCTTTGATGTTGGTGACCTACAGATGGGGTTTTGGTGTGGATGTCCTTTTTGTTGATGTTGATGCTATTCTTTTCTGTTTGTTAGTTTTCCTTCTAACAGTCAGGCCCCTCAGCAGCAGGTCCGTTGGAGTTTGCTGGAGGTCCACTCCAGACCCTCAGTCTTCCCCAGCAGAGGCTGCAGAACAGCAAATATTGCAGAACAGCAAATATTGCTGCCTGCTCCTACCTCTCGAAGCTTCGTCCCAGAGGCGCACCTGCCTGTATGAGGTGTCTGTCGGCCCCTTCTGGGAGGTGTCCCCTAGACAGGCTACATGGGGGTCAGAGGCCTGCTTGAGGAGGCAGTCTGTCTGTTCTCAGAGCTCAAATGCCATGCTGGGAGAAACACTACTCTCTTCAGAGCTGTCAGACAGGGACGTTTAAGTCTGCAGATGTTGTCTGCTGCCTTTTGTTCAGGTATGCCCTGCCCACAGAGGTAGATTCTTGAGAGGCAGTAGGCACTGCTGAGCTGCGGTGGGCTCTGCCCAGTTCAAGCTTCCCAGCCGCTTTGTTTAATACTCAAGCCTCAGCAATGGCAGATGCTCCTCCCCCTGTCAGGCTGCAGCCTAGCAGGTTGATCTCAGACTGCTGCGCTAACAGTGAGCAAGACTGTGGGCATGGGACACACTGAGCCAGGCACAGGAGGGAATCTCCTGGTCTGTCAGTTGCTAATACCATGGGAAAAGCACAGTATTTGGGCAAGAGTATACTGTTCCTCCAGGTACAGTCTCTCACGGCTTCCCTTGGCTAGAAAAGGGAAATCCCCTGAACCCTTGCACTTCCTAGGTGATGTGACACCCCACTCTGCTTCGTCTTGCTCTCTGTGGGCTGCACCTACAGTCCAACCAGTCAGTCCCAGTGAGATGAACCAGGTACCTCAGTTGGAAATGCAGAAATCACCTGTCTTCTGTGTTGATCTCCCTGGGAGCTGCAGACAAGAGCTGTTCCTATTTGGCCATCTTGGAAGCAACCATCCTTTTTTTTTTTTTTTTTTTTTTTTTTTTTGAGATGTAGTCTCATTCTGTTACCAGGCTGGAGTGCAGTGGTGTGATCTCGTCTCACTGCCCATGCTGTACTCTTAAGAAGGAAGTTCCTCTTCACAGCCCACGCTGAAGGGTGGGGAGTGATGACCCTCCTCCTGAGAATGGAATATTTGTATAAATTATTTTGAATTCTTCTACACAGGACAGTTGGCTATTCTGCTTTGTTTAGTTACTTGTTGATATCATTTTCATATCAGTATGGACCCATGGACATTTATTGTATACTTTGGGTTATAATCTAGGACCACATGGTTTGTTCTCTTGCTTTCATTGTTCCCTACTTGGCTATTCCGAGCCCTTCAGTTGACTCCTGTGTCTCTTGACATATGCTGTGTGAGTGTGCGTGTCTGAGTTTGCATGTGTGCATGTGTTGAGCACTTCCTTGCTTTCTGGCAACAATATGCACCAAGATTACCTTGGATATTTCCTGCCCTAGTCCTAGCATCAGCCATTTATCCAAGGCGCCCTGGCACCTTTTATGGGAGAATGGCCTTAGAAACCAAGATCTGCACACTAGGTTCATACGGCTGCTGGATGGCCACTGCCCCTAGGCCTCATCGTCTTCTCAGCTGACATGGCAGAGAATGCATGTCTGCACACTAATTCAATTGCATGCATATATCTGTAAACTCAGATGATTCTGCAGGCCTGCTAAAAGCAGAAATGTGTCTAGCACTTGGGTGTCAGAATACAGGGAGCCCTGGTACCTGTGGTCAACTACAACACACTCATCTTTTAAGTGTAGTGTTAATTGCTTAGCTTTTTATTTTTATCTTCTCTGGAATATAATATTGAATTGTTCATTCATCTTCCTACTTATTTTGTATTCATTTTACCACATTTACTCCCTAAGCCATTTAAAGTATGTTTTCTAAAGAAAGAGCAGTGTCACCCACACCAGAAATAGAAACCTGAAAACGTGAGCATTAGTAGCAGTGACAACAGTGTCCATGTGGTTAAAGCACAGAGAGTAAGCACGTGCTTCTCATTATTAACCCTTCAGCTTGTCTGTTCCTTTTTGCATGTTTTTAAAGATCTAATTTTATGGTTTGGGAGTCTTTAACAACTCACAGATGCTAGAAATACCTGTAAGCTAAACTTGGTTTTCTTGAGAGTTTCTCTGTGGCCTGAGAAGTCAAAGTTTTTAAAAAATATTTACTTGTCATGAAATATTCACCTAAAGTAGTAAAGTAAGACATACACTAGACCTCTCATTTCTTAATGTCAGAAATCAAGCCTTATTAGACCTTCTATCTTGGTTATTCAACATAATACACCAGATACAGCCAACAGTCATACCTCTTCATGGAACAAATTGGATAAATGATGAAGTACGGACAAATTAGCCCTGTGTCATTTTCACAAGTAATTGGAGCTCAGTAGGTACCCGTTACACTGATGACTGAATAAACATGTGCTATAAAATAGTTACATTAATATGCAAAATATCCTGTAAGGCTTACAGAAGGGATTAATATATTTAGCTGTATAAGAAATATGTTAAATTGTTCTTATATGAAAATTTTTGTATGATTCTATTTGTGTTTGTATCAACTTAAGATTTAAATAAAATGGTATAAGAGATATCAATGTATTTATGGAAATTTTCCTAGTACATTACTATTATTTGGTTTTTCTTCCTCTTAGAGAATAAGGACAAAGTTATATTGTTTATTTTCAAGCAAGAACTATGTTTTGGCTCCATGTGTATCATGAACCAAGAATAACTCTGTACTTATCACGATGACTCAGTCCAAAGAATGTTCTGATTTATTAAATTTTTCCCCCTAAATAAGTTAAAGTAGTTCATTCAGGAGCAATTAGAGTCTCACTTTTTAAATTGGATCTTAGGAGGACACAAGACAATAAGAGAGAAGCATTTTTCTTCTGGTATGACCTTCAGGGGAGAGAAAGCTGCAGGGCCTAGGAGAAGAAGGCATGGAGTTGGGGTCCTGGTCCCAGACCAGAGCAGCAATGTGCACATCGTGCTTAATCAAGAGGAATAAGCCTGGCAGCCGAAAGGGGGGCGCAGCAGCGGTCATGTTCCTGTCCAAGAACTTGATGTTACTGATTATCGATGAAGTTATTGATGTTCAATTTGTTTGTACAACACTTTCCCCAAGCATGCCCAGATTCTGAGAATCTCCAACCGAGGAATGGGAGAAGGGGTGTGTTAGGGACATAAGTGATTGGCTTCACTTCAAGCCCCTTTGTCCCTTACACCTCTCTACCACTCCAATAAATGCAATGAATCCTACAGTCCTTTTCCCTCTGGGTCTCTCCACCCCTCTCCATTCCTTCTGTTCTCATCTCTCCCTGGACTCCTGTCGAATCCCTCTGGGCTGTCCACACCCACTCTAACCTTTCCTCATGCCTTCTTCACACTTCATGCCGAATGATTTTTTTTAATCTTTGTATGCAAATCTAGTTGCATTATTTCTCTGCTCCAGATATTTCACTGGGTTCATGTCATGCTTAGAATGATGGTAAAAATCCTTAGCAGGTCTTGTAAGCTTCTGGCAGTCTGCTGCTTCTTTCTGATTCTCCAGTTGTTTCCCAACCTGTCCTCCTTCCTGGATTTTCTTGGCATTGCATGCTGGCCTTCTTTACATCTATCTAATAGAACTCTCTATTTCTTCTTTGGAGATTTCAACATGCCCCATTCCTCCAAATCTATCCCCCACCCAGGTTAACTAATATTCATAATAATACATTAAGGTGGTCTTCCTTGAGCACTCAATCAGGAGCTGTCTAAGTGTTGTACATCTTAATAACACTTGGAATGTTCCTCCATAGCCTGTTTCCATTAGCAGCTATTTATCAACGTGATTGCTTGTCTAATGCTTCTCATTCTCTTATTATAGAAGGACCCTGTATTTATCAGTTCTCATACTGCTATAAAGGAGACTGGATAATTTCTAAAGAAATGAGGTTGAAATGGCTCACGATTCTGCAGGCCATACAAAAAGCATGGCAGCACCTGCTTGGCTTTTGGGGAGACCTCTGGAAACTTACAATCATGGCGGAAGGCAATGGGGGAGCCAGCAATTTACATGGCTGGAGCAGGAGGAAGAGAGAGCAAGGAGGTGCTACACACTTTTACACAACCAGATCTCATGAGAACTCACTCACCAACACAAGAACAGCACTGAGGAGAAGGTGCTAAACTATTTATGAAGCAACCACCCCCATGATCCAATCACCTCCCACCAGGCCCCACCCCCAACACTGAGAATTATATTTTGACATGAGATTTGGGTGGGGACACAGCTCCAAACCATATCAGACCCAAGGTCCTGATGCTCCTCTGGTTCTCACACAGCATCCCACTCTCCAGCACAGCAATGGGCATCTTGAAGACATTCAGTGACTATTTGTTGAAGGAAGGAAGGAAATGAATACTTTCCCAGGCTTAATTGTCCAGATGAAAGTGTCCTTTTCCATCAGATATTGTAGATGTGGAAGGAAGGATCAGAATGGACTATGAAGAATTATGCAGGCCAGTGCGTCATTCACCCAGTAATAGCATCTGAGAACAATAAGCATCCAAACACGACATGAGGCTCGTGGAGCCTGCAGGTTCTTCTGATGAAAACGCAGTCTTTTCCTTCTGTTTTTAGGGGAAAACGCTTCATAATTCTAAGAACTTTCAGTTGTATATTTGACAAAGTCTTCATTCTAGTTAAGTACCAAAATTTAGGATTCATAATATTTGCCATTTATAGTTGCAATGACTGCTTTAGCAGGATTTACTGAAATGTCTTGCTAAGTACTTTTCTAAGAAATCTGGCTGCTATGCAACTCTTGGAAATATTGTCAAACTCTCACTGTGCATCTACGTAGACAGTTGGTATCCCCCAGCTGTGTTTTCAAAATAGGTTTTCCAAAAATCAGTTTATTATCACTGTTGTCATGAGGTGGTCTAGGAATTTTCAGTTGTTGTTACTCTTGCTTTTTACACATTTTGATTCATAACTAAATGAGTGTTTTGGCTCTAACATAACACACGCGTCACTGTTGGCATCACACACAGCCCTGCACTGTTCAATTGCTAAGGCAGAAGAAAAATCATCCAAATCTCCTTTGTATTTATTTATCAAGTGAGAATTCACTATTGTCACTAATTTATGTTCCAGCTTTAGAATGGATCAGCTGGAGTTGGTGGTCCTTAGTGTTTTCTATCCTGCTTTCAATGCAAATCTTCTAAAGAAATAAACAACGCTTGAAAACCACAACTCCTGTTTATCTCTGAGAGGTATTGCTTTCAGAATTATTTAAGGTCTGGCCACCGAGTCATCACTAAATCAGCATAACAGATAAACTAATCACATAGACAACATCTGCAGAATTCAATAAGCATGTTGGTGCCTACATTATATGCTGCTGTGCAAAGAAGTAGCTAGGGATGAGATCTTGCTCTCTGGGGAAAAGAAAGTAAGAAGGAAAGAAAACAAAACACCATTGAAATGCTGGATCTTATGTACCAAGAAATGTTTGCTACGGCTGGGTCTGGGGTACTGGTGGGTTATTATGAAGCTTGGAGTTGGCCATAGAGCAGCATTCAAGAGAGAAGGCCGCATATGTGTGTGTCTGCATTTGAATGGGAACTATTAAACTTGCCTGAATCCAACAGAGGCAATATTCTGGAACATAATTTAAAGCCAATTAATAACAGTAGCAGAAAGCCACAATTGTGACTAAAGACTTCTTAAAAAACAGTTGTTCAGCAACCTTGGCTGTATATGAAGAAAGAACACATGAACAATTATTTCAACATTTCAAAACCGCTAGGTCTGGGAACATGGGCACAGCAGAACTCAGGAGCGGGAGCTGCAGCCATGAGGACAGGCTGCCCCCGGCGTCAGTTCCCCTTGGCCCTGACCTTGGTGGTGTGGGCATCCGGCACAACTGAGGCCTTCATTCCATTGTGAAGTACAAGCACCTGGCCAGGAGCTAGAGCTGCTGAAGGGAGGTAACAGGGAAGTTGGGCAGTTTGAGGTTGCCCAACACAAAAGCAACAAAGTCTGTGGGCTCCAGAGAGCTGCTGCGCCACTTCCACCCTCCACCTCTTCCGGAAGAGTTGCTCTCACCCACAGGAAAGGGAGCGCTGGGAATTCCCAGCCCAGCCAAGTGGACGCATTACATAGCCCCACACCAAGGAATG
Organism: Homo sapiens; assembly: GCF_000001405.40. NCBI lineage: Eukaryota > Metazoa > Chordata > Mammalia > Primates > Hominidae > Homo > Homo sapiens. The sequence goes on along the minus strand of NC_000018.10, from coordinate 77,572,514 downwards.
GCCAAGGTCCCTTTGGGGAAGACTGGAAACCCTCTCCATATCTGCATGTCATGGGGCTGCAGGGCCCTTCCGCCTGGGGACCTGGCCACACCTCAGTCAGTGAGTCTAGATCTGTAAACTGACCCAGACCCAGAAACAATGCAATAGTGGTTGAGTTTTTGTGGGAGTGACTCCCCCACTCTCCCATCATCCATCTTTCCCACCTTTTTTTAGAGATTTGATGCCCCTCAGCTGTCTCCATCTCTCTGTGCGGGGCAAGGCATCTGGGTCCCACTGTGACCTGCCCCTGCTCACCCACCCAGCCTCCTGTGGCCAGGGTCCTGTCCTCCCCACTGCCACTAGCAAATCTCATCCCATAACAGTCTCTGCTACCGGCAGCCCTGCTTGACAGAGGAGAGCCACTACTGGAAAGCTTAAAGAGATAGGTGCCCATTGCACCAGCGCATCTCCTGGCTGTGAAATGGCATCCCCTCCATCCTTCTACATGCACATCAATCACTCATGCACATCAATGCAGCCACTTACACCATGATCACTGTAGCACACCCACAACCCTCCACCGCTGACCACAGAAACAGTGGTATTTCAATTTCACACAGCACGGAGCATCGCCTTTTCTGAACCTTGAGCTGCCATCCTAGCAGCAAATCTGCCTCCTGGGTTCTTGCCAGAGAATTATGTTCTGTATCTCACGACTGCAGGGACAAGCATCTGTAAACACTCCCGAACCTCCTGACCCTTCTATCAGGTGCTCCGAAAACCAGAGCCACTCACCTTCCCCATCTCAAGTTGGATATTCTGGCTGGGTCATGTGCCTTTGGGATGCTCCTGCACCTCCTTTTCCTTCTTTATCAGGCCCCCCATATTTCTGCTGGATAAGTAACATCATCCCCATCAGCCTAGTGGCCAAGAGAAGTGGAGGTTGAAGCTGAGGAAGACACATGGTTTATTGTAGCAAGAGGTACCACAGTGTCTCCAGGCAAGGTGCAAACATCATTCCTTCTCGGGAAGGGCAGCTCCTTTCTCCAGGCTCCAGGGCTTCCTAAGAGTCCAGGGGGTTCACAATTTTCAGGGGCATCTCAGTCCCCATACATGGGCACACAAATCCGCACATACACACAAGTACACACATACATGTACACACACACATCGATATACGTAAACATGTGTGTAAACATTTATTATTCTATATATTTGCAATTATTAAGTAATCTACATATTGTATGATCTTAAGCATAAACTTTATAAATTGTAGTTTGTTTGATTCTCTGGGCAGTTCGTCTTCTTAATAGAGTAGATTTACATCAGAAAAGTATTCTGAATCAAAAAAGGTAAAAACTACTTTCTGGCTACGTTTGTAAAGATAATAAACTTGTTTTTTGCCTGAATAATGTGTTTTGCCTTGTTTATTGATGTGGTACAGTGATGCAAACTGTTTTTCTTTTAATAGCAGCATGCATTTTACCTGTGAAGTATCATACCTCCCTCCCAAATAGGAGACAGATAAATGCAGCAGTAGTCTAGTGGAAGTAAAATTCAAGCCTGCAAACTTGATCTTTTCCTGAACTCAGGGGATGTTTTCGAGGCATTTAGAAAGTCACTATGTTATAAAATTCCCAATTCAATGGATATCTGCAAACTACATTTTTTTGCCTTTTAAACTTGGCTTTTGGAGCCTGGGCATGGCAGCTCATGCCTGTAATCCCAGCGTTTTGAGAGGGAGGTGGGAGGACTGCTTAAGCTCAGGAGTTCAGACCATCCTGGGCAACAAAGTGAGACCTTGTCTCTGCAATTTTTTTTTAATTAGCTGGACGTGGTGGCATGTACCTGGAGTTCCAGCTACTTGGGTGGCTGAAGTGGGAGGATAATAATAAGTAACTATTTATTATTGTTTCCTTAGCAAGGTCTCTGTCATCCAGGTTGGAGTGCAGTGGCCTGCTGGGGTTAAGCAATCCTCCCACCTCAGCCACCCAAGTAGCTGGAACTACAGGTACATGCCACCATGCCTAGCTAATTTAAAAAAAAAAAAATTGTAGAGACAAGGTCTCACTGTGTTGCCCAGGCTCTTCTGAACTCCTGAGCTCAAGCAGTCCTCCCACCTCCCTCTCAAAACGCTAGGATTACAGGTATGAGCTGCCATGCCCAGCCTCCAAAAGCCAAGTTTGATGGGTGCAGCAAACCAACATGGCACATGTATACCTATGTATAAAACCTGCACACTGTGCACATGTACCCTAGAACTTAAAGTATAATAAAAAAAAGCAAAATAAAAAAAAAACCCTTTATACAAAAGAAAATAATAGTAAGTATATAAATAAATTACCTCGGCTTTTGGTCTCTGTATGTATGCAACAAGCCTTCATTCATGTAATTGATATTTTGGTATTTTGGCAGGTCTAGGGAGCTGCTATCAAAGGTGGTCAAAAATAATAAAATCTCACTTTTGTATGACTCCATCTGGGGAGTCACATCTACTCCATTGCATAGAAAATGCCCTGGATTATTTACGGAAAGCATTGTCACTTTGTGACAATTGTCACTTTTTCAATTTGGGCCCCAAAAATGTGGAAGAAACATTTCAACCTGATAGATAGAGAGCCAGAGCAAGACCGAGCTACAGCATGAAGATAGGAGATAAGCAATTCAGAGAACTGATCAGTGGTGTGTATTCTATAGAGGTTGTTTGAGGAAACAAATGACTTTAGCAAAACCATTGAAAAAGACAACCTGTTCAAACGGAAGATGTTTTTGTGACTGACATATATTTTTTAGAAAATCATCTGATACAGTTTGGCTCTGTGTCCCCACCCAAATCTCAGGATGAGTTGTGATCCTCAGTGTTGGAGGAGGGGTCTGCTGGGAGATGATTGGATCATGGGGGCGGGTTCTAATGCTTTGGCACCATCTCCCTAATGCTGCTTGTTTAAAAATGTGTAGCACCTCCCCATGCCTCCTGCTCTGGCCGTGTGACAACCATGCCTGCTTCCCCTTCACCTTCTGCCATGATTGTAAGTTTCCTAAGTCCTCCCCAGCCATGCCTCCTTTATAGCCTGTGGAACTGTGAGTCAATTAAACCTCTTTCTTCATAAATCACCCAGTCTCAGGTATGTCTTTGTAGCAGTGTGAGATCAGACTAATACGATCTCCAAGTAGTAATAAAAGCCTAGTTTTAAAAAATAGAGTGCAGGACACAGAAAAGACAACCAGTGGGACCCAGAGGAGTGACACGAGCCAGACGTGGGCGGGCCATGCACCACAGGTGCTCTCACCAAGAAGGGACTGGCAATTTGTGTTTGAGCTCCTGGCACATAATATTCAGCCTCTGGTGCATGCTGAAGGTAACTGCGGGATGACAGGGCGTGGGGTTTCCTCGTAAAGGTGGCTGATTCTCACCTAATGCTCTACTTGTCTGCAGTTAAAGATCCCTCTAAATATTTTCATGGATAGATATGACTTTAACAGTTGTGTCCAGTAATAAGAGTAGAGCCTTATTTAAAGCTTATCTCATTTTAATGTGGACTTTAACAAGAATTCTGTTCAGAGGCCAAGTGAGGTCCCAGGAACCTGGTTTCCACTTGCCCGGTTTCCACTTCTAGTCCCAAGGATCTCAGATGCATTGTGAGCGAACGTTCTTCTCATCATTCCCACTAATACTTTAATAAACAACTCTTTAGAAAAAAATCCATCTGTGAATTGGCACCTGGGTCACTGTTGACATTTATCGGGTGAACCAGCCCCCAATATTTCAATGTACGTTCTTTTCTATTTTCCCTAAGTGTCAGCTGGTCTGAGAAATAAAGAGAAAGAGTACAAAAGAGAGAAATTTTACAGCTGGGCCTCCAGGGGTGACATCACCTATTGGTAGGTTCCGTGATGCCCCCTGAGCTGCAAAACCAGCAAGTTTGTATTAGGGATTTCTAAAGGGGAGTGGGGTATGAACAGGGAGTAAGTCACAAAGATCACATGCTTCAAAGGGCAATAAAAGATCACAAGGGCAGAAGGGCAGAGCAAGATCACAAGGCCAGGGCGAAATTAGAATTACTGATGAGGTTCCATGTCCCACTGGGCACGTATTGTCTTGATAAACATCTTATCAGGAAACAGGATTCAAAAGCAGACAACCGGTCTACTAGAATTCACCAGGCTGGAATTTCCCAATCCTGGTAAGCCTGAGGGCACTGCAGGAGACCAGGGTGTATTTCATCCCTTATCTTCAACTGCATAAGACAGACACTCCCAGAGCAGGCGTCGATAGGCCTACCCCTGGGAATGCATCCTTTCCCCAGGGTTATTGCTTGCTGAGAAAAGAATTCAGTGATATTTCTCTTATTCACTTTCTGCAAGAAGAAAATATGACTCTGTTCTGCCCGGCCCTGTGGGCAGTCAGACCTTGTGGTTATCTCCCTTGTTCCCTGAAAATCGCTGTTATCCTTTTCTTTTTCAGGATGACCAGAGTTCATATCGTTCAAACACACGTTTGATAAACAATTTGTACAGTTAAAGCAACCATCACAGGGTCCTGAGGTGGCAAACATCCTCAGCTTACAAAGATGGTGGGATTAAGAGATTAAAGTAAAGACAATCATAGGAAATTATAAGAGTATTGATTGGAGAAGTGATAAATGTCCATGAAATCTTCACAATTTATGTTCTTCTGCCACAGCTTCAGCCGGTACCTCCGTTCAGGGTCCCTGACTTCCCAGAACAGACATTGGCTCATTCAGCAGCCACCACATGCCCCTCTCCAGGGATCTACTTCATAACCACCCAGAAAAGGTCATTTTGCTACAGGAGCTAAAAAGAAGTTATTTAGGCAGATAGTGAGGGTAAAGGAGTCCTTGGCAAGGCTTGCCTTTTAACAAAAAGCAACCCCAAATAATTTCTTTTCTAACAAAGAGCAGCCTGTAAAATCGAGCTGCAGACACAGATAAGCAAGCTGGAAGCTTGCGCAGGGTGAATGTTGGCAGCTGTGCCAATAGGAAAAGCCTGCCGAGTACCAGTCGCTAAATGTACAGTAAAAGAAGCAGGCAACATGGCCCCGGCTGAGTAGAGAACCCTTCTGCATAATAAAAGATTGGGGGGTGTGGCCAGCCTCTTTGCGGGCTATGCAAACAGCACACCCAGGCCTGACCAGTTCTTCTGGTGCTATGCAAATGGCACATCTGGTCCTGCCAATCTTTCATGCCCTATGTAAATCATAGGCTGTCTCCTCCAGCTCATCTATAAAACCTCCTGCTCTTTTCCGCAGACTGGAAGATCCGCTGGGGACCCCCTCTGTCTGCAAGAGAGAGCACTTTTGTCTTTCTTTCATCTATTAAACCTCTGCTCTTAACCTCACTCCTTAGCTTGGGTGTCCTTGATTTCCTTGTTGGAGGCAACGAACCTCAGGTATTACCCCAGATGAACGACATGGCTTCAATGTCCCATCCATCCCACATAGCTTAATTCTTAGAACTGGATATAGTAAGCAGGAGGTAAGAGTGAATACTCCAAGGTAAATATGACATTGGTTTCGGGTAGTCTGCAACATGCCTGCCTTAGCACTAAGCTATCACCCATCACAGGTGCTACCTGGGGAAGTGGCTCAAGCACAAAGGCAGAACTCAGTCAAATTGTGGACTGCAGCGGAGCTGGGGGTCCTGAGACAGCCAGGTCCCGCCCTCCACACCAGGGATCTCTCAGACCCCAAACTCGGATTGCCACGTGGGCACCCACTTGTTCACCCATCCAGCATCCGGCACGCTCTGTGGTCCAAGGTGTTGTAGGCACACAGCAGGCGAAGATCGTGAACCCCAGCAGTCCTGGGCTCTGAAGGGGATCATTCTTTCATTCACGAGATGAGGGGCTTGGCATGGAAAAGCTAATGCAGGCATTGATGGAATCTGATTTGTGACAATTGCAAAGAATAGAACAGGCCCAAGTGAACTGTCTCATGGACAGATCTGAGCTCCAGCCCCAGTCTCTGGCTGTTTCAGTCCTCCTGTGCCATCAAAGCCATTTATCAAGCACCCTCCATACACACGCTGAGGTGAACACAGCACAAAATTCAAAGCATTATGCTCCCCAAATCCTAGAAGCATGATCTTTCTGAAAGGAAAGAGTATTATAACTTATGAAAATTACAACTAATATGATTTTTTATTTTGTTTGGATTTTTATTGTATTTTATAAAGAGATGTTAGAAAATACAACCAATTGGGCCAGATAGTTTTAATACAGTATTATAACTATACAGGTAACTAGGCTCTATAAATATGTGCTATCCATTTACAATAAATGGAACATAATTTTTAGGAACTGGGCAAAGGAGATAGAACGTGTTCAAGGTGTGTTTCTGTGTGTGCACTTGTGTGCATGTGTGTGCCTGTGTGAATAATGTGCACTGTGTGTATATGTGTGTTTGTGTGTGTGTGTCTGTGTGTGCATGTGTGTGTGTTTGCATGTGTGTGTGTGTGTGTGTGTGTGTGTGTGTGTCTGTGTTGAATGAATGGCTTTTACTCAAAGAGCTTATGTGTTCAAAGGACAATGTGAACACCATGGACCACTTTTCCATACTCAAAATAGCATATTTTATTATGTTAAAATATGTGGATCCATTGTGAGGGCTAATGCCTAGAATCCCAGCACTTTGGAGGCCGAAGCAGGAGTATCACTTTAGGCCAGGAATTCAAGACCACCCAGGGCAACACAGTAAGACCCCATCTTTACAAAAATAGAAAAAATTTGCAGTGCATGGTGGCACATGCCTGTAGCCCCAGCTACTTGTGAAGCTGAGGTAGGAGGATCACTTGAGCCCAAGAGGTCATCACTGCAGTGAGCCATGATCGTGCCACTGCACTCCAGCCTGGGCACAGAGTGAGACCTGTCTCTAAAAAGATAGAAATAAAAAATAAAAATAAATATGTGAGGAAGAGTAAAGAAGACAAAATTCTTTTTCTCAGAAAAATAGTGGCAAGATGAATTTCTCTGAAGTTCTTTTTTGTTCTAGTCTCAACTCAGGCTTAAATAAAAACAAAAGATAAAGAGCGTCTTTCCCTTCAAGCTTAAAGAAAGGTCTCTACAGCAGTGTTTATCAATAATGAAATGATAAATCAAAAGTCATTTTGTTTTCTCCAAAATTCAAATATTAAATATTAAATTACTTTGAAGAGTATCTGAATGCTGACACTCACATAATTTTACTAAGTGCTTTGTTTACATCTTATTTCAGATGGGTATTTAGGAAAAATTTCCAACAGAGGCAGCAGTGACTAGTGAGTGATAACCAATATGGCAATTACCAAAACTATAATAAACTCTTTTAGTGTATTTGCTTCATTATCAGAGAGTGGGTAAGAAAACACAGAATGGTTCAGGATGAATTATCTGGGGGGATGACAGTCCATCTGATGACTCACCTAAATTCTGTCCCAACAGAGCTCGGTGGTCTCTGACCCTGGGTTTCCTTCTGTGCTTTTCCCAATGCACAATAGTTTTCAGCCAGGGTCAACATTTCATGACACATTTGCTCATGGTCTGTCTTTGTTATGACAGAGAAACAATGAGGTGTTTCCTGAGTAGTGTCTAGGTGAAGATTTAAGTCACTCATCTTGCACAAAAATCTTGTAAGTTGGGGCAAATCAAAGCTAAGAACTTAATATACCATGTGGTTGCTGTAGACATAACCCCTCTCTTTGTTATAGGGGACTGGAGTTGGGATGCGCCCTGTACCCAGAAGATGGATCTCCCCTTTGCTGAAGGAATGCATCCTCGCTGCTTCATTGCAGGCTCAAAATGCTTGATAATCACAGAGAAATGCCAGCTGCCTCACAGAGGGCTGGCCTGGAGAGGGATGTCACAGCCCAAGGCTGGCAGAAGAGTGTCCCAAGCATGAGGGGATGAGCATCTGCAAATGTAAAGTCAGAGCTCAAGCAGGGAAGCGAGGCATGCAAGTAGGGTGTGGGCCTGTGCTGGTGCAGTGACAGCACTGGGGGCTGGCTGCATGCAAGAGGATTGGGCATACTGGTAAATATCTTCTGTTAAAAAGAGCGGGTTTCTCAGTGCTGGAAAAGGGAACTGCAAATATAGAAAGGAAAAGACCAGAAAAACGTACTGTGGCATTGAATGGAAATTGAAGTTATTGGTGTGAATTTATTAACTTCAATATAGATAAACAGACTAGATGATTAGATAGATAGAATGGATGTATAGATAGGTAGGTAGATAGATTAGATATAGATAGATAAATGGATGGATTGATAGAGATGATAAATAGACGGAGATAGATAGATAGATAGATAGATAGATAGATAGATAGATAGATTCGTGTACATATCTTTACATATTATACTCATATGTATATTCCCTAGTTCTGTCTACTGAAAGTGAAACCCCAATAGCCTTAAGCTCACCAAATCATGGCTTCTAAATTATATTCTCCACGACAATAAACCAAACTTCCTTGCAGAAATGGCTAATTTTGAGGTTGTAACAGAAAGTGCAAGATGTGTGGGATAAGCCTAGAACATCTTGTGCCAGAAAGCAGAAAAGCGCTTAAAGAATGATGGAAACATGTCACAGGGACACAGAAGCCAACTGGAAGGGCTCCCAGTGGCCAAATATAAGACAAATTGAGCATCAGAATGAAAAACGGCAGTGGGGAATTTTGATCTATTAAATAAAATAGAAAACTCTGAGTTCATTTTCATATAAGTAAATGAAAGATTAAAAATTGATGAGAAATGGGACATTTAAATAGGTTATAATTATATATAAATATTTATTAATTACAAAAGTTAAAGAAAGGAATTTTAGCCTGAAAACTGGAAGATACCACCTTGACTAAGTGATCAAGGTGAATGTTATGAGTAATGGACCAATATCAAAATCATGTTCCTCCTGATAGGATAGAGAGAATAGAAAATCACTTCTGAGATATTCCTGTCAAGGATGTACACCATGAGTCCAGCTACAAGCAAATACTAAAGAAACCCATATTGTGGGACTTTCTACAAAATCACTCTTCTCTGACTTCACAAAGGTCAAAGAAAAGCTGAGGAGGTACTCCAGACTACAGGAAACTAAAGAGACACAACAGCTAAATCAACCTTGTGACTCTGAACGGCATCCTTTGCCATCATGAGACAGAGGACCCAACTTGAACATGGCCCGAGGCTCAAAAGGTGGTGATGCAACCACACTAATTTCTTGATTCTAACAGTTACATGTGGGCCTGTTCTTGTTTTAAGAAAATGCAAACTGATGCATCAGGGAGGAGAGGGTATCTATCGTGTTGCCAACTTACTCTCAAGTGATTTGAGGAAAAGTTGTTCAGATTATATGTATAAGTTTTTATACATTTAACATTGTTCTCAAAGTGCAAAAGCAATTTATATTACTGAAAAAGAAGAGAACTACAACAAAAAAAAATCTTCCAATCATAAAATTCTGTGAGTTTATCAAAAGATCCTCAGAAAAGAAATTTCTAAAAGACTCACTTCAGGAGACAATAGAAAATAAAAAGAATTTCTCAGGAATGCTCTGAGTTGCAAGAAGGAAATGTAAAAAAAAAAAATCAACTGGTAAGCATGTGAGTAAATCTATACTTAGGAAGACTGTATAAAGCTATACAGAATGCATCTCATTTGGTGGTTAAAATAAAAGAAGTTACAGCTAAAATTCTGGACAAAATTAACATATAAAGTAGAAGGAGTGTGATTGGATTTAAGCTGCCTAAAGCCCTTGTAATGCACAAGAGAAGCTAGCCATATTAAATTTGAATCTCTTTAAGTATGTATGTTAAATTTTTTATAACTAACAAAAGTAGGAAAACCACTAGTGGGTCTTTTCCATTAAACTGGTGTTTATTAAACTGCTGCTCATAAATGAAATCTAAGAGTTCCACGAATATCTGAGTAATATGGATGGAATATATGTATGATTATATTTACATTTTTGAGTAACAGTGTCCATTAATCATAAAAATTTTGATGAGGTGAGTGACAGCTGCCGTAACTATGAATCATTAAACTAGACTAAATTCTACAAGAGAAGGGTCATTGTCAATTTTATTATGCCTCTCATACTGTTACCTATTCTTGAGAGCCTGATAGAACAAATGCATTCTAGGTATTAGGCACCCGTGATAATATTTATACATTTTTACTTGTTAAATTTGTTAGCCTATCTCTGATAATGAGGAAGTGACACGAGAGATTTTCACACAGTAGAGAGAATGGAGAATGTCCTTGTCACACAGCCCCTTGTCAGTCTGGGAGCAAGACCAAAGTCTGTCAAAGCAATACCTTTGCCTCTGTGGAACTTATCTATGGCTAACCTTGGACTCTTCCTATAGAAACTGTTTGCCCCTGGCCTTTAGCTCCTTTCCTTAAGCCATTTTCATGGCATCTTGTTTGGATATTTGCGGCTCATTTTGTTCTATCCTTGTTTCTTTCTTTCCGTCACCTTTTTCTTACTGTTTTCCAGGAAGCCATGCTGTGTCTCCGTAACGTTGCCACCAGCAGCACTGGAGCACTCGGGTTCTAATCGAGTTTCTATGTCTGTCCCCATCCAATCACTTACAGGCACGGCCCATTTGCTTGCTGAAAGTGCCTACTGTTTTGTCCTAGATTAGCTTCAATTGCCCTCTCTTACACGATATAACATGCAGATTACATTTGTTTTATAATGAATAAAGGTCCCTTGTAATCACTGTATGAAAAAAAAAACAAACAATTTGTCCCAGAGTATTGCTCCTTTTATAGTTTGCCACTTAAAGGAGTATTCAGAAATTCGAGGCATCCTAGCATTCGAGTGGGCTCAGTATTTTGACTACCCAGTGAGGGAAATGAAACACTGGTATCTATTAGCCACTCCATGACCCTTCAGCATAAAAACATGAAATTGTCATGAAGCCCATTTCTCTTTCCCGTTTCTTTTTTAATGTATGAATTTAAAGGATAAAATGATGGATTCTACCTTCTCTGAAGTGTGTGTTGTATCTCTCTTAAAACTGAATAGTCTAGGAACCATGAGTACAAAACAGTATGAGTTGAGCTATAATACATACTTCAATTATCATGATATTTCATCTAGCATTATCGTTGGTAGTATTATGAATTCATCCTATCCTTGTGTTCCCTTTTCTTTTTCTACTTATTTACTATCTGCACTTTTTTCCCCTTAGGTACCCAATCAAAAATGACACAAAACAGAAAAAATAAAAGCTCATTAGTTTTCATTGTTCCCACTGGTAGTATATAGAAGTTTCAGTGCCATGTTCACTGACAGCCATGACAAGGCCTGATACAAAGACTACAATTTACACACGCCCTTCATCTGATTTCCCATTTTCTTAGGTCTACTGATTCACTGCATCGTTTTGCAACACCCGTCTCCTGCAGTTATTCTTATTTGATCTCATTCTCTGTTTTCCAAATTAATGTAACCTGAAAATCAAATAAATCTAATAGATACATGGCTAAGTAAAATCTTTTTTGTTAACGTCCTAAGAGTTTTTTGTTTGTTCTTCCACATCTGGTATTGGTAGTAATTATCCTCTATTCCCTAGTTAAATTCATGTAACATGTTTTTAAGAAACTAATTCAAAATGCATATTTGGCTGGATGAATTCTCATTGCTTTTCCCACATGGGTGTTTGCTGACATCATAGCAGTCTGTACTGTATGTTTGAACAGTCTGTACATGTGCACACTTCCTATGGTGATGGACTCACTGCCTCTTGCGCTGGGAGGCCCCTTGAGAGTAAGGGAGGTCTCCATGACAAAGACTTGAGTCATCCAATTGCAAACATCACAAACATCTTTCATGCAATAAAACTGTAAGAAATCAGAAAGAAAAACACAGGGAACCTGAATAAATATGACTGAATTTGAGCATCTTTCATATGTAACTAGAGAAATGAATATCAAAACAGCAGAAGCTTATTTTTCACACATCAGACTGTGAAAATTAAAATATGACCACGTTGTCACAGTAAAACTGAAACAGACACTCATACTGCTTGTTGGAATGCAAATTAGCACAACCTTTGAAAAGGAATTTGACAATATCTAACAAAACCACATATGCACTTACCTTTTAACCCTGCCTTCCCCTTCTAGGAATCTACCCTGAAATATTTAACAATCCTAAATACATGTCCACAAGGTTAATTATCGCACAATTGCTTGTAAGTGCAAAATAGTAGAAACAATATAAATGCCTGTATGCAGGAGAAAAGAAAACTAAAATATAATGTATTAATGCAATGAAACACTGTGCAGCTCTAAATAAATTATGATGATTCCTATGAACAAGTATGGAGTTATTTCCAGAACATGTTGTCACACACACACACATACACACACACACTTATTAATCAGAAACTATTAAGGAAGTAGAAAAATGGGGAAGGAATGAAAACAGGGTAGAAAAAGGAAAGGGCAGTAGCATTTCTATGAAGATACATTTTTGAATGGTCCTGACATTTAGAGCCATATTAATATTTCATATAGTCCAAACATAAATAATTAAAATCAACCAGGGCATGTGGGGAATGAAAAGTTAAATCCAAACACAACTAATTTTGTAGTTTAATTATATAATTGTTAGTTTAACCCTGAGGAGGGGGGGTGTTATGGGTAAAATTGTGTCCCCTAAAAAGATGCTTGAGACCCACTCCCCAGTACCTGTGAATGTGACTTAGAGAGAGTCTCTGCAGAGGTGGCCAAGTTCAGATGGAGTCATCCTGTCTTAGGGTGGGCCTTAAATCCAATGGGACTCATGTCCTTCTAGGGAGAGGAACATTTGGACACCGAGACACAGACACACAGGGAGAACACGTGGCCGTGTGGGTGGAAATGGGAGTGACACATCTAAAAACCAGGCAGTGTGAGGATCGCCGGCCATCACCAGAAGCTGGAAGAACAAAGATGGACTCTGCCCAGTCTCTGAGGGAGCCCAGCTCTGCTGACACCTTGATTTCAGACTTTGGAACTCCAGAACTGTGAAACCATACATTTCTGTTGGCTAAAGTCCCAGCTTGTGTTTCTTTGTTAAGGCAGCAACAGGAAACCTAATACAGTAGGGAGACAAAGAGCTAGCCTGAGTAACTCTGGAAACAATGTCTTCACCTACAGCCAAAGGCAAAAGACACAAAGAACTGCACACAAATACTGCCTCCTAATTAGCAAATTTTTACAGGGTTACGGATTTGCAAATCTAAAACTACCTTGTACAAATTCAATGACTAAAGAAACATATAATCTATTATGGTTAGTAAGTGCTAGGTATTTAACTGTCGAGAAAGACTAGCAAATAAGAGAAAGAAAAAACTTTTCTTCTCAGAGAAAACTCTGAGAACATGGATTGGAACTGGAGGTGCCGCATGGAAGTCATGGATATATATGCACGTATGTGTACGCACATACAGAGAGCTAGGGAAGCAGGAAGTGGCTGAACATGTGCCTGTGTGCACCTGTGTTTATGTGCACATATGTCTGAGCCTGTCTCCTGAGATGGCGCAGAGACAATGAAAACCCAGTAGTGATAAATACACCTGGCACCAGGACTAGCCTCAGCATTTGCAACCCTGAAGCCACACAGCAGCCTGCATTCAGAAGGGCCTGGGCTTGGCTTGCCTCTCTGCATCCACCACCCTTACCTTTGTAATATTTTTTAAACAATGGACTCTGCCTTTTCTTTGAACTGGGCCCTAAATATTCTGTAGCCCATTTTGCTTAACACCCAGATCTTGGTCTTTAAATACTATTATCCAGTGAAGAAACCATGCTTCCTTGGAGAATTTGGTCATCCAGGTTAAGAGCAAGGAGAAAACAAGAGGAGTGTGGGTGATCTAGGGGTGCCTGTAAGTAAATAACTTCCCAAAAAATGCGAGGTTGTTTGAAGGAAGCAGAAGGCAACTCAGAGGAGTATACAATGGCCAAGTCTGGGGCAGTTTTAGCAATAGAATAAATAGTGATAATAAATAGAATAAAACAGCCATAGGTCCACACAGGTATGAAAAAAAAATCATATAATAGGCCAGGCGAGGTGGCTCACACCTGTAATCCCAGTGCTTGGGAGGCAGAGGTGGAGGTAGGGGGATCGCTTGAGTCCGGGAGTTCAAGACCAGCCTGGGCAACATAGGGAGACTCCATCTCTATAAAAAATACAAAAATTAGGGTGTTGTGGTGCTTGCTTGTAGTCCCAACTACTCAGGAAGCTGAGGTGGGAGGATCGCTTCTGCCCCGTAGTTCCAGGCTGCAGTGAGCTGAGACTGTGACACTGCTCTCCAGCCTCGGTGACAGAGCCAGATGCTAAGTCCAAAAAAATCTCATAATGGATAGATAGATAGATAGGTACATAGACAGACAGCTACAAAAGGAAAGTTCTCTCTTATGGTAGAATCCCAATTAAATGCAGAAGAAATGATGAAAATTATAAAATAAATGATGAAAACAGAAAATCGCTCTTTTGCAAATATTATAGTAAGAATTGTTTCTGGCAAAAAATCATCAATGGATACTAAAATTGATAAGCAAATTATGATATTGATGAGAAGCAGAATATTTACATATTCTCAAAATATCTCCCTAAAAGATGGCTACTAATTAAAAATGTGAAAAGTAGCATTACAAGAGAGAAACTGGGAAGTAGCATTAACCTAATGATCAAAGTAAATAATAGCAGGAATGCAACAAAGCAACATTATGCCAGCTGCCATGGCAAAGATATGACAAGTCAATGTGATGTCTGACCTTGACTGGATACTTACCTGAGAAAAAGGCTTTGGTGGAACAATTCATGCTATTTGAATAAGGTCTACAGGTAGTTAGTAGTACTGTATCAACATTAATTTACTGATTTTAATAATTGTACTGTGACTATGTAACATTAACATTAAGGGAAGCTGGGTAAAGAGTATACAGAATTCTGTGTATTGTTTTTTCAACATTTTTTGCAGGATGTGACTTTTTCTTAAAGTAAACAATGCTTCGAAGCTTTATATACACATACCCACATATGCATATATGTATATGTGCATATATGTACATATACATGTATAAAACTTGTATATATGTACATACGTATTAAATATAAACACATGAACAGATGTGCGTGTCTATGTTCCTATACCCTATACCACAGAATCAGAGCACTTAAACCAGAAATACTCCTCGTCATGAAAAACAACACCCTCTGGATGACGAGATTAATCCAAGCAGCTGCCTGGAAAGCTATTTGGAGATGGGGTGAACAGTGTTTTGCAGAAGTCCAGCAACTTTTTCAGTGGGCGCATGCAAGGTGCTAGCCGTGGTCCTGAACCTCAGTTGGTTTTGGCTGATGGATTTTGTCTGCCCAGCTCATTACTTACAATTGGACAAGCTTACCCACTTGAATTAGCTTGAATGAGCTATCCACTTGCATTAGTTTTCTGGGGTTAGTATAACAAAGTGCTACAGATTGAGTAGTACAACAAAACTTTATTTCTTATAGTTCTGGATGCTATATATTCTCCTATATTCTGGAGAAACCTTAGATCAAGGTGTTGGCAGAGTTGGTTTCCTCTAAGGCCCCTCTCCTTGGCTTGCAGACAACTGCATTCTCCCAGTGTCTTCCCTCGGTGTGTCTGTGTCCTAATCTCCTCTTAGAAAGACACAAGTCGTGTGGAATTAGGGTCCACCGTAATGACCTCATTTTAACTTAATTACATTCTCAATCACATTCTGAGATACTGCAAGTTATGACTTCAAAATAAGAATTTTGAGGAGCCACATTTGACCCATAACATTCTTCCCCAGGCTCCCTCCAAAATTTATGTCCTTGTCACATACAAAATATATTCATTCCATCTCAAAGTCTTAACCCACTTCAGCACCAACTCTAAGTCCAAAATATCGTCTCAATATCATCTAAATCAGGTATGGGTGGGACTCAAGGTAAGATTCCTCCTGGGGCAAATTCCTCTCCTGCTATGACCTGTGAAATAAGACAAGTTATGTGCTTCCAAAATACAATAGTGGGACAAGTATGGGATAGACATTCCTGTTGTTTCAAAAGGAAGAAATAAGAAAGAAGGGGGAATCATACTCAGTGCCCACAATAGGCACTGGTGTCACCATCAGGCAAATCAGTGTGCCAAGTCAGCCTGCTTCCTCACCAGTGAGTAAATTGTCCTCCTGGAAAACAGGGAAGTGCAGAATGAAAATAATCTACATCAACTAATTAGAATGTTACTAAAGTTGATTGTTTTGAGATCCCTAAATCCGTCAGAGTTAAGATTATTGCCAATATAGTTTATCTACATAAATGAAATGAAGTAATTATTTAGATAATTCAGAGTAAACAGAAACAAAATCTTCATAAAAGCTTAGTACTTTAGGTATAGAATTATACCTTTGCTGCTAAAAATCATGATGATATAAATCAAACTATGTTCAACTTTACATATATATATATTTGGATCTCATAATCTTTGGATCATGAGTGATTTTAATCATTGGGCCATTAATGAACCATATAGACCATATCCTCTATCTGTCTATCTATCTCTCTGTATCTATCTATCTATCTATCATCTAAAATCCAATTTTGGTGAATTAATTTTTTTAGAAATGATGTTTAAATATGTAAAGATGTATGCACAAAGTTGTTTACTGTGTCTTGGTGGAAATAAATATTCAATAAATAAATGTTAAAAATTATTATACATCTACACAATGCAATTTTATGTAGCTATCAACATAATAACATAGATAAAAATACAGTTATACTCATAGATTATACAGTCATCCCTTGGTGTCCATGTGGGATTGGTTCCAGGACCTCCCAATGGTACCAAAATCCATGGATGCTCAAGTATCTGATATAAAATGGTGTAATATTTGCATATAAGCTATGCACACCATTCCACCTCTTTGAATCATTTCTAGATTGCTTATGATATCTAATTAAATGTAAATGTATAAATAGTTGTTATACTGTATCGTTTATGGAATAATGACAAGGTAAAAAAGCCTGTACATGTTCAGTACAGATGCAATTTTTTTTCGAATAGTTTTTATCCAAGGTTGCTTGAATTCACAGATGTGAATCCCAAGGATATGAAAGTCTGACTGTATACTTATGTAGACATATATGTGCACACACACACACACACACACACACAATTTAGTTTTACCTATAACTATCAGCAAAACATCTCCAAGTATGTGCTCCAGTGTATTACTAGTGGTTATATTTTGAGCACTGGGTCTTCACGTGATGTCATTTGACCTTGATTACAGCTCTGGAGTTCATCTACAGGTCCTCTGGATTACATGAGTGTAGAGAAATATGTATTTATATTATAAACTGTGGGCCTAGCAGAAACCTTCTCACCAGAGAATAGAGCCAGAGCCTATGCATATTAGAACTTACAAAACTTCTGGGGTTTTTTTGTTCATTTTTCTCCCCAATGATTTGTTTCACCATGAATGACTAAGGATATAAACTGTGAAACAATGGTTCTCATTGGTGCTGTTCCAGAGAAGAAAAGCACCTTCCTTTCTTTCTGCTCAAAATAGCTTGCACTCTCCATTAAAGAGAAAGCCCTGGAGTGTGAGGTGGGGGTGATCCATGCACTAAGAGAGGGAAGGCCTGTGATTGTATCAGTGCCTTGGGAACAGCAGTAGCTGCCTTGTGGTGTCAGGGAAGGAGGGTTGTAAACACAAGGCAGGCCTGCTGAGAAGGCGCACAAGCCCAGCGTGGGCCGGAAGATGTGAGCTCCAGAGACAGAGCTGAGACTAGGAGGCATCCTAGAGGAAAGCCTGACTCTGATGGAGCTCACAGCCGAACTTGCACAATTGCTTAGTTGAATGATTGTAATTTATCATTGACATAACAGGTTTGTCAGGGTAAACTGAGTCATCTTCATGGAGTCCAGAATGGAGACCCAAAAAGGAAGGAGAGGTCAGTGTTTCATGAGCTCTGTTCAGAAGAAAACCTGAGCGGTGATATGAGTGGTCAGATTTTCTTGATATCCATGGCTGGCTTGTACAGTGAATGCTGGGAGTCCTGCTATTTTAACCCAATGGCACTAATTTTATTTTGGAGAAGTTAACAAGGATTTCTTTGAATTCTGTTTGTAAGGAAAACACATAGGAACACTCATGAAGCATGGGATTTGACAGACATAAGAGGATCCGATGATGTCCACCCTGGCTGGTTGCCAGAGCTTATACTTTAAAATGCAAGCGACTTCTTGCATATGCACCTGGCTGTGACAAGGCCCACAGTGACAGGCAGTGGGATGTGGGGGGGAGCACATTCGTTCAGAGATTAACATTCACCTTGCAGAGCACAAGTATTTAAATGACAGGGCATATAGGCTGCGAAAAAGTTTAAGAAGCAAGTGGCATTCACACAATTAATGTGATTAGTGAAAAGAATATCAAAGGATGGGGCTGGGCATGGTGGCTGATGCTTGTAATCGCAGCAGTTCGGGAGGCTGAGGCAGGCAAATTGCTTGAGGTCAGGAATTGGAGACCAGCCTGGCCAACATAGCAAGACCTCATCTCTACTAAAAATACAAAAAATTAGCTGGGCATGGTGGTGGGCGCCTGTAGTCCCAGCTACTCAGGAGGATGAGGCAGGAGAATCGCTTGAACCCGGGAGATGGAAGTTGCAGTGAGCTGAGACTGTGCCACTGCACTCCAGCCTGGGCCACAGAGCGAGACTCTGTCTCAAACAAACAAACAAAGAATATCAGAGGATGAAACAGGTATCAGAAAAACGTCTTCCTACAGCTAACTTCCAAATCATGAGGCTCTGTTGGTTGTGTCTGGAGTTGTTCCATGAGGATAGAGTTGTCAAAGTCTTACCTTCTCAAAGAAGACTCTTTTTTTCCACATAAGCCCACATTTTCAGAAAGCAAAAAGACAACTTGAGTGTATTCATTTTGGAAAAAAAATAGTAAAATGGTATCTAGAAGTTTCTATAAATCAAATTTGGCCAGGTGCAGTGGCTCACGCCTGTAATCCCAGAATTTTGGGAGGCTAAGGTGGGTGGATCACCTGAGGCCAGGAGTTCGAGACCAGCCTGGCCAACATGGTGAAAGCCTGCCTCTACTAAAAATACAAAAAAATTAGTTGGGCATGGTGGCGGGCGCCTGTAATCCCAGCTACTCAGGAGGCTGAGGCAGGAGAATCACTTGAACACAGGAGGGGAGATTGCAGTGAGCCAAAATTATGCCATTGCACTCCAGCCTGGGCAACAAGAGCAAAACTCCGTCTCAAAAAAAAATTCAAATTTATGCTTCAGTATAATTGGTCACCAATAAGCTGTCAAAGCTGACCACTGTAGTAAGTTTTGAGTCAGCTTCATCAAGATCGAAAGGACTATTAAAATCTTCTGTTAAAATCACAAGTGTTAATGTAATGTTACTCAGAACTTTCATTACTATTGAGAGGCATGCAATGATAGCAACACATTAACTTAAAAATATACAGGATATGATTTTGACCAAATGTAATATTTAATATAAGTTTAATTGCTTGAAAGATGTACTTTTATAACGCATTTTCTCTTAAGAATACTTCTGTGTTTGCTTTGACTTATCACAATTTTGTGATTTATTCATCACAGTTCATTGAATTTTTGTAGCTTAGTCAATAAAAGCAGCTTTTAGACTAGATGACACTCTGAGGCATTAATGTTTCCTCATGAAGTTTAAAGTTTCACTGATGAGAATAACCAAGAGGGCTATAATGTAAAAGTTTAGCAAAAGACAATCATGAATTATTCACTGATTACTCAAATCTTTGAATTTCAGAATTGCCCCAAATGAATACGACTATTTACTCCCTCAGAAGACATACTTCTTATTTGCAATGGTCTCATTATTTTTTACTGTGAGCTTCATCAAAGACAAGGTAATTAAAAATAATCACTAACTATTCTACTCAAATAGAAAATCTTGCACTGAGAAATAACATTTTCACAGCAACAACAAAAACTGAACTAAAATTATCTTTAGTTTTAAGAAGAGAGTGACATTTTGTAGATTTTTAGAGGTCATAATTTAATTACCCTTTTACATTACTAGAATACATTAATACAAATTGGATACATTAATTAGATAAATTAGATACATTAGTTAGACAAATTAGATACATTAATACAAATTAGCATTTGTTTCCTTTTGCAAATGTAACAAATATATAGAGAAATATTATCATATCAAGATCATTTTCCTGAAGTCTTCATTGAAAGTAAGCAATGTGTTACAGTCTCTCAAATCCTACGCAGATTTAAGCTGACCGAATATGCAATAAACATTACATCAGCTCTCAATATTTAGTTTTTGGGGATTAAAAGGCAAATAAGAGATGGTTTCAAGGCTGGGCGCCGTGGCTCATGCCTGTAATTCCAGCACTTTGCAAGGTTGAGGCTGGCAGATCACTTGAGCCCAGGAGTTCGAGACCAGCCTAGGCAACATAGTGAGATCCTTTCTGTACAAGAAATACAAAAATTCACCTGATATGGTGGTTTACACCTGTAGTTCCAGCTGCTCAGGAGGCTGGGGCGGGAGGATTGCTTAAGCCTGGGAGGTCTGCAGTGAAGCATGATGGCGCCACTGCACTCCAGCCTGGGCAACAGAGGGAGCCCGGGCCAAAAAGAGAGAGAGACAGAGAGAGAGAGAAGTTGGGGGAGACAGAAAGAGAGACATGATTTCAGGCGGGACAAACAAATGAATTCCAATACAATCAGTAGAGTTACAAATGAAGGGCTGTGACAACACAAATTATAAGTCAGCCAAAACATAAATATTTGTTGAATCACAACTAATATGTACTAATGTGCTAACCAAGAAAATGTCCCTGACATCAAGAAGCTGACATTTAAATTGGATGAGACCAAAAAAATGCCTATGAACAAACAAAGTAGTAAATTTTAAAAATAAACAAGAGAGAATTAGAGAGATGAGAGTACCTGCTTTTGTTGGGATGGTAACAGATATTATATATGAAGAAGTGGTATTATCATGTATTAATTATGAGAAGACATTTGCATCCATAATTAGAGAAAATATCCTAGAATCACCACAAGAACAAGAGGCCTGAGAGGTGGATACATTGTGTGTTTGAGGAATATGAACATCATTTATGTGGCTTCTGTGATGTCCAAGTGGAGGACTGGAAACAGCAGGGAAGGAGCTCAGAGAACCAGGCCAGATTACACAGGAACACTTTTTCTCCACCCCTCCTGTTTCCCTGTGGAGGACCCTTTACTATGGTGACGCCTAAGTGCCTCCAGGCTAGATGGGACAATGTACCCTACTATCCTAAGTGCTTCCGGGTTAGATGGGATGCTGTATCCTACTGTCACACCTGCTCCTCTCTCGCCAAGATAAGCTCAGAGGCACAGGGCTTGTATTTAAATGGAGAATATGAGGAAACTCATTTGGCCA